>NC_000005.10:172731020-173034051 GCF_000001405.40 Homo sapiens
ATATACAACATATAACACACAAAATATGTGTTAACTGACCATTTATGTTATGGCTTCCAGTCAGCAGAAGGCTATCAGTCATTAAGTTTCAGGGAAGTCCAAAGTTATAGGTGGATTTTGACTGTGTCGGAGGTCAGCACCCGTAACCCCCATGTTGCTCAAGGGTCAACTGTATTTCCCTTTTTAAAACCTGAAAAACCCAGAATCCTGAAACCTCCAGTCTCAAGGGATTGTGGGCCCTTAGTATTCTAAGGCACCTGTTGTTTGCTAGGCACCAGGCTGAGCACTTTGCACAGGTGATCGTGTTTCGTCCTAGCCGACCTAGGCAGACGCGCTGTTATCATCCCCACTGGACAGATGAGAACACTGAGGCTCCAGACAGTGAAGCAACTTGGCCAGTTCACACGGCGGTAACAGAATGAGCCTCGAACCGCCACCAGGAGCCACACACGTCGTTAGCATGTGCTCTGTCATTTTCTCCTGCCCTCGTCCCTGTCTGTCAGCCTGGCTGGGCACCAGGTAAACAGGTCCGAGGCATGAGTCACCTCCAGCAGCCTGTCACGGGGCTGGGAAAACAGGCTGGCCACCTCCTGTCAGCCAGGGCCACAAGGGGAGGGCTTTGAATGCTGGTTAGAGCCTTTCAATTTTATCCAGAAAGCAGTTGGGAGCCATGGAAGGGTTTAGAGCAGGGAAGTGTCGTGGTTATGTGGATGACCTAAAGGAGTGGTCCCCAATCCTGAGTGCACATCTGAATCCCCAGGAAGCTTGTTCAACACAGAGCGCTGGGCCCCACCCCAGAGTTTCTGATTCAGTCGTTCTGAGGTGGGGCCGGGGAATTTTCATTTCTAACAGGTTCCTGGGCAACACTGTTGCGGGTGGTGCGGTGACCACACTTTGAGAACCAATGTTCTAGAACAACACAGTGGGGGGAGGGTAGCAGGTGTGCCCGGACTTTCCACTGTAATAAGAGCCGTCATTTTGGGGTGCCAGGGATGTGCCACATTCATCACCCCCACAGCGCACACAGGATGAACTGAGCCTCAGTAAGGAGAAACTGCCTGTCCGGGGCCACACAGCTCAGAAGTGGTGGCCAGGGACTCCCATCTTGGGGACTGGGGTTCCAGAAGGATCCCCCCCTCCCACTGCCCTACCTCTTACCTGGTACCTGTGACAGCTTGGAGGATAGCACGGGTGGCCATCCTTAGTGAGCTGCACTGAACCGCTATGGACTAGGTCAAGGCACTCTGGAGTCGAGCAAACAGATGCGGGAACTGGCATCCCCGAGCTCTGGACCCCAGACCCACTCCTCCTCTGGGCTCCAGACCCACTCCTCCTCTGGGCCCCAGACCCACTCCTCCTCTGGGCCCCCAGCTGTAAAGAGATTGTTCTGACTCCCCGTCACTCGGGCAGGGCGAGGAGCAGTTTCAAGCAGACCCAACTACAGATGCTGCAGAGGGAGGGAGGGGTCGTCAGAGCGAGCCTGGAGACCCCCATCCCTGGAGAAGCCTCTGCCTCCAATCCCCCAAATGGCTGCATCAGAGAAATCCAGGCCATTTCTCCCACAAGCCCTGCTCTCCAGCTGGATGGTGCCCTCAGCCTCCCCTCCGAAGGGCTCATCCTGGAGATGGCCCTCCTCCATGTACCCCCAGGAAGGGATGGCACTGGGGGAAGAGGGGCCCATCAGTGGCTGTCATCGCTCTGCTCCCAACAAGGCCTTGGCTCGTTGTCCTGGTCCCCTTTCTGGCTGAGTGACCTTGAGCCCCAATCTGGGCTTCTCTTTCCTCATTTGCAGACTACTTGCCTGCCTCACTGGCTTTCAGGTGGGACGCAACACTATCAGGAAAACCACTGCTCCCTGAGGACCTACTATGATGCCAGGCCTATTGTCAGAGACCTGCTAGACATCCACGACGGATGTGATAGGCATTGGAATGCACACAAAGATACTGCCCCTTCCAGAGCCTTCTCTAGCTCTGCTGGTGGGCTTCCTCCCCAGACAGGCCTGGGGACACCCCACCATCACCCCCTGAAACAAATCAGGCAGATCATTAAGGATTAAACAGGAGTGACGGCTGTTTGGCCGAAACATGATTTTCTGAACTTTTCCATATGCTTGAGATATTTTATGGTACAATCACGCCGGCCCAGTAAGTGTGAAGCTGGCCTGGGAGAGAGGAGGCAGGATGGAGGAACTGGGTCAGGAGCTGGCCAAGCTCCTGGCCCTCCAGATGTAATGATGGAGCAGATGGGAGGCTGTGAGTCACTGAGAAATGCCCGGATGATTGGGATATTGCTAAAACTCTGAAGTCCCAGATTCCCTTGTGGGCTCCTGGCAAGGGTGTGGAGCTAGTGAACCCATGAACCAGCAGAGCAAACCAGGATGTCCAGGGTGACTGAGTCTGGGAGCAGGGACCAGCCAACAATACCCTTCTCAGTCTCTCCACGTGGTGGAATGGGGAAGTGAAGCCATTCCCAGGAGCCCTTGTGGTTCTGTGTCCAGCCTGAGCCACAGCTTCACCCAACTGGCGCCGGCCAGGTGGACCTCCTGAGGTCTTGGGGTGGGCCTCGGGCTCCTCAAGCCAGCCAGAAGCAGCAGATCAGCTCCCAGCTCCTAACCCCTGGGCCTGGCCGGAAAGCACCTCAGCTCCAGGGACGGGTCAGCTGCAGCTTGTTGTGCGGTTGCTAAGTTCTGTGCTGATCAGTCCGGGCCTCATGGGTTTTTTCCCTCTGGTTTCATGTTCTGACGGGAACTGAGTGAATCTGGAGCGAGTTAATTGCAGCCACAGCATTCCAGAGGGTGTTACGCTGCAAGTTCCTCCCTGGCCCCAGCTCCCCGAGTCCACACCCTCCCCGGCTGTGGGCTGGAGGCTGGAATATGAGCAGCTCTACAGGACTGGACCCTGAGGAATCCGCTGTTCTTTCTAGACACTAACTTGCCTTCCAGGGTGAGGAAAAAGGTTTAAGGTCAAAAACGCATATCTGCCCCTTGGTTCCACAGCTCTCTTTTCTGGCATTTAAGGCTCCACACATTTTGTTCCAAAAGTCATCCCCCAGCCTCATGTCCCACAGTGCCCTGCACCCTCTCTGAGCCAGCCAGACCAGGCTGTTCCCCAGATATCCCCGCACGGGCTCACCTCTCCCCTCCTTGCTGTCTCTGCCCAGCCAGATCTGATCCACCCTCCCTCCCTCCCTTCCTTCCCTCCTTCCTTTCTTCCTTTTTCCTTCCTTCTCTCCTGCAGACGATATTTGTGCTGTCATTCAGTGAGACAGGCAATATTGTGAAGCTTAGAAACAATTGATTTATACATTTCATAAATAAAATTATCAGAGAGTATAATTTCAGGTGGAAATGAGCACTTTGAAAAAAACTAAGAAAACAGATGAAGAGGGGACTAGGCTGTGTGTGTGTGTGTATGTGTGTGTGTGACATATATACCTTAGTCTCTTCTTTATTGCTTCCCTCCTATTTATTTATTTATTTATTTTTGAAACAGAGTTTTGCTCTGTTGCCCAGGCTGGAGTACAGTGGCGCAATCTTGGCTCACTGCAACCTCCACCTGCCAGGTTCAAGCGATTCTCCTGCCTCAGCCTCCCAAGTAGCTGGGGTAACAGGCGCCGGCCACCACACCTGGCTAATTTTTGTATTTTTAATAGAGACGGGGTTTCACAATGTTGGCGGCCTGGCTGGTCTTGAACTCCTGACCTCAGGTGACCCACCCATCTCGGCCTCCCAAAGTTCTGGGATTACAGGTGTGAGCCACCACGCCCAGCCACCTCCTTAGCTTTTTAAAGTGCTTATTTCCACCCAAAATTATATTCTTTTTTAATTTTATGTATGAAATGCACAAATCACTTATTTATAAACTTTACAATATTGTCCATCTCTCTAAAGTGTAAGCTCTATGACGGCATATTGTATGTATGTGGACTTGTGTGTGTATGCTGTGCCTGTGTATGTATGTGTAAGTGTGTGTTTGTGTGTATATCTATGTGTATTTGTGTATGTATGTGTGTGTGCATGTGTGTGTGTGTTTGTGTGTATGGGGGCCAGTTGGGGAGACCAGGGAAGGCCTCTCTGAGCAGGTGAATTTGGGCAGAGACCTGGGGGAGATGCTGGCACTGTGGGGCAGGTGCCCAGGCTCTGCGGGCACCTGGGAGGGAGGCCTGCAGGGTAAAGCAAAGAGAGTGAAGGCAGGGAGGGGGTGGCAGGGCCTGAGCAGCTAGGGCTTGGTGTACCAGCCAGGCATTGGAGGTGTCCCCCAAGCGTGTTGGGGAGGTGGGACTCTCAGAGCCATATTTTCAAAGGACCCCTCTGGCTGCCTTGTGGCCAAGGATGGAAGCCCAGCAGGGACTTGAGGCCAGGCGAGAGACAACTGGGCAGTCCTGAGGGGTGGGCCCTGGAGGGGTGGGCGGCAGCCGAGCCAGCATATATTTTGGAGGAAGAGCTGCGAGGCAGGCCTAGGTGGGAGGGAGATAAAGTCATCAACACAGCTCCAGGGTTTGGGCTGATCCACTTGCAGGAAGGGATGGAGGCCGTGGTGGGGAAGGTGGGAACAGAGCAGGGTCACAGAGGCAAACCCCAGAGATGGGCAGGGTTCCAGCCCACAGGGAGCCTTGGGAGCCCTGCAGGCAACCAACGAACCCCCTCTGGACTGCTCTGAGGACAGCGGAGGAGCCATCGAAGGCTTGCAGGCAGGAGAGTTCCAGAACAATTCTGGTGTGACCTCCTCGCAAAAGCCTCTTGGTGCACGTGGCCTCTCCCCTGCACAAGTCATAAAGTCACTTCATCTGGTGATCTTGACTCAGTTTCCCCAATAATTTGTTGCATTCTAAAAGCTTTTGCTCTGTGCCAGGCACTGGACTAACTCCTATACCAGCGCTCATGCATGAATGATGAGGCAGAGACTATTTATCCCTCCACTATTTCACAGAGGCAAAGACAGACACAGAGAGGGACAGCCACTTGCCCAACGGCACACAGCTGAGAAGCTGGGATTCAGACCCAGGCAGTCTGGCTCTCGAGTCTGTGTGTCCAACCACTCCACTCCACCCCCTGGCTCCCCACACACATACCTGCATGCACACACACACACACACACACACACACACACACACACACGCATAAACATACACACATGTGTGCATCTGCACATGAGGCGTGGAGAGCCTGTGCTGGAGGATGCTGTCCCGGCCGGCCTGGTTTTATGTGCAGGGCCCCCTCTGTGTTTATTCATTCACTAGATAAATATTTCTATGGGAGGGCCAGACTGGGGCTGCTGGGAAGCCGAGATGAGGAGCCCGTGTTTCCTGCCTGCACAGGGATAGGGAGAGGTGGGGACCCGGGGCGGTGAAGTCCATCAGGCAGGTTGCGCGGTGCCTGGAGAGAGGGAAGCCCCACACAGGGCCAGGGGCGGGCAGGAGCAGGGACAGGAGAGCATGGGGAGTCACCCCAGCCCTGTGTGACCATGGGCAAGTCACCTCTGCTCCCAGCCTCAGATTCCACCTTGCTGTCATGGGGACAGGGACGCCTACCTCCTAGAGCTGTCATGAAGGTTCTGCAGGAAGAGTCACAGCACCAACCCTCTCATGGTTGTTCTTTCTTTCCTACTGTGGCGAAAAATGGTGACTGTTACGCTGCCACTCCATGGAGAGAAGCAGGACTTCTGTTTCACAGACTGGGTTTAACATTCCCAGGGCCTTTTTTTTTTCTCTCTCTCTGAGAAGTTCCTTTGCTCAGCAAGGCTGTCGGGGGCACTGGTAAAGGTTGGGTGCTGGGTCTTGGCTCCTTAGCACCCCACTTCCCACCCCCCACCCCCCACCCCCAGTGACTCTGGCAGCGGATGTGGGGACACCGAGCCACAGGGATTCTCAGCTGTCGCTCGACACAGCGGATCCAGGGCCCTTATTTAGAGCCTTGGCTCAGGGGGCTGGGGGAGACGCTCTCTGTCCCAACAGTAATTCCCTTGCTCTCCCCACCTCCTCACCCTCCTAGGGGTGGGGCTCAAGAACTCAGACTCCCCAGCCTTGGGCCTGGGCTCAGAACCTTTCCTGGGCCCTTCCAGAAACCCTCCCTGCCACCGGCTGACCAGTGGCCTGGACTCCTGCATTTAGTGGCTGCTGCAGAGTGAGTTAGTGACCTGGAGAGAAGGAAATAGAGGCTCCCTCTGGAAGGGAGGTGTGTTATGAAAGTGTTTCCCTCTGCTGGGACACCCAGACCCCTACCAGTATCATTGGACTTGAACACCACGTTAGACAACATGTGTCTTCATACGAATACACATAACATAGCAGACAGCCTAGAAGGAAGACTAGAAGGAAAGATGGCAACATGTTGATATTCCTGTCTCTGGGTGGTGTGAGGTTATGAGTGGTCTTTATTTACATGTCTTTTTTTTTCTGTATTTGCTAAATTTTCTCCATTGAAAATGTACTACTATTAAAATCACAAGAAAAAAGTACCTTTTAAAAAGGATCTATTGTATATTTTCCATTTTGTTAAATGGAAGCATAAGATATAAAATATCTCACTTCTGGACACAAAAATATACGTGTAACATTGAAAAGTTAAAATTGTAAGATTACATATAACCCACATGAGAACAGAACATATGTCAAACCTGCGACTACAGTAACGTGTATGTGTATTTGTAGATTCTGAATAAGAAAATTTTATGTGAGAGAGAATGGAAGTACTATGCCCTGTAGGGTCCCCCACTACCACACAAAGAGAGGGCTCCCATTTATTTATGTCTGACTGTCGTGCTAGGCTACGAGGCAATTGAGGGTCAAGGGAAACTTTTACTTCTCTCTGTGTCCTAATGAGGACTTGACACTCAATAAACATTTGTAGATGAACAAGCAAATATCTGCTTTAAAAATAAATGGGCTGCGCACGGTGGCTTATGGCTATAATCCAGCACTTTGGGAGGCCGAGGTGGGCAGATCACTTGAAGTCAGGAGTTCAAGACCAGCCTGGGCAACATGGTGAAACCCCATTTCTACTAAAAATACAAAAATTGCCGGGCATGGTGGTGTGCGCCTGTAATCCCAACTACTTGGGAGGCTGAGGCAGGAGAATCGCTTGAACCTGGGAGGTGGAGGTGACAGTGAGCTGAGATGGCGCCACTGCACTCCAGCCTGGGTGACAGACTGAGACTCCATTTCAAAAATAAATAAATAAATAAATAAACACATTAAAACTCTACAAACAAAAAGCATACCAGGAAGTGGTGTATGAATGTGTCTGGTAAGTCAGTAAAACACAGAGGGTTGTATATTTTCTTTTTTTTTTTTTTTTTAGACAGAGTCTTGCTCTGTCGCCCAGGCTTGGGCACAGTGGCGCGATCTCGGCTTACTGCAAGCTCCGCCTCCCAGGTTCACGCCATTCTCCTGCCTCAGCCTCCCAAGTAGCTGGGATTACAGGTGCCCGCCACCACGCCCGGCTAATTTTTTAATATTTTTAGTAGAGACGAGGTTTCTCCGTGTTAGCCAGGATGGGCTCGATCTCCTGACCTCGTGATCTGCCCGCCTTGGCCTCCCAAAGTGCTGGGATTACAGGCGTGAGTGACCGCGCCCAAACAGATATCTTCAAGGGCCCTTGGGGCTACTTGTGGACCATCTGTCGTGCCCACCAGGCTAGGAGGTACAGGTGGATAGGGGCTCTCTTTGTTAATCTCGGAACCTGAGGCACCCAATGCAGTTTGGATGTACTTGGGAGTACAATGAAAATACGTGGAAGTGGCCAGGCACAGTGGCTCACGCCTGTAATCCCAGCACTTTGGGAGGCCAAGGCAGGTGCATCACCTGAGGTCAGGAGTTCAAGACCAGCCTGGCCAACATGGTGAAACCCTGTCTTTATTAAGGATACAAAAATGAGCCGGGTGTGTTGGCATGCACCTATAATCCCAGCTACTCGGGAGGCTGAGGCAGGAGAATCACTTGAACTCTGGAGGCGGAGGTTGCAGTGAGCCGAGATCGCGCCACTGCACTCCAGCCTGGGCAACAGAGCGAGACTCCATCTTAAAAAGAAAAAAAAAGAAAAAAATGGAAGTATGTTGACAATCAGAAAAAAGCAATAGGGAAGATACACTTTATTTCATAAAAGAGATCAACAGGTCCTCAACTTCAGACACAAAGATAGGGACAGGTGTGTCCCAAGTACAGGCCAACATCCTCCTGAAGATGGTGCTTTCTCTTCCTACTGGGGCTTCTCCCATGGAGACAAGAGGCAGCCCACAACAGGAATTTAGGGGACGTGCCATTCGCTCAAGAAGGAAATGCCAAAAGTGAGGAGGACAGAAAAGAGTCCCTGCTGTCCTTCCTGTGTCCTGGTGCTGGGTTTACTTGTCTGCGTTTCCCTCTAGACTGAGTTCCTTACATGCGGGGCTAGGGTTGGGGGTGCTTCTCCATCTTTGTCTAGGAAACCCAAAACAATCAATTAAATTCAAGTAGCATTTTTGTCACATTTCTACCCCCTGGGCCTTTTCACTGGGGACAACGGAATGAGTGAGCATTTGGGCATTTGTTCAGAAATATTCACTGGGCTTCCGGGATGTGCCAGGCACAGCTGCAGCTCCCACGCTTGTGAAGTTCACTTGTGCTGTTGCCACTGCCACTGACATCTTAAACCCACTCCACACTGTATGTATTTTGACTTGGGGAATGTTTTCTTTTTTTTTTTTTTTCTTTTTAAAAGAAAATAGTGGCCGGGCATGGTGGCTCACATCTGTAATCGCAGCACTTTGGGAGGCCAAGGCAGGCAGATCACTTGAGGTCAGGAGTTTGAGACTACCCTGGCCAACATGGTGAAACCCCATCTCTACCAAAAATACAAAAATTAGCCAGGCGTGGTGGCGCATGCCTGTAATCCCAGCTACTCGGGAGGCTGAGGCAGGAGAATCGCTTCAACCCAGGAGACAGAAGTTGCAGTGAGCCGAGATCACGTCATTGCACTCCAGCCTGGGTGACAGAGTGAGACTCTGTCTCAAGAAAAAAAAAGAAAACAGATTTCCACTCCTAGGAATATACTAGGTATATACTCAAGAGAAATGAAATTATACATCCACACAAAAACGTGTACACTCACAAATGTTCATAGCAGCATTCTTCATAATAGCAAAAAAAAAATGGAAACAACCCAAATGTCCACCAACCAAAGAATGAATAATAAAATATAGTTTATTCATACAACGATGGAATATTATTTGGCCCTGAAAAGGAATGCAGTACTGATATATGCCATGACATGGATGGCCTTGAGAACATGAAGCTAGGTGTAAGGAAACAGTCACAGAAGGTCACATCTTGTATGATTCCATGTATATAAAATGTCCAGAGTAGACAAAACTATGGAGACATAATTGGATTATCGGTTGCTTACGCTGGTGGTGAAGGGGAAGAGGAGTGACTCCTGATGGGGTAGGGGGTTTCTTTCTGGGGTGATGAAAGTGTTCTTAAACTGATTGTGGCGATGGTTGCACAACTGTGAATATACGAAAAACCATGGAATTGTCCATTTTGCGTGGGTGAAGTATATGGTATGTGATTATATTTCAATAAAGCTGTTATAAAACAAAAAAGAAACAAAATAGAGAATTTCCCCTTTCAAGCACACCAAGTGTCACGGAAATTGATTTCACAACCGAGTGTTCTGCTTTGGTTTATGAGTGGAATTTTTATTTTTCAACAGCTTTGAGCTCATTCTTCAAGTCTCCTTTTCTCAAGGTTTGCTTTGTCCTCAGAAGCCTCCAGTTTCCCTTGCCACCGCCTGTCTCCAGTCCAGGGAACGCTATCTGTGGCCCTTGGCCCACCTCATTCCTCGCCCACCACTGCCCCCACCCCCAGTGCCCACCCTGCCAGGCTGCTGCCAGCTCCCAAATGCCAGAGCTGCCACCTGGGGCCCTGGAGACACCAGGGCCCACACTGTTGTGATGTGTTTGGATGGGGAGTGCGTTCGGTGCCAGCGTTACCAGGCTCGAAGGGTGACTAATCCCGTCTGCATTTTTGGTTTCAGCTGCCTGGCCTGCTCAGCTGGAGAACCCTGCATCTGTCAGCTGTTTTCAGAGAAGCTCACCTCACAGTTGTGGATGCCAGAGCATAAGCCCATTCCCCAGCCCCCCAGCACCACCTACACATGAGTGTGGGCCACAGAAATCGATTGAACACCTACTATGTGCCGGGCACTATTCTGAGGACACAGCAGTGATAAGAAAGAGTACTTGTTCTAACAGAATAACAAAAATACATAGGAAAGAAGGAAGGAAGGGAGGGAGGGAAAAAGAAAGAAAAAGGAAGGAAGGAAGAAAGGAAGGAAGGAAAGGAGGGAGGGAGAGAGGGAGGGAAAAAGAAAGAAAAAGGAAGAAAGAAAGGAAGGAAGGAAAGAAGGAAGGAAGAAAGGAAGGGAGGGAGGGAAGGAGGGAAAGAAAAAAGAGAGAGAAAGAAAGAAAAAGAAAGAAAGAAAGAAAGATCTAGATAATGTTAGAGGCTCTGCTCATCTAAATTAAACAAGGTGAAGTGATCGTGAATACTTAGAAGAACTTCTGATTGAGTGGTTGGTGTGGGGAGGCAGCCTCTCTGGGGAGGTGGCTGAGGACAAACCGTCTGAGTGAAGATCTGGAAAGAGAATGAGCCAACATGGTTCCTGCCTCACAGCCAAGGGGGAAGGAGAAAAAACAAAGTTGGGGCAGTGGGCAGGCCAGGTTTTCCTTTTTAAATGCCACAGGGCCAGGCATGGTGGCTCACACCTGTAATCCTAGCACTTTGGGAGGCCAAGGTGGGTGGATCACGAGGTCAGGAGATCGAGACCATCCTGGCTAACACGGTGAAACCCCATCTTTACTAAAAATACAAAAAAATTAGCCGGGTTTGATGGCATGTGCCTGTGGTCCCAGCTACTCGGGAGGCTGAGGCAGGAGAATCGCTTGAACCTGGGAGGCGGAAGTTGCTGTGAGCCGAGATCATGCCACTGCACTTCAGCCTGGGCAACAGAGCAAGACTCCATCTCAAAAAAAAAGCAACAGGAAACCATTGGGGGTTTTCACTACAGAGGAACAGAATTTGATTTACATTTTTTGAAGCTCACTCTGGCTGCTGGGTGGGGAGTGGACAGGTGTTAGGTAACGGGAAAGTTGGGACCAGGACAGCCTTCAACCCTGGTTCAGGCCCTGCTCTGTCTGCCCCCTACTTCTTCCAGTGGGGCCTGGGCAAGACTCCCCCACTCACTCTGGTAACACTGTAGTGGTTTTGGTTGGGGTTTATTTTTCAGCCTCGGGTTCTTGCTCTGTTGCTAGGCTGAAGTGCAGTGGGCTCAAGCAATCCTCCCGCCTCAGCCTTCCAAGTATCTGGAGTCACAAGCATGACCGATGGCACCCAGCTAACTTTTTTTTTTTTTTTTTTTTTACTTTTTGTGGAGAACAGGATTTTGCTGTGTTGCCCAGGCTGGTCTCAAACTCCTGGGATCAAGCAATCCTCCAGCCTCAGCCTCCCAAAGTGCTGAGATTATAGGTGTGAGCCACTGCACCTGGCCTAACTTTATTTTTTAAAAGGAAATTATGTCATAGCCAAAGGCCATGGGTTTGACGCACAGGTTACATGTGTTTTCTAATCCACATGAACATAAATGTATAACTTTTTTTTTTTTATGAGACAGAATCTCACTCTGTCGCCCAGGCTGGAGGGCAGTGGCGTGATCTCGGCTCACTGCAGCCTCTGCCTCTCGGGTTCAAGTGATTCTCCTGCCTCAGCCTCCCAAGTAGCTGGGATTACAGACATGTGCCACCATGCCTGGCTAATTTTTGTATTTTTAGTAGAGACAGGGTTTTGCCATGTTGGCCAGGCTGGTCTCAAACTCCTGACCTCAGGGTGATCCACCCACCTCGGCCCCCAAAAGTGGTGGGTTCACAGGCATGAGCTACAGTGCCCAGCCTCCAAAATATATAACTATTTTTAAAGTTTAGGTGAATGAGTGAATATAGTCTTAATGCTAAAGATGAATAGTGAAATTATAAGAATAAAGGTTTATGGGAACACATGGATTTGACACAGTATTTTTTCTAATATACATTAAAATAAAATACTTATTTTTTAAAAATGTTAACCCAAGTACCAGTTTGAATCATCTCATGCAAGTTTGGGAAATAGCAATACATAAATTAGGGTCGGGGACTTCACGCTAGCCGGGCTCTGGCTATGGTATTTCCTGGTTGTGAGGCTTTGACCTGGTTACTTAACCTCTCTGAGCCTGAGTTTCCTCTTCAGTGAAGTGGAGATAATGACCCAACCTCATCAGGGTGTTGTGAGAACTAAATGTATGAGAAGTGTTTAGAATGGTGCTGCACAGAGCGCTGGCTGAACACACAATATCTAGTTACACAAATCAAACAGGCTGCAATTAAATTCCACCAGAAGGCTGGGTGCACCACGGCACTCCAGCCTGGGCCACAAAGTGAGACTCTGTCTCAAAAAAAAAAAAAAAAAATTCCACCAGGCTTTCCTGAGCACCTACTATGTCCTGGACCCTGTAATAAAGACTAAGGGTCCAGAGGTAAACAAGAACAGTCCCTGCCCTGATACTGCTAATCATCTAACTGGGAAGACAGACAAGCCTCTATGTAATCACAACCCATGGTAAAAGGGGCATAGTAAAAGGATGCTACAAGGGGCACAGGTGGTCCAGAGGAAGGAGGGAATGCTGCTGCCTAGGGCAAAGTCATGGACAGCTTCTAGGAAAAGGTGCTGGTTAATTTGGGTTTTAATGGATGAATAGGAGTTTGCCAGGCAGACAGAGAGGAATGAGAACATTCCAGGCACAGGGAACAGCATATGCAAAGGTATGGAGGCCTGAAGTAGGAAACTACTAGAGCATAAAGTGCAAGAGGTTGATGGCGATACTCCCAGGTCCTACCTTTACCCCAAGCTTGGAAGGTGCCTAAATCGAGGGGGGCTGTGAACGCACGCCCCTGCCTCCATTTTCTCCTGAGCCTGAGTGGAGATAAAGAAACTGCTGATTCAAAGATGAATAGAAAGAACTCAGACTCCAGAGTAGATGGCCATGGCGTGAAACCTTTTACCCTGTGCAAACTGGGTCCATATTTTCCTCATCTGTGACATGGGGATGAGGTACTTGATTTGCTGAGAGTTAAACAAGACAAGTGAATAAAGGGCTGGGCACAGGCCTGGCTCACGGTAGGCACTCAATGCCAGGCTTCCTCGTTCTTGTCCCCACCCCACCCCCACTGCAGTGTGTAGCGAGCTGAGCCACCCAGGGAGGGTGGGAAGGAGACTCCCAGCAGCCTGCATGCCCAGCCCAGCAGAAGCCAGACCAGCTAAGCCAGACCAGCTAATCCAGCCCCAGCCTGTCCTTCCCCTGGCCCCACCATGCCACTCTCCACACCCGGGAGTTCCCAGGTGGGCAGGTCATGGCAAATGAGATGCATACACATTGCTGAGGACAACTGAGTGACCTGTGTGCTCCAGCCTCTGCACACACGATTCCAGCCAAGGACACCTTTGCTGGATCTTATCACAGCCCATTTTATCACCTACTGTGCAGACAAAGAGGCCTTGTCCAAGGTCACACAGTCAGGATCAGGATTGGTAGGGGCTCCAGGATTCCTTCTTTGTCTCCTGCACACGCAAGTGCATGTGTCTGTGTGGTCTGAGTCCCTCCAAGGGCCCCCCCCGACCTGCCTTTCTGGCCACCAGCCCCACCCCTAATTTCCTCCCTCACTCCTTCCACCCACGTCACAGTGAACCGCTTGCAGTCCCCAATGACTCTGCTTACTGTACACCCTGTGCCTTCTGCGGGCTATCCTCCACACCTGAAATGCTCTTCCTTAACCCTCACTCCTCTATTCACTCCTCTCCCATCTGCCAAACTCCTACTCATCCTTCAGGGCCCAGCCCAATTGCCTCCTCCAAGAAGCCTTGCCCAACAGAGTCAGTCTTATCATCCTTTTTGATCATAGGGTATCTTGAAATCACAATGACCGAAGAGAGAACAGACTTTCAACTTTGATCCTCATTGTGTCTACTAATAACTTCTTTTTTTTTTTTTTTTTTTTTTTGAGTCTCACTCTGTCGCCCAGGCTGGAGTGCAGTAACGCGATCTTGGCTCACTGCAAGCTCCGCCTCCCGAGTTCATGCCGTTCTTCTGCCTCAGCCTCCCGAGTAGCTGGGACTACAGGCACCCGCCACCACACCCAGCTAATTTTTTGTGTTTTTAGTAGAGACGGGGTTTCACTGTGTTAGCCAGGATGGTCTCGATCTCCTGACCTCGTGATCTGCCTGCCTCAGCCTCCCAAAGTGCTGGGATTACAGGCGTGAGCCTCCGCACCTAGCCTACTAATAACTTCTTAATGAACAAATAAGAGAATTCATAAATCAACTACTTTGCCGTTGCATGCTTTTAAGAGCTGCGATTTTGTTTATTGATTTTTGTTGTTGTTGAGAGCAGAGTGTGGCACGCTGATGGGGTTGCCATGTGCAACCTCATAGAGTGTGCACTGCGCAATGCCTTGGGGTGCTGAGCACACAGGCAGTGATGTGAATTACACTGTCTGGAGATGGGCAACGCGCCAGCCCTGACCCTTGGCCATTCTGGAAATATTTGCAACTCATCAGGTGGTGGAGCAAAAGGGGCACAGGCATTGCATTCAGACTCACTTGGGTTCAAATCCCAGTTTTGCCACTTCCCCACTGTGTGCTCCCAGACAAATGACTTAACCTCTCTGAACTTCTGTCGTAAAACGGGAACAGGCACCCACCTCACAGAGCTTCTGCTAGAGTTATATAAGTCAATAGAAAATGTCTAACATGTAGCAGGCCCACAATAAGTGTTCATTCCCCTCCTTGAACATCTGGAATTCCTGCTCTTCTCCCCTAACTTCCAGATTGTTTGCATGTCTAGGATGCAAATGAGATATCCTAAGCCAGGCTCTTCCTAGACTGGCTGCAATACCTTTTTTGTCCTTGCTTCTATAAGCTTTGGCACTAGGTCCAGTTCTGACATGAATTAGTAAGGTCCTATTCCTCCAGGAATTTATCTCACTGGTGATCTCATATATGTGCAAGAGAATGTGCACTGAAGTATCGTGAATAGAAGCCAAAGACTGGAAACAACCTCCGTGCCCATTAGAAGAAACAGATCAATGAATTACATGCATGCATGCAGTGGGTACCAGACAGTCGTAACAAAGAGACAGCTCTCCACATACTCACAGTAAGTCATCTCCCAGATAATGTAAGAGAAAAAGAAAGGTATGGGATAATTTGTTGCATTGAGCAGCTGGGGGTCAGGGTCTAACCACAGAACAGAGAAAAATGGCATGAGGGACTAATGCTCAGTTTACCCAAGGATGGCGCAGACCTGGAACCATAGGGATGTAGAGGAGAGAAGTTAATTCCTTACACACCACAGATGCCGTGGGGCATTGAGACCTAGTTCTCTTGTGGAAGCCCCCTGAGAAAGCCTGGACAGACCATCTCTGGAAGAACATGCAAGAAACTGATAACATCAGTTTCTGGAATAGAGAATGAGGTGACTGAGGGTAGGCTTGGAAAGAAGTCACTTGTCACAGATCAGACCCTTGAGTAGTTTTAAGTATTTTGCTATGGATGTGATTTAATCTGTAAAAATGAAAGCAAACCATTTTAAATAAGGATTTTGTAAGGCCCATATGTCTGAAATAATAATAACTTGCTGTTTGACCTTGGGTGGGACTCATAGGGACTCCATATCTCCATCTTTGAAATGAAAAGACCGTCTCAAGAAGAAATGCAGGCTGCACATCAGAGACCCATTCCTGAGTCCCAGCACCCAGGGCTGTGGGCCTGGGCAGAACATTGCATTTCAGTGGGGCCAAACCAACCAAGGCATGTTTGTCCTCAGAGGGAATGAGACATCAGCCATCCTGAGCCACTCCAGATTCAAGCACACGCTTCATGTCCCAATAACAGAAGCTTGTTGTTTACATCGTTTCCCAGGGAGCAGGATTACAGCAGCCCCTGGCTCAGGGGGCCTAATTTTAAACACTGGGTTCTGGGCAGACAGCATAAAAAGGCCAGACCCTGGCTACCTATAAGACACAGGTACTAAAAAAAAAAAAAGGTGACCCTGAGGGTAGATAACAGAAAAGAGAAAACAGTCTCTCCCTTCTACCTTTCTCCTCCCACAAACTGACTTTTTCAGCAAGTACCTATCCTCCAGGAGCTCCAAGGAGCAGGAGACAGGCAGCTATCACTGCCTGGGGGGCAGTTCGCATTTTACCCAAAGTCTCAAAGCTGCCTGATCCTAAGAATGCCATCTGGGAGCATCAGTTCAAAACAGATCACTAGGCCCCAGACAGGTGGTTCTTAGGGATCTATTTGAATTTCCTGATTATTTCATAATGTTTTTCATTTGTTTGATTGGTGAGTTTGCTTCACAGTTTGTTTAGATCAGAGTCCTAATGAGATCCAGACATGGTGACTGGTTGGCATGTCTCCTAATCTGCTTTACTCTACAGATTCCCCCTCCCTGTATTTATTTATTTACTTGTTTAGTTCTTATTTGTCTGTCTTTTTTCTTGCATTTTATTTGTAGAAGAGACCAGCTGTTTATCTATAGAATGTCCCACATCTGAAGTATGCTGACTACATCCCTGTGGTGCTACTTAACATGTTCCTCTGTCCCCTGTAGCTTCTGTAACCTGGTTGAATCTAGGGACTTGTTCAGATTCAGGTTAGAGTTTTGGGCAAGACTGTTCCATGGGCGGTGCCACGTTCTGCCACCCACAGGCTCATACTACCTGCTTGTCTGTCTCTTTGTGATGTGAGCAGCTGTAGTTGCCCGATGCCTGGTTCCATTACCCCATCAGGAGTGGAACGATGACTTTCTCGTCTATCATCCCTTCTACATTTTTAAGCAGAAATAGAAACTTCCACTCATCAACCTTTTGATTACCTGGAGGTGCCATTTATACAGAAAGTGCAGAATTAATTATTTAAATCCTTTTGGCAAAGTGAATATGAACTTGCAGTGGGAGTGGGCAGGTTCCTCTGAGCCGGTCTACACAGGTGTAAACTGGAGGTGCTGGTGACCTCACAGCTTTATCCTGGTATCTGGGGAGAGCTCATCCTCTTAGCAAATGCTGTGTGCATATGCATGCTTTCCAGGGCACCTCACAAGGTTTTCCAGCCTCTTCCCTGGCCCCAGCCTCAGTCCCAAACCCACTGTTGAAAGACGGCCAATGCCCGTAGGACCCTCTCTAAGCAATGCACAAATTCTAAGCAAGACACAAATCCAGTTCACCTCTGTGGCCCGGTCTGCAGATAAGAATGCTAATACCTCCCTCCCAGGGTGGCTGTGGGTACCAAATGAGATAAGGCAGAAGGGCCTGACACTTGGGGAAACCCAGTAAGAAGTCCTCCTTTTTCCCAGTCAGGAAGCATAGGGCTCTACGGCCCTCCCACCCTAAGGATCGTGCGCGCGCGCACAAACACACACACACACACCGGGCATCAGTGCCTCCCAGCAGCCCCGGCAGCCAGCCGGGCAGCCCTATTGTTCAGCCACTTTCCCAGCCCGAAGGGGGCCGCTGGGAACGCGAGGAGGCCCCGGCCCTTCCTGCTCCGTCGCTGACGCGCGGCCTGCGGAAGGAACAGCGCGTCTCTTGGGGCCAAACGCATTCCATTCATGCCCCGGCGGGCAGCACGCACGTCCGCACCTCGGCTCCCAGCGCACAGGCTCACTGGCGATCCGGGCCCGACTTGCTTAGGGAGAGAGAGACTTGGATGGAGAAGTCAGATGAGCAGATCCCGCTTGATATCCCGAACCCTCCCTTCCGGGAGCCCTGCGAGGATGCGCGCATCAGCCCATTCTACGGCTAAGAAAAGTGGAGCGCAGAGGCCGGGTGCGGGAGCTCATTCCTGTAATCCCAGTTCTTTGGGAGGCCGAGGCGGGCAGATCTCTTGAGCCCAGAAGTTCGAGACCAGCCTGGCCAACATGGCGAAACTTTGTCACTACAAAAATACAAAAATGTACCTGTTATGGTGGCGCAAGCGTGTAGTCCCAGCTCCTTTGGAGGCTGAGGTGGGAGGATCACTTGAGACAGGGAACCCGAGGCTGCAGTGAGCCATGATCGCACCGCTGCACTCCAGCCCGGGTGACAGAACAAGACCGTGGAGAGACAGAGAGAGAGCCAATACCTCCTAAGCACCTGCTTTTCTCCTTTCATCCTCCTGACAACCTGGCCAAATACAGTGTCTTTCTAGGAAGTAACTGAATCCAGGTTTTCCTGGGTCCAAAGATATTATTTCTCCACACAGCACAATGGTGGACTCTGACACCATCACAGCAGAACTTAAATCCTGGCTTCATCACTCAGATAGCGGCCAGGCAAAGGCAAGTTGCAGCATTTCTCTGTGCCTCAGTTTCTTATGTGTAAAATGGATATGATAACAGTCCGTACTGATAGAGTTATTGTGAACATTCTAGAAAATGATACACGTAGTTCAAGCTATTGCTATAATTTAGCTTCTAGAACTTAAAAAGCTGTGAAATGGAGCCGGAGTGACCAACTGTCCCAGTCTGCTGGAGCCGAAAGCCCTGCATGCCGGAATTTCCATGCTAAAACCAAGACAGTCCCTGGCAAACCAAGACAGATGGTCACCCATAACAAAGCTGTTGGTTTTTTTGTTTGTTTTTATTTTGTTTTGTTTTTGAGACGGAGTCTCACTCTGTTGCCCATGCTGGAATGTGGTGTTATGATCTCGGCTCACTGCAACCTCCATCTCCCGGGTTCAAGCGATTCTCCCGCCTCAGCCTCCTGAGTAACGAAGCTGTTTTTAAAAGTCCATGCTCCTCTCCAAAGGGCAGGACAATGGCCATTCATGCTCTCACTATCGAGATTTTCCCAGAATTCCTTGGGCCTCGAGCCCTTTGTCCTGCTCTCCCTGCTCCACCCTTGCTTAGCCAAAGGGAAACCAGACATTCTTGACATGAAAATTTTCCACATCCTTCAGGGCAATCTTTTGGTGCCAGAAATAGTCAGTAGGATTTGGGAGTTAGCCCAGGCCACTAAAAATAGCTTTCATTGCCCCCCGGAAGGCCTGCGCCATCTCGACTCCAGACGGCCTAATGAGCTGCCCGCCTGGGCCAGCGCCTTAAATGACCAAGAGCTCTGCTGGTCTGGCTGATCAAGGGCGCAGAGGAGGTCAGCTCCCACTCAGCTTCCTCAAACCGCCTATCAGGCCAGGACCACCCGGGCCGCCCACCCAGAGACATCCCCTCCTCCACCCACTGGCATGCTTATGTCCTTGACTCAGGCAAGCACAGCACCATCACACGCGTCCACACCTGGACAATCACCCACAGCCTCACGGGTGTCTCTACAAACGGGAACACACAGCCACACCCTCTCTGCCTTCTATACACTTCAACACACCCAAAACAGCCACACACATGCGCTCATGGCTAGCATATCATTTTCACTATATAAATGTCAAGCTGTCCTCTGCATTCCTAACACAGTGGTTCCAAACTTTCCTATCTTTGCATCTATTCCTCCGCAACTCCCACTCCGTCCCAGGAAGATTTTTGTTAAATTTGCATTTTTCTATTGGGACCTGGAGCTTGAGAACAAGAAAACAAGAAGTTTGAATACACATTCTCAAAATATTTTCAAACTGTCTGCTTCTCCCCCGATCTGACATCTGTCCTCTACCTGCCTCCTATCAAGTCAACGAGAATCCAAGGCCAATAAAGAAGGAGGATCTGGCCAGGTGCGGTGGCTCACGTTTGTAATCCCAACACTTTGGGAGGCCAAGGCAGGTGAATCACCTGAAGTCAGGAGTTCGAGACTAGCCTGGCTAACACAGTGAAACCCCGTCTCTACTAAAAACACAAAAATTAGCTGGGCGTGGTGGCAGGCGCCTGTAATCCCAGCTACTCAGGAGGCTGAGGCAGGAGAATCACTTGAACCCGGGAGGCAGAGGTTGCAGTGAGCCGAGATCATGCCACTGCACTACAGCCTGGGCAACAGAGCAAGACTCTGCTTCAAAAAAGAAAGGAAGGAAGGAAGGAAAGAAAAGAAAAGAAAGGAGGGAGGGAGGGAGGAAAGAGAAAGAAAGAAACAGAAAGAAAAAGAAAGAAAGAAAAGGAAGGAAAGAAAGCAAGAAAGAAAGAGAAAGAAAAGAAAGAAAGAAAGGAGGGAGGGAGGGAAGAAAGAGAGAAAGAAGGAAAGAAAGGAAGGAAGGAAGGAAAGAAAGAAAGGAAGGAAGGAAGGAAGGAAAGAAAGGAAAGAAAGAAAAGAAAAGAGAAAATCCCTGGGGAGCACCCAGGGGGCTCCAGATCCTCAGCCCAGCCTTGCAGCTTGACCCTCACAGCCCGGTCTAGGAGGGAGAAGGTGGGAAGGTGCCCTGCCCAGGGTGAGGGGCCAGGGCTAGGAGGCCAAGACACCTGGAGGTCATTGCTACACACAGGAGCAGAAGCATTTGCTGGTGCTTCTACCTAGATTCAGCCCCAGGCTGCCTGCCTGCTCTCTGAAGGGGAAACAGAAGAGGAAGAAGAAGAGGTCTATACTGGAACTAGCCCGCAAAAATGTGGAGGCCACATCCTTGCCCTGCGGAAAAGCAGAGAAAGAAGAACTGCCTGCCAGGGTCTGACAAGACCCCAGCAGCAAGGCAGGAAGTGGGGTTCCCGTCAGGACCCTCCCACCCACATTCTGACCTGTGCCGGGAACTTTCCCTTCACTACACTTCAGCTCCCACTGGCAGGTGGTGTACACAGGGCACCTTCCTGTGCAGACAGTCCATGGTCCTGTTCATTCACTCATCCATTTATTCCAAAACACATTTCTTGAGCACCTGCTATGTTCTAGGCCTGGGCTGGTGCTGGGAGAAACAGCTGTGAACAAGACCGCCAAGGTCCCTGCCCTACCAGTGCCTACAGGGCCGTCAGGAAGATAACACTAAGCCACAGTCACCCTTTAACAGAAGCTGGAGCAGTGCCTGGGGCATCGCGTGCTCAGGGAATGCAGGCTGCATGGGACAGCCATGGCTGAGGGTGCTATTAACCAAGGAATGGGTGCCCAGACAGAGCAACGTAGGCCACAGGAGGTAATGCAATCGATAAGACCCTCTGAGCAGGGGGAGAAGCCAGCCTCACAAAAGGGTGTGGAGAGGGGTGGGAATATGTTGGGTGTGAGTGTGCATGCGTGTGACTACACGTGAGTGTGTATGGGAATGGGTATTGTGTGAGCAAACATATTTGAGTGTGAATATTATGTGTGTGTGGGTGCGTGAGTGTGTGTGGTTGCTTGTGAGCGTGTGTGTGTGTGTTAGTGTTCGGGAATGTGTGGGTGGGTGTGAGCATGTGTGAGCGTGAGCATGTGTGAGTGCATGTATTTGAGCGTGTATGTGAGCATGTGTGGTGTGCGTTTGTTGGGTGGAGGGGTTAGAGTTCCAGGCAGAGGGAAAGGTGCAAATGCTCTGCAGTGGGAATAAGCTCAGTTTCTTGAAGAAATGAAAGAAAACCCACGTGTTGTTTGCAGTGGTCAGTGGAAGGGACACTATGCCGTAGTGATACATAGTGAGGGCTTGCCATGTGCCTGACCCTGTGCTTACTACAGTAACTCATTTGGCTCTCTCCACAACCTGATGAGCTATATTCTATTACTAATCCATTTTACAGGTGAAGAACCTGAGACACTGAGAAGTTAAATAACACCCAAGGTCACAGACGTCGGAAGCAACACCACTAGAATTTCAACCACAGGCCTTGCTCTTAACCACTCTGCCAGGGACCCAGACTAGCTGGGCCTATGGAGGACACAGAAAGAGTTGGGCTTTATCCTGGATAAGATGGTAAGCCACTGGAAGGTTCTAAGCAGAAATATGACTTCATGTATTAGAATTAGGTTCATTTCCAATAAAAGCCCAGCATTACAGTAGCTTAAACAACACAGAAAGATAAAAATATAGTTTGCTCACACACACAAAAAGCCCACCAGATTTAAGAGAATGAGAAGACAAGCCTCAGGTTGGGAGAAAATATTTGCAAAAGATATATCTGATAAAGAGCTGTCATCCAAAATACACATAGAGCTCTTAAAATTCAACAGTATGGAAACAACCCACTTTAAAAATGAATAAAAGATACCTTAGATACCTTACAAACAAGATACACAGATGGCAAGCGAGCCTGTGAAAAAATGCTCAGCATCATGTGTCATCAGAGAAATTCAAATTAAAGCAACAGTGAGACACCACTACACACCTAGTTAAATGGCCAAAATCCAAAACTCGGATGCCACCAAATGCTGGAGAGGATGTGGGGCAATAGGAAGTCTCATCCAGGGCTGGTGAAAATGAAAAATGCTACAGCCACTTTGGAAGACAGTTTGACAGCTTCTTACAAAACTAAACATACTCTTGCCATGCAACCTAGCAATTGTGCTCCTTGGCATTTACCTAAAGGAATTGAAAATATTTCCACACAAAAACCTGCATGTGGATGTTTATAGCATCCAAACTCACAATTGCCAAAACTTGGAAGCAAGCATGATGTCCTTCAGCAGGTAAGTGAATAAACTGTAATACATCCAGAGAATGAAATATTATTCTGTGTTAAAAAGAAATGAGCTATCAAAGCCATAGAAGAGACATGGATGAATCTCAAATGCATATTACTAAGTGAAACACATTGATCTGAAAAGGCTACATACCATATGACATTCTGAAAAAGGCAAAACTACGGAGACAGTGAAAAGATCAGTGGTTGCCAGGAGTTATGGGGAGGGAGGGCTGAATACGCAGAGTATAGAGGATTTTGAAGGCAGTGAAACTCCTCTGTACGATACTACAATTGGGGATACCTATCACTAGACATTTGTCCAAACCCACAGAATGTCCAATACCAAGGGCGAATCCTAATGTAAACTATGGACTTTGGGTGATACTGATGTGTCAGTGTCGTTAACAGACTGTAACAAATGCACCACTCGCTCTGGTGGGGAATGTTGACAGTGGAGAAGTCTATGTGTATGTGAGGACGGGAGTATATGCGAAATCTCTGTACCTTCTGCTCAATTTTGCCATGAGCCTAAAACTGCTCTAAGAAATGGAGTCCATTGAAAAAATTTTTTTAAAAAGAGCCAATGATGCACACGAAAACATGGATTAATCTCAAAAAGCATGCTAATTGAAATAGACACAATAAAGGAATACTATATAATTCCACTTATAGAAAACTCTAGAAATCACAACTTTAGTCTACAGTGACAGAAAGCATAATGCTAGTTGGCTAAGGTGGGGAGGTTACGGACTGATTGGGAAGGAGCACAAAGGAATTTTTGACCACGGATATGTTCCATATCTTGAATGTATTGGTAGGTATAATACAGTCTGCAAACAATTGTTGAAATTTAAAAATATACAAAACTGTATAAATCTGTCAGAATATATTAAATTGTAAGCTTAAGTGAGATATAGTTATTAAAATAAATATTATCTCAATGAAGTTAGAAAAAGGAAAACTTTAAAAAGTGCACCAGAGCTAATGATAGTGCTCTGCTCCATGAAGTCCTTGTCAGACATATGAAGGGTCTGAGATTTCTTTTCTCCTACTTGCAAACTAACAACGAGCTTACCACAATTGCACAGATGCCAGCAGAAGACTCAGGACTCTTAGGTCAGAGACAAAGGACTTTATTACTCACAACACAGTAGGCAGCTCAAGCTTTATCTTTGCTCTGGTTTACTTGCCTCCTAAGTTCCATGGGGCTGGAGCAGGAGGCCCAGGTGGATCCTGTGCACACAGGGCTCATGTCAGAGCTGAGATATACTGAGCTTAGGAAACTCCTAATCTTATAAGCATAAGAGGCTGCTAACGAACCCGGTCAACATTCAACCTGGAGAAAGGCATTATCTTTATAATCCTGGTCAGGAAATAAATCTGTCCTCTGCTCCAGAGTGAGACACTATTCCTGCTCCCCCAGGCTATTTGTC
Source organism: Homo sapiens (assembly GCF_000001405.40). Classification (NCBI taxonomy): domain Eukaryota; kingdom Metazoa; phylum Chordata; class Mammalia; order Primates; family Hominidae; genus Homo; species Homo sapiens. The sequence goes on from NC_000005.10 coordinate 172,755,003, forward strand.
ATATAAACATCCTGAAAAGATGGTTCCACGCAAAAGGTGTCACAAGAGGTATAAGAATGCCATGGAGAATTGCCCCTCAACAGTCCTAAGGGAAGGAGACTCCCTCTGTCTTTCTGCTCTGCCGTCATTCCCGACATCACTTCATGGCTAAAAATGGCTGCCTCAGCTCCAGCCATCACTCTGTATTCCAGACCACAGGAAGGACAAAACAGGGAAGAAATGTATCAGCCCTCTCTTTAAGGACACTCCCTGGAAGTTGCACACACATTAGGTTTGACATTCAAACAGCTATGTCTGGCTGTAAGAGAGGCTGGGGAATGTGGACATATACCTGGCCAAAAGCCTATTACTAAGGAAGACTAGAGCCTGGGGAACAACCAGCCTTTCTGCTCTACATAGTCAGTGTCACAGTGGTCTGTGAATCTCTACATAGTCAGCATCACAATGGTCTGTCACAATGGTCTGTAAGTGGTCTATCAAGTGCTGAGGACACAGGACACATGAACCTTTATTCTAGGAGTCCTTGGGGGAGCTTCTCATTTAGTGCCATCCTTGGTACTTCCTACTTTCCCCAACCTTAAAGGGGATGTTAGGCCCCTGAGTGAGGGTGGGATTCACCCTTGTCTTGCCTGGTACAGTGGAAGGCCCTGCCAGGCTTAGGTCTTGGACCACACACTGTGTTAAACCTGAGCTGTGGGTAAGTCCTCTCCTTCTCCAGGCCTCAGCTACTCCCTCCAGGTGACATGGTGTATTAGTTTGTTTTGCATTGCTATAAAGGGATACCCAAGACTGGGTAATTTATAAAGAAAAGAGGTTTATTTGGCCCACAGCTCTGCAGGCTGTACAGGCAGCATGGTGCCAGCATCTGCTCAGCTTCTGGTGAGTCCTCTGGAAGCTTCTAGTCATGGTGGAAGCTAAAGGAAGGAGCCTGTGTATCAAATGGTGAGAGGGTACAAGAGGGAGAGGGAGGAAGGGCCAGGCTCTTTTAAATAGCCAGATCTCGGCAGGTGCAGTGGCTCATACCTATAATCCCAGCACTTAAGGAGGCCAAGGCAGGCAGATCACTTGGGGTCAGGAGTTCAAGACCAGCCTGGCCAACATGGTGAAATCCCGTCGGTACTAAATATACAAAAATTAGCCTGGCATGGTGGCAGTTGCCTATAATCCCAGCTACTGGAGAGGCTGAGGCAGGAGAATTGCTAGAACCCAGGAGGCAGAGATTGCAGTGAGCCGAGATCATGCCACTGCACTCCAGCCTGGGCAATAGAGTGAGACTCCATCTTAAAAAATATATAAATAAATAAATAAACAGCCAGATCACACGTGAACTCGTAGTCAGAACTCACTTGGCTGGGCACAGTGGCTCATGCCTGTAATCCCAGCACTTTGGGAGGCCGAGGCAGGCGGATCACTTGAGGTTAGGAGTTCAAGACCAGCTTGGCCAACATGGTGAAACCCTGTCTCTACTAAAAATACAAAAATTAGCCCGATGTGGTGGTGGGTGCCTGTAATCCCAGCTACTCAGGAGGCTGGGGCAGGAGAATCACTTGAACCCAGTAGGCGGAGTTTGCAGTGAGCCGAGATCAAGCCATTGCACTGTCCAGCCTGGGTGACAGAGCGAGACTCTGTCTCAAAAAAAAAAAAAAGAACTCACTCATTACCCCGAGGACAGCACCAAGCCATTCATGAGGGACGAACCCACCCCCATGGCCCAAACACCTCCCACTAGTCCCCACCTCCAATACTGGAGGTCACATTTCAAGGTGAGATTTGGAGGGGACAAAACATCCAAACTCTATCAATGGTTTGCTAAACGTGGCAATAATAATAAGCCCACCAAGCAGGCTAGATGGATGTACTAAATCAGTCACATATGTAAAGCAAATACTGGGTGAGACCTGTCTCAAAAAATAAAGCAGATAAGTAGGAATCTGAAGCCCAGAGAGGTGATGTAACTTGCTGAGAGTCACACAGCAAGGAAATGCTACACTTGGGGCTAGAACACAAAGCTGCTGCCTGAAGTCTTTGGCTATGGCTCAGAAAGTCTTAAGTCATTGATGATGATGAGGACACGACGAAGGAGAGTGGCCAGTGAAACCTACAACAGACCCTTCCTCTGGCTCATGGTGAAGGGAGAACAGCCTAAACTGCTCATCCGATGATGACATTGAGGGAAGCTGGGGCCAGCGGACAGGCTAGTGCTTTCCAGTCCTTCTTCCCGGCTGGTCATTTCCTTGGCTTCAGAGCAGCCCGGTGCCCACACTCTGAAACACCCACCGCAGGGGACACGGGGCTCTGATCCTTTTTGCGTAAAATAGCAGCATAAGGGCAGGGACCCTCATGAGGGCTCTTGGGAATTCAGTTCTAGGGAAGAAGGTTGGGCCTGGAACAAGTCCTGAGGCCTTTATTCCTCTTATAAAATCTATGGAACAGCAATAAATTGGCATCAGGTCATCCCTCGACACTTGAGATGGGAGTCCTTCCTGTGCCACGTGCTCAGCCTTCTAGGGCTCAAGGGTCACCTCTTCCAGGAAGCCTTCCTGTATTGTTCTCTCCTCTGCCCACTCTTCCCTGCATTTCTCCACCCCCTTGCTCTGCCCGCACCTCACCTACAGCCCCCAGATCACTGTGGCAAAATCATGGGCCAATGCATCAGTCTCCACCACTTGCCAGGAGAGCCTGAGGTCAGAAACCGTGTCTCTCCCATCCCTGTGCACCCAGCGTCCCATGCAGGGCCCGGCACTACTAATAGCTCAGTATGGTTGGTTCCCTGACTGAACTGTGGGCGGGAGCTAGAGCATGTGTCTCCACCAGAACTGTCTTCCAAAGCCTCCCTAGCAACACCCACAGCAGGACCCCAAACGCTGCCACTGCCTTGAGGCTCTTCCAGGCTGGTCATATCCTAGAAGGAGGTCCCTCGCCCACAAAGTGTTCCTTCATGTATTCAATCATTCACTTCCTCAACAATGTGCCTAGCCCTGCAGTGGGGGCTGGGGACACAGAAATGAAAAAGGCACAATCTTGCCCTCAGGTGGCTCACAGTCAGGTGAGGGAGGCCAAGACCCTCTCCCCTGCCTCCCTCCATCCTTGCCTGTCTTCCTTCTTCCTTTCCGTATGTATTTATTGGGCAGGAGACACACAACTACGCAGTGACAAGTGCCAGGAAGGTGGCTGTTGAGAGCTCTGCGGGAGTCCCGAGAAGAATCCCCAGCGGTCACTAGAGGCCTTGACGAAAGAGATTTCCAGGAGACTCAGCATAGATGTTGAATCTTCCTATTGGAGGAGAAGCTGTGAGTCATAAGCCCCGAGCAGCCCTACAGATTTCCCCATGAATCACTCACTGCCCTCTTCTCTTCGTTGGAGGCACACGCCATGGGGAATTCTCCTTCGGACGGGAGGGAGGAAATATGGGGGAAGTGGTAGGAGGACAGGGCTCAGAGTGGAGTCCCCGAAGTAGATTTTCCCATTATCTTTCTAGACCCAAAGCCCTGACCCCAGAAGCTGAGCCCCAGGATGGCCCCGGTCTTGAATAGCCAGGACCCTCGTGTGGCTTCCTGCTTACAAAGCGCTTTCACACACTTTATTTCATCTGCACACCACTGTGTGTTATGGGAAGGTCTCCAAGGGAAACTGCTTCATGAGGAAGGGAAAGAGGCTGGTCGAGCAGCAAAGAATCACTTCCGCCTAGCTTGGACCCAGGACCCACCCAGGAGGGAAGGGAATTGTCCGCAGCCTGCAAAGATCTTTCACTTATCCATCACATTCATTGAGCACTCCCCTGCACGCCAAGCACTGTTCTAAGGGCAGGATGGCCAAGGTCCAGGCAGAAAGAAGAGCATGGGGCCCAGTGCAGGAGTGAACGTTGCCAGCGCTAGATAAAGCAATGAGGCCAGGCTGGCTAGAAGAGACGAATGAGGGAGGAGAGTGGCAAAGATGCGGTCAGAGATGTGCAGCAAGATAGTATCAGGTCTTGTAGCCTTTGTTAGGATGTGTCTTTTAGCCTGAGTGAGATGGGAGCCATGAGAGGGTTTGAATAGAGGAGAAAAATTATCTGATATGCTAAAAGTTTCCCTCTGGATTTTTAAAAGCCCGACTCCCTTCTAGTCATGGCAGAGCACGGAATTCAGAACAATTCTACTGGTGAGGACAAGGTAAGTTGGACAAAATATTAACATATTTTCGTTTAAAGGCATTATGACACTAAAAGGCAGTGAGGAACTTTGGGACCAAGACCTGGGAAAAGAAAAGTCAGAGGGATGAGCTGGGCCCAGTAGCTCATACCTGTAATCCCAGCACATTGGGAGGCCGAGGCGGGTGGATCTCCTGAGTTCAGGAGTTCGAAACCAGCCTGACTAACATGGAGAAACCCTGTCTGTACTAAAAATACAAAATTAGCCGGGCGCAGTGGTGCATGCCTGTAGTCCTAGCTACTCGGGAGGCTGAAGCAGGAGAATGGCTTGCACCCGGGAGGTGGAGGTTGCAGTGAGCCGAGATCGCACCATTGCACTCTAGCCTGGGCAACAAGAGTGAAACTGTGCCTCAAGATGAAAGAAAGAAAGAAGAAAGAAAGAGAGAAAGAGAGAGAGAGAAAGAAAGGAGGGAGGGAGGGAGGGAGGGAGGAAGAGAGGGAGGAAAGGGAAGGAAGGAAGGAAGGAAGGTCGGTCAGAGGGATGAACACAGCCCTTGGGACCTCTTTTCCCCAAAGGGTATCTGCCAATTCTGAAATAAAAGGATCAAAGGCTGAGAAGTTGAGTGGAACTTTTAAAAGACTCATGGATCTAATGGGATGAAAGTTAAAGCTCAGGGCACACCAAGGGAGATCCTGGCACACCCCCATACTTTTGGGAGTATTACCCAAAAAAAAAAAAAAATCCAGGCTGGAGGGTCTGGTAGATTCACCAAGCTTTTAGTTGAAACTCCAAAGGGATACACCAATGGACTAAGAATGAACCAGTCATAACAGGATCTAAAGCCCAGCTTCAAGTCATCTCAACTCATCTCAATCTCTGCTTGGATTAAGGTGATGTGGGGTTCCTAACACCCCTAGACACCTCCTACAAATGGAAAATAACATTATCTTAAGCTTCAAATGATCTCTAAAATTTTTCATATACAATGCCTGACAACCAAAAATATGAGAAAATGAAACATAATCAAAAATCAAGAGAAAAAATAGGCAACAGAAATAAACACAAGGATCCAGATAGTTATTGGTTACACACATTAATTCTGTTTAATATGCTAAAGTATATAAATGGAGAAATAATAACTGAGATTTATCCAAGGCAAATGAAAGGAGAAATAATAACTGAGAATTATCCAAGGCAAATGAAAGGCATCAAACCACAGATTCAAAAACCCCATGAATCACAAGCAATATAAACAGGAAAAAAAAAACTATAGGCATATTATAAATAAAACTGCTAAAAGTCAAAAACAAAGAGAAATTCCTAAAGCAGAGAAAAAAGACAGATCACCCTCAGAGGGACAACAAGGCAGTTAGCTGACTTCTCAGCAGACGTAACAAGTCAGAAGACAATGGATTGTATCTTCAAAGTGATTAAATAAGGTCAAAACTTGAATTCTTTACCCAGGAAAAATTCTTCAATAATGAGGCCGGGCACAGTGGCTCACGCCTGTAATCCCAACACTTTGGGAGGCCAAGGCAGGTGGATCACCTGAGGTCAGGAGTTCGAGACCACCCTGGCCAACATGGTGAACCCCTGTCTCCACTAAAAATACAAAAATTAGCCGGGCAGTGTGGCAGACACCTGTAATCCCAGCTAATCAGGAGCCTGAGGCAGGAGAATCGCTTGAATCCAGGGGGATGGAGGTTGCAGTGAGCCAAGATCACACCACTGCACTCCAGCCTGGGTGACAGAGAGACTCCATCTAAAAAAAAAAAAAAAAAAATCTTCAATAATGAAGATAAAAACATTTGTAGGGAATTAGAAACTAGAATTTGTTCTCAGAAGCTAATGCCCTAAATGCAACACTAAAAGGATAGCTTTGCCTGCTGGTTGAAAATAGACATAGAGGGGCTGTGCTGAGGCAAGGAAGCCAGCTTGGAGGCTGCAACACTTTAGGCAATATATGATGGTGGCTGAACCGGAGAGGTAGGTTTGGTCTCAAACTCCTGGCATCAAGTGATCCTCCTGCCACGGCCTCCTAAAGTGCTAGGGTTACAGGCATGAGTCACCATGCCTAGCTCAGAGAAGTAGTTTTGGAAATGATGAGAAGTGATATATTTGGGAAATGGATGTGTTTGAAAGTGGACCTGTCTCAATTTGCCATTGAATTAAATATAGGTTATGAGGGAAAGGGAGGAGTCAAGGGTGTCTCCAAAGTTTTTGACCTGAACTAATGGAAGAATGAAGTTGCTATTAACAAAGGTGGGAAGACTACAGAAGGAGCTGGTTTTGGGTGACGCAAAGGTTTGTTTTTGGAATTGCCAAATTTGAGAGTCTATTTGACAAACAAATGGAAATGTCAAGGAAGCTACTGGCTATTCAAGTCTGCAGTTAGGGGAGAGGTCTAGGCTAGAGATATGAGTTTGTTTCCTTTTTTCATATTTCCCTTATAATGATGAAGATAATGACAATGATGGTTAAAATAGCTAACATTTATTCTTTACTATGTGTCAGGCACTGTGCAAAACATTTTATATATACTATTTCATTTCATCTTGACAGCTACCATGTGAAGTGAAGCAAATACTTTTTTTTTTTTTTTTTTTTGGAGATGGAGTTTCACTCTTGTTGCCGAGGCTGGAGTGTAATGGCGCAATCTCGGCTCACTGCAACCTCCGCCTCCCAGGTTTAAGTGATTCTCCTGCCTCAGCCTCCCAAGTAGCTGGGATTACAGGCATGCGCCACCATGCCTGGCTAATTTTGTATTTTTGGTGGAGACAGGGTTTCACCATGTTGGTCGGGCTGGTCTCGATCTCCTGAACTCAGGTGATCTGCCTGCCTCAGCCTCCCCAAGTACTGGGATTAACAGGTGTGAGCCACCGCACCTGGCCATGAAGTAAATACTTTAACTCCCTTTTTATTTATTTTATTTTATTTTATTTTTTTGACTTGCATCACCTTTTATTACACAAAATAGATTTCAGCCATGTTGCACATTCATTCTCGCTATAGATCTGGCTTTTAAAAAATCCCTAGGGATTCAGTCTCATCGATTTCATGATTTTCCTTTCATTGATGTCAGGCCTCTATTGTAGTCAGAGTCCTCTCAAAGGACAAAAGCAGATATGGCTGCCTTGGATCAGCTGCACGCAGTGCACTCCCGACCTGGCCGCTGGAGGCGCGGCTCCCATCACCTGCACCGCGACTGCTAGGGACTGTCAAAGCGGCAGCATGCCATCGCCTTCTCCAGCCCTTCTCCAGCAGCACAACCAGTCCTCCCAGCTGGTCCTCTGAGGACCAGCCGTCATGGCGACGTGGTGGCAATGTCCCCAGGCAGCCGACCATCCTGGGCTTCTCTTTGGACAGGCCTGGGCCAGGACCTTAGGGGATCTCTGTGTCCATGGTATAAATCTGAATGAGATCAGACACAATATTATCAATGATTGGCTTGGTAAGGTCTTCACCAAACACCTGCCACCACGGCTTCTCAGCCTTAACCTCGGCGGGCACCTCAACTCCGTAGACCTGCAGGGCCAGGTAGAGCACCGCCACCGCGATGTGCTGGGCCTGGAAACGGAGGCACAGACCCCCGTGGTAGCTGTCCCGCAACAGGGCCCAGGCAGTGACGGCAACCGGGGTCCGCTGCCAGCTGTGGCGGTTCAGAGTTTTTGAGGGAAACCAGGTAGTGGAGCAGGTACTTGTGTGGAAGCTGGAAGGAGACCTGGAAGCGCAGAACTCTCAGCATGAGAAGCTCACACTGCACAATGCTGTCCCGGAGCTCCCAGAAGCGGGATTCCAATTCCAGGGGCTCACCGCTCGGGTTAAAGTACCTGTTGGACACATTGATGATGTCATGAGTCCGCAGGTGCTGCTTTTCCGCTTTGCCGGCCAAGTAAATGGAAGACACGGCAATCAGGTAAGGGTCATAAGCGTCCAGGTTGGTATTGCAAAAGAACTTATGGTAAATGGTGCAAGCAGTGGCAATGGGAATGGACCTCATCCCTAGCTTGACACCTGCCTCCATGATGAACCTCGCCACTCGGAAGTGCACCCTGGCTTCGGGCGCCGGTTGCCCCTCGGGGCCCCGCGCTGCAGGCCCCCCTCCGCCGCCCTCCGGGGCTTCCATGAGGCCCGGCGGCCCCGGCGGAAGGAGAGGCTGCTTTGCGCGCAGAGGCCAGCAGAGCGGGGGGGGGGTGCTCGCCACTCCTCCGCCCCACCCCACACGAGGGTCCAACTCCCTTTTTAGAGATGTCAAAACTGAGGGTTTGAGAGGAGAAATAATCCACTCAAAGTCATACAGACACTAACTAGTTGGACCTATCAGTTTTGTCCCAGGTATTTGGAACAGAATCTCAAAATTTCCTTTGGTGGTATGATTTTCACATCTACTGAGTGTTTTACAAACCATGGGTACTTAAAATATGTTTATTGGATGAGTGAATGATTGGTGTCAATCTTGGTGAAACTTTTAAATCCCATCTTTGCAGTGTGCTCCACTGCAGAGGGCTGTGCAGGCTGGGAGGGAAGGAGGGCCCAGGGGTCAGAAGTATGCAGTCCCCCCCCGGCCCTTGTAGGGGAACCCATCCCTGCAAGAACCAGTCACATCTCCATAACACCAACCGACCTTCTGAAGGTCCAGGATCCCTCACTGCCTCTTCCCAGAAAGTGTCTATTTCCTTCCCACTTTGTCTCCCTGAACCAGCCTTCAGGAACCCTGGGGATTCCAGGACCCTCCCAAGTTTGGGTATGGAAGGGACTTAGCACTGGCAGATGGGTGGGAGAGGAGAATAGATGAGGTTCACCGCAGGTTCTTCTTACACATGAGGGTACGAGGCCCCGAAAGGGGAAGCAGCTTGCCCCAGGTTAGTGGAGCAGGGCTAGATGGGCTTAGAACAGAGGCCACTGCTCCAAAGCTCTGATGGCCTAGAGTAAAGCGTTGTCTGATGCGCGCCCAGGGTGTCACTTTGGTGAGGCAGCCCACTTTTGTGGGCGCTCAAGCACGAGCGCCCCTCCGGAGCGCTCCAGAGCCACTCCGGAGGGGCGCTCATGCTTGAGGGACAGAATAGGGAGCAGCTGAGTCACAAGAGAATATTACTGGGCCGTATTACAGATTGGGAAAACAGAGGTTAAAGAGTTTGATAGCAGGCCGGGCGCCGTGGCTCATGCCTGTAATCCTAGTACTTTAGGAGGCCCAGGCGGGTGGATCACAAGGTCAGGAGATCGAGACCATCCTGGCCAACCTGGTGAAACCCTGTCTCTACTAAAAATACAAAAATTAGCTGGGCGTGGTGGTGCGTGCCTGTAATCCCAGCTACTCAGGAGGCTGAGTCAGGAGAATCGCTTGAACCAGGGAGTCGGAGGTTGCAGTGAGCTGAGATTGCGCCACTGCACTCCAGCCTAGCGGCAGAGCAAGCGTCCATCTCAAAAAAAAAAAAAAAAAAGAGTTTGATAGCTTACACACCACTAACAGGTGGCAGAGTCAGGACTTGAACGCAGGTCTAGCCAACTCCAATTCACACGCTGTATCCACTGGTCCACAAACATACCTCTCAAACATCAGGTCTTTGCTGCTCTCCTGGCCTTGGAGCCCTCTTTCCAGTTCACCTCTCAAATGGGCAACTGGGTTATATCATTCAGGTCTTAGTTTATCCTGCCTTCATAGCCTTCATCCTTATCTTATTTTGTGATTATCTTATTTCTATAACCCACCCATATATAGTGCCATGAGACGGCAAGTGACAAAGTAAAATTACTTTTGCTGTTTAGCGAAAATAGCAAAAGTAATTTTAGCTACTTATAAGTAGGAATTTTGTCTTGCACCAAAGTATCCCCTGAGACTATACTTATCAATATTTGTTGAACACATGAATGAATGAATGAATGAACGAATGAGTGAATGAATGCGTGGGCCTCCTGCCTAGCTTTAAAAGCCACATTCAAGGAAAAGGTGGCTATGAGCTTATCTTCCTTGGCAGAGCAGTTTTGTCCACTGTGGCGCTAGCAGAGAGCACACCCTTTGTTCTCCACGGGGTGGAAGACACCTCCTCGGTGGGCAGAGGGGAGCAGGGCTGCTGGTCTGCACCTACAGGCTGTTCTCAAACAGGCTCACCCCGCAGAGCTCTGGAAACGAGGTGAGCAGCCCTCCCACCTGCTCTCCAGAAAGCAACCTGCAGAGAAAAACAGCCCGGGTTGACCTGGATCCACCCGGCGGGCGCGGGGAGGGGCCGCAGCGGCATTGTTTGCCTCTGTGTATGGCAACCAGAAACCACGGCAGCCAGCACTTCTCAGAGGCACCCCGCCCCCCTTTATTTTAATCTCCTAAACTGATTTGTCAGCAGCAGGAAGTGACATGACAGCTTTCCTCACAAAAGGGAAACTCCTCCGCGTTACCATGGGGATGGAGGCCACTGTAGGATCACAGATTTATATAATCTTAAAGGTGTACACACAATGATGTCATCCTCTGACGGGCCAGGGGAGGGAGGGAAAGGGACGCCAGAGGCTGCAAGTCCAAAGCAAATTAGCTACGATTTGCAAAATTCCAAGGAGAGGATGCGGTGGAGGTGGGGGAGGGGGAGTGTTAGAGGTATTATAATGAAATAATGGGTGCCTGGAAACCACAGAAAAGCATAATGTATGCATTGATGCATTTTCTACATCCCAGAATTAGAGAGATGGGAAGAACAGTACTCAGATCCAGTGCAAATTGGTCATTTTACGGGGTGGGAAAACTGAGCCAGAAGAACTGCCAGAAGCCATTAGGACAGAGACAAGGGGATGGAAACATTTCTCCACGGCCCACTGTGTGCCAGGCACTTTACATTCATCAGCCCATGTCTTTCTCACAAGTGAGCCTCAGTTTTGTCCTCTGTAAAATGGGTATTGCTGTCAAAGGTTACTTAACCTTAGCAGTACCTGGCACACAGTGCTCACTCTAAAACTGGCAACCATCATTGCCACATTATCAGTATTAAAAGTCTTATTTCAATCTCTTCCTGGGAAACACATTAATAGACTTTAAGTATCTTTCATCACGAGGTATTAATTTTTTCCCAAGGAAAGCAGTCTGAGGCCAAATATGAGATTTTTCTGGAGGGTCTGAACACAGTGACTCCGGTACATGGGGATCAGGGGTCATCATTCCTGGCTCTCAGGGCTGGCATGAGGCAGAGTGGCTTGAGCCGGGAGAAGTGAGTGACTTGTTTTCACTGGCGGCTCCCTTAGGCAGCCGCTGTATTTTTCCACTGCGTGGATCACACTGGAGATTAATTTTGGTTCAGCCAGTGCCTGCCAAGCAGAAAGCGAAGGCCCTAGCCCACGGGGAAGTCAGCCATGGCATCTGTCACAGACTCGATGTCGCTGGTACATTTCCACGGAGAGAGATATTTACAATAGTAAATTTCTAGGCTTTGATAAAAACACTGGGTACGATTTGTTTTGATAGGCATGAACATACTTGTAATCGGAAACCCAGCTGAGGAAATGAGCTTGCCAGCCCAGGGTAAGTTCTTAGAACTTAGAACACAGGGATCTTTCAGACCCTGGGAGTCAAGTGGCAGACAGTGAGCCACAGGGGCAAAGTCAAGGACACTGATTCTGCGTAAAGACCTTGAACAACAGGACAGGACCAGAACCATAGCACAGGGTGCTCATGGATAAGGCGAATGGGATATTTCCTTTTCTGCTTCCCATAGCACTTTGTCCAGAAACAAAGAGTGGGGTGGGGCGCTAAGGGGCCAGTAATCCAAGAGCTTCGCTGTTTCTTAACGCAACATTATAGACTGGATTATGGATTGGTAGCAATTACATCTCTTCTGTTTTTTGCCTGCTTGGCAAAGGAGTACAAATTCAGAATATTATCCTAGAACAAGTCAGGTTTAATTGCTTATCTCAACAAAACTATGAAATCAGAGCAGCAGGTGACATGAAGGAGGCAACTACCAAAAATGCCATGTCTATATGCAGAAATGCCAGCGTGAATGTCCTCCACAATGTTAGCAATGGTCAGGTTGGGGATGGGCTGTTGCGGGTGATTTCTTTACATGGTATTTGCTTATAGTGCTTGGATTTTTTTTCTTTCTTTTTTTTTTTTTTTGCCAATGTATTTAAATTTTCACAAAAACAAAAGCCTTTTTAAAAGCAAAAAGATAGGTCAGGAGTTCGAGACCAGCCTGGCCAACATGGTGAAACCCCCATCTCTACTAAAAATACAAAAATTAGCCGGGCATGGTGACGCGCACCCGTAATCCCAGCTACTTAGGAAGCTGAGGCAGGAGAATGGCTTGAACCTGGCAGGCGGAGGTTGCAGTGAGCCGAGCTCACACCAGTACACTCCAGCCTGGGTGACAGAGTGAGACTCCGTCTAAAAAAAAAAAAAAAAAAAAGCCATGAGACGGGCAAGTGAAAGTCTGAAACAGATGTAGATTCCAATTCTCCTATTTCTGCCACTTAGCCATGCTGGGTCTCAGCATCTCATTTGCAAAAGGCCTTGCTGAGTTTCTCTAGGGGCAGGTAGCACACACCTGCCTTATGTCATGTGTTTGGAAAAACTTTTGTCTCCTCATAACTCCAGCACAGCTCAGAGATGGGAAGGCGACTTTTTATATTAACCTGAGGAGGGTATTAAATGAAGAAGGCAATCCAGACAAGTGGCTATTTCCTCCTAGCTTTGGCTCTGGGGACACCTTGGCATCCTGGGTGACATGGTAGGTTACAGAGCCGCTAAAATGGGCATGGGCAGACACACTGATCCAATACTAAGAGTTCAGCTGTAGCGTCCGGTGTTTCATGATACTCACTTGTCTTCCTCCCTTGCAACCCAGCCATTTCATGGGACCAACGGGCCACCACAGGGCATGGGATCAGATCTCAACACATTCTGCAGGCCCTTGTCGAAATTCTTCCCTAGTTCACTAGTGGGAGAGGGATTGGGTGTGGTTGCCAAAGAAATAAAAGCGTTGAAATTTCAATAGAAATGCCATAATTTATTCCATTGTATAAAAAAGTCATCCTTATGTAACAAAATGTCTTCTTAGAAGAAGAAATATATTATTTCAGGTCATAAATAATCAGCAAACATACAACTGTTGGCAACTAAAAAAAAACCCAACACTGGTATTTTCCATCAGTGCTGAAAACAAACCTGCTTAAGATATATTTACAGGATAGTACAGTACTCAAAAACAAAAATTGAGGTATTTGGTTCTTCTAGGAGTAGACAATGACATTTGTGAAGGCAGACACCTACACAAAAATAAATAAGGTATATTCTCATATGTATATGTGTCGTCGGGAATAATACTGGTAGGTATGTCAAGCATGAAGAGATTCTACAAAAAACAGGGGCGAGCAAAAAGAAACCGGATCACACACTGAGTCCTTTCTCTTCTGCCCCATTTTGTCAGATGGACTTGATGTACCCACTATATATTGGTCCCGAATGTGCTGAGTTCAGCAAATGTCTTGACGCTAAGTCATCACCATAACTGCTTAGAAACCCAGAGGAACTCGGGTGAAGTTAAATAAATAAGGACCAGCCCTCTCGAGCCCCTCCCAGAGTTATTGCATTTCTCCTCTCAAGGAGCATGGAGTCCCAATGGGATGTGAAGAGCCTCACCTCCCGTGGCCTTTCAGCAGCTGGGAGAGGTCGTAATGGGGCTCTGAAGGTAGCTCAGCGCACTGTTCGTGGAGTGGACAGGGATGGAGACGGGGAAGTTGAACACGGTGGTGGTGGAGGTGCCTCGGTCGAGCACAGCCATGGCGGGGCTCCCAGCCTCTGCCGAACAGTGCGGAGCCAGCACCTGGGACTCAAACTGCAGCAGCTGGCCCATGAAGCTGAAGTTGGGAGAGATGATGCTTCGCCTCTGCTTCACAAACTCAAAGGCCTCGTCCAGCTTGACTCGATTAGTCCTCATAAGGTAAGCAAGGCAGATGGTGGCTGACCGGGAAATGCCTGCCTGGCAGTGGACAAACACCCTTCCTCCAGCATTCTTGATGGAGTCTGGAAAACCAAAGGAGCGGCTGGTTACTTGAGAGTTCAGGAGAACCACCCCAAGCCCAGGTACAGTGTATCTGAGAAAGGTCATGTGTGTCTTGTCTAGAAATGGTCAACATCACCACATGCCATCACATGGATACTGTTCATGGAGGCAACGTGGGCACTGTGCAAAGGATGGCACAGGATTTAAACTCAGACTGGGGATTTCCACTTAGCAGATAGATCTCAGACCAGTCAATTCAACTTTGTGAGCCCCACTTTGCAAATCTGTAAAGTGGGACATCGAATCAAATTCATATTTTACAGGAATGTTGCCCACACCAGACTGATACTGAATGTGTGGAAGAAGGCTCAGAAAACTTCAAGCTCTTGCCACAGAGGTTGGGCTTAGTGGCTAAAATGAGAAGAGAAAGGCAGAAAAGCCCCAGGCATCCATTCCATTTACCTATGAAGTCAATGGCCTCGTTGAACCAGGAGCTGATGTCTGCCTTGTGGTTGTCCTCCACAGGGATGCTCTTGTACTGGTAGTGACCCTCAAAATGGTTGGGACAATTGGCTGAGACGTTGATCAAGGCAGTGATGCCCAAGGCATCCAGCATGTCCTTGCGGGAAGCGTGATACGCACTGCCCAGGTACAGAAAGGGCAGGATTTCCACCGGGCCACCCTGAAATCCAGAAATATCCAACATTCATCAAGCTTGCTCAAAGCCAAGGCCAGTGCCCATACCCACAAAAACTTTCTGCTGGAAAAGTCAATTTCAGATACCGAGTGAACTCAGTTCTGTTGCTGGAGGATAAATAAATAGGGAACTAAGCCCATTTGCCTGGGCAGGACCAGCAAGTTCATTTCCGTAGAGCCTACAATTGGAGACTCGGCTCCGTCAGACCACTTAACTGTGGAATAAATCATATCCCTGTGTCCCCTCCGTTATAAATAATGCTGCAGGTCACTTTCTATATTCTCCCTGGCACTACTCTTCCATGCCTTTGCCAGTTCTTACTTCTTCCCTGTGGCAGGGACACCTACTAACCTGATCGTAGAGTGGGGTACTGCAGGAACTGCACCCAGATTCCGCGCTGTCAGGGACGCTAGTACTCAGGGGAAGGCTGAGCCCCATGGGGGTCGACTGTTTGCTGCACAGCTCCGGGCAGGAAGCCGAAAACGCTTCGTATCCTCCTGGGAATACAAAGACATTTTTTTTCCCCATTAGTGACACCGGGACACGGCACCTTCATACAACTCCCCCACCCACCAAGGGCTGGAAGTTTACATCGGAAAGGCCCAGGCAAGTCTTTGTTTCCAGAGCCAAACAAAGCCAATGACAAGTTCCAGAGATAAATGTACTCCAGCGCCCACGCGCTGCAGGTGGGGCGATCCCCCGGGAGCCGAGAGCCAGGGGTACCGGGCAAAACCTCAGGGGTGTGCGGCCCGCCCCGAGCTTCCCCGAGGGCGTACCTTTGAGGAAGAAGACTTGCGCGGCGCGCGCCTCGCGGCAGAGCGCGCCGGCCGCCAGGGCCAGGGTGCCGTCGCGCTTGGCGCCGTCCAGGGCGGCGCTGCGCTCGTCCAGCAACACCACGGCGTGGTAGGCGCCGGCCAGCAGGCGGCCGCGGAGCTCGGCGTTGGGCACGATGTGCTCCAGGCCCATGGCGCCCTTGGCCCGGCGCCGCACGATGGTGCTGAAGCGCACGTTGACAGAGCCGGCGATGTGGCCGGCGTTGAAAGCGAAGAAGGAGCGGCAGTCCAGCAGCAGGCATTGCGCCGCTCGCTCCCCCAGCAGCGCCCGCAGGCCTCCAGCGTCCAGGGTGCCCACTTCCATGACCATGGCCGGCCTCAGCGCCCCCAGCGTGATCGGCCCTGCGGTGCTCTTTGTCTGTTCTCGGGGCCAAGGGCAGGGCGGCGCTTTTCGAGGAAAAGCTAGACCCCCGGGTCTCTCTGCGCCGAACCAAAAGCCGCTTTTGGACTGAGAGAGGAGCGTCACGCGGGGCTCCGGGCTCCTCGGCTTCTTCGCGGTTCCCCCGACTGCCCCTCCGACCCGCGTCGCACACACAGCCCAAATGTCCTTCGCAGCGAGCCTGGCCCGGGGAGCGCGTTTATATGCGGCCTCTGGGGGACGGGGCGGGCCAGACCCGCGCGCAGGGGGAGGGGGGGTGTTTGTTTGAATGGTGATCACGTGACGGGGCGGTGACGTCACCCGCCCTGCCAGGCCAGGCGCCGCCGAGCCAGAGGGGGAGACGTCATCAGCCTCGGAGCTGGGTCCGCTCGCCGCGCGCTGGCTCGCGGCCCGGCCCCCGCCCTGCTGTCCGGCCTGCTCTTGGCGCGTCCCCAGGGACCGGACCCGCGCCGCGCTCCAGGCCCAGCGGGGAGGAGGAGGGCTCGCTGCCAGCTGAGGCTGACCTCCGGGATGCGAGCGGCCGGGAGAACGGGCGACGTGCCACCTGCCTTGGCCTCGCCGCTCCTCCCTCTCTCCCTCCCCGAGTCCCCTTCCCCGTGCCCCTCGGCCGCCGACCTGAACCGAAAGGGGCTTCCTGTGCTTTTGCATACTCTTGTGCCCCTTTTCCTCATTTCCTCATCACTAACAGGCGGGGAAACTGAGGTTCCCCAGGCGAAGCGACTGACTTGCCCAGAACCACACTACTGGGGTGGGGGCAGCAAATAGGCGCCTAAGATGAAGTTTAGAGAAAAATGAACAACTCTGCCGATAGAAAAGTCGTCCCTACCAAGACCGACTCGAGCGAGTTGGGGCGGAGAGGTTCAGGGCAATGCTTTCCTGTTTCCCAGACTTTTCTTTAAGGTGGCTTTAAAATATCTACATTTGCCATGAAAGTGTGAGCAAGCAAACTCCCACCGGGAAATAATGCTATTCCTAGTCTTGTGGCCCCCGGAAGACTTGGAGCCAAGGGAGGCAGGTCAGGGGGCTGAAATCCCGGTGAGGGGTCGCAAGGCCCCGCAGTGGATTCCAGGGTTTGGCGTTTGGAGGGGTGAGGGGCGACCCGCAGCGCGACTCGACGGCGCCCCCCAGGGGCCGCCCGACACGTTTCTGTCACCTTGGCTCCAGACTGAGCTTCTCCATCCCTTTCTTTATTATACAAATAGGCAGTATACACAGTGAGCGCCCACTAAGCGCTGGGCTGGGGGCCTCCAACCCGGAACAGAAGCCGGCCACAACCCTCGCTCCCTGTCGTCGCGGCCGTTATAGGCCGAAAGCAAAATCCAATCCCGGGCCATTGTGGGCGGATTGCCAGGACCTGGATCGCAACACTTGGGAAGACCCCCGCCCCGCCCAGCGATCTCCGTGCCCTGAGTCCCAGTGACGGCCCCCTGGACAGCGGAGCCTGCTGCAGCGACGCGACGCGCTGGGTACACAAACATAAACATTGCGCCACCCGCCCGGGTGCCGAGTCAGGAACATTCTGCGGTTTCCTCCCCTCCTGGGGGAGGGGATTTCGCTGGCCACCCTGTGTCGTCGCTGTGCGAGCTGTATCACCAGTGGCAACTTCTGCATTTGCCTCGCTTAGCTTGTGTGTTTTCGCCTGCGCAAATGTTCTGCCTGGATTCTTCTAGAAAAGTTCAGGGCATGGAGTGCTTTTTTTTTTAAAAGGGCGTCTTCTACCTTCATTTGAACATTGGTCGAGGACAGCAAAGAGGTCCTCAGATAAGGGCAACGCCCTCCCTGTATGGAGAGATAGAAGAAAAAGAAATTGTTTATACTACTTATTCAGCTGAGGAACTCAACATAGTTTTTGCGTTGAATCATAGAATGTTACAGCTGCTGACTTTTCACTGCATACCGACTTGATTTGTCCCATTTTTTTTCTCACCAAGAGCATTTATTATACCTTCCCCTACCGAAATTTTTCAAAAAGAAAACTTTTTAAGAGCTGGGCGCTGTGGCTCACACCTGTAATCCCAGCACTTCGGGAGGCCGTGGGGGGGCGGATCATGAGGTCAGGAGATCGAGACCATCCTGGCCAACATGGTGAAACCCTGTCTCTACTAAAAATACAAAAATTAGTTGGGTGTGGTGGTGGGCGCCTGTAATCCCAGTTACTCGAGAGCCTGAGGCTGAACCCGGGAGGCAGAGGTTGCAGTGAGCCAAGATCACACCACTGCACTCCAGCCTGGTGACAGAGCAAGACTCTGTCTCAAAAAAAAAAAAGAAAAGAAAACTTTTTAATGCCGTTATCATAGTAGTAGTGGCGCAGTCTGGCCCTAGAGCCAGGTGTCTGCTGGCCTCTCCTGCTTTTCTCTCTCCTCCCTTGCTGGAAAGAGTGCAGAGAGTAGACTTGAACCCTGTCATTTTGCTGCTGGATGGTCAGAGGTGAGTCTCGACCCCTACTGAGCCTCCAAACCCACGTCTGTACAGTGCGTCTACACTGGCCCACTTTGTAGATGGTTTGAGGCCCAAGTGAGAGATGGGGGGTTTAGGGAACTCAGGCCCTACCTCACCCCTGCTCTTTATGATTCACTGTATCTCTAGGGTTTCCCCTTCCCAGCAGAATGGTTCTTTATATATCATCATGCCCCTGTGCCTTTCAGAGACTTGCCTCAGAACCAGGGAGAAGGTCACTGCAAGCCATCTGCTTATGAGATACATCAGTGGACAGGGGCCCAACTCAGGCAGAGCTCCTCTTTAAGGCCCACTAACACACAGTGCTCGGGCCAGTGGGTCACCTGCCCGGCGACAAGTGGTAAACGTGTAGCCACCTAGGCCCCCAATCCAGGCAGTGGAGATGCTGCTTCTGACTGAGGATGGAGCCAAAGAGAGCCCAGCATAATCTGGTCTCTGTAACCACAGAAGGAGTGAGGGACTGGCCTTGTGGGCCTGGCTGCCAGAGGGAGTGAAGCAGATAAATCAGTGGATGTTGACTCAGGGGAGAGAATTGGGCCTTTCTGACCTGGGCTGTTCCCAATTCTACCTAGTCCTGCTTAGGAATAAACCTGGAGACAGTGAGGAGTAGCGGAAAGAAGGGTTCAGGGTTCCACACTCCCCAAAAAGCTGGCCTGGATTTTCTACCTTTAATGTGTGGCCTTGAGTAAGTGCCCCCATGGTGCTGAGCTCCACCCCCTCCTTCCCATGATGGAGAGAAGAATAATAACATTCACCTCCAGGGACTCTGGGGAGACTCAGTGTAGCCAGGGTTGGCCCTAGCTCACAATCCCTGTCCTAATCCTGCTCTCAAAGGCGACTTTGGATCTCTCTTGGGATCACAGGAAAAGAAAAGAGTTGAGCTCCCGCTGATGACAGTCAGAAAGAGGCCCCCGCTCACTGTCTGCTTGGTGACCTTGGGCAAGCAGCTTACCGTTTCTGAGCCTCTGTTTCCCCATTTGTAAACTGGGAATAACATCCATTTAGGACCAAGTAAAACAGTGTATAAGAACCTGATGTGGATGACACCCAAAGAGGGTGCTCTCAAGAGAGGGAGCAGGGCCCCACATTCATGTTCCCTCTTTCAAAAACCACGGCGTTTTTCCTGTCTCCCCTGTGCTGTATGGGGGTTCCTCCCCTCAATAGCCTTCTATAACTCCCCATTTCTTAGCAAATCCAAAACTCACTGCCACTGGGCCTCGGCCATCTATATGGCTCAGCTTCCCACTCTCTTTGCTTTCTCTCTTGTGCTCCAGGAAAATTCTGTGGGCCTGTGTTCCTAGAATGTTCTTGTCCTCTCCCACATCTTTGCTCACATTCCTCCCCCTCCCCCTGCCAGACAGTGGCCCCTCTGGGCTCCCCCATAGTCTTTCCAGGTGAAGACTCCTCTGGTTTCTCCAACTTCTCCCTCTCCTGCGTCTGGAGGACATTGTCCGTATATTCTGATTGTGTACAAGTCACCTAGATCTTTGTCGTACTCTCCCCAGGTTCTAAGTTGGTCAGCTTGAGGGCAAGGGGTGTGTTTTTCTCAACATTGCACTCCCCAGCCTACTACCTTTGATGCAGTGCCTGGCACATAGTAGGTTCACAATTTGGGAAACGGTAGAATTGTTTCAAAGGGTACTGTTGAAAAGTGTCAGAAGAGAGGAGGGTGGTCACTGACACTCATTAGGCCTCACCTCTGGGCCAGGTGCATTACAGGTATCATTCCATGAATCTATCAGTGATCCTGTGAGGTGCTTGTTGTCCCCATTTTATAGGCAAGGCAAGAGGCTCAGAGAGGAGACATACCAAAGGTCACATGCCTAAGGTTATAAAGCTGGTAATCATCAGACACAGATCCAAACCCAGCGCCTGTCTGACTTGAGAGAGGGAGCTGGGCCTGGGTCTGTTGAGGCCTCCGCGTCTGCCAGCCCCATGTCTGGCAGCACTGGCTGAAGCCTCTGCCTCCCAGCTTCCTGGAGTTCTTCTCGCTGGACGGAGTGGTCCCTGGTGTCAGCCCAGCAGGGAGCCTGGAGCCTTCTAAGACTCCCAACTCAGGCCCTAGTGCCGCTGCTGAAGAGACTCTGTAGCCACTCAGGCCTACCTTGAGGGACTGGCAAGGGGCTGACTTCACCCTCTACACCCAGGCAGTTGGGACAGAGCTAGCTGCCATTGCACAATCTTTACAAACAGATCTCCATGCTCAGACCTGGCAGGGCCCACAGAGCTGTGTCATCCTGTCTAACCTCCTCATTTGAGAGGCAAGAGCCCAGAGAGGTTAGGCAATCTGTCCAAAGTCACACAGTGTTCAGAACATTCTAACCGTAGTCAGCATTGTGTGAGCTGTGTGTCCAAACCCTTAACAGTGTTTATCTTTGGAAGGTGGAGTTCCTCTCATTTTCTTCCTTATGACTCTGAATGATTTGAACTTTTTAAACTTAAATGTGTAACTTTTGTAACGAAGAATAAAAGAAGATTAGAAGGCAATCATATGTAGGTAACAGCATTGTTGTTAAAACCAAGTTACAGAGTTAGACTGCCTGGATTAGAATCCCAGCTTGCTTACTCACCAGCTGTGTGTATTTGGGCAAGTTACTTTACCTCTGTGAGACTCAGTTTTCTCATCTTTAAAGCGGGAATAATAATCATATCGATCTTGTAGGGCTGATAGGAAGGTTATATAAGACAGTGATTGGCACACTAGAGCCTGTGAACCAAACCTAGCTCGCTCCCTCCTTCTGTACAAACCACAAACTAAGACTGGTTTTTATATTTTAAATGGTTGGGGGAAAAAAATCAAAAGAAGAATCTCATTTTATGACATGTGAATGTCATATAAAATTCAAACTTCAGTGTCCATAAATAAAGTTTTATTGGAACACAGCCACACCCGTTCCTTTACATGGTATCTGTGGCTGCTGTCACACTACAATGGGAGGCGTATATTGTGACAGAGACAGTATGGCTCACAAAGCCTCAAATATTTACCCAAGTCCCTTTACAGGAAAAGTTTGCCAACCCCTGATAGGAGCTCATGGATGAAAAGTACTGTAGAACAATGCCTGACACAGAGTAAGTGTTTAGAAAACTTTGTTATTATTATTATATAGATATTTATAAAATCTTCTTCCCTTCCGATGTTTTTAAAAGCAGTAATTGCTTTCATCATATAATTCATTGTGTTGAAGGCACAGTTTTCATATTTTAGCATTTCTCAGAGTGTAACAATTGGAGGCATGTCATCATTAATTGACAGCATTTTCCTTTCTTAATGGTGCACAGATTAATGAAAGGGCCTCAGAACTGATGACATCTTAGAGCCAGTAGATGCAGTAAAGTATAAAAGGTTTAAGATGGAGAAGAATTAAAGTGCTACAGTCATTCAGTTAACATCCGTTCTAGTAGTGGGACAGACTTGTTAAGTGCCAGGATAGAAACTGGGTAGCCCAGGAAAGATGCCCAGAGGAGGGGACGTCTACTTGGAGATGTAAAGGCTGATGTAGGATAGAAATACCTGGAGGAAATGCCTTTGAGAGGTGGGCCTCAGTTACTTACCACTTTCCCCCGGAAGCCTCACCTCCCCATAAAATAAGAATAGTAATAACCCCTAAAGACCACTTTGTGATTCATTTTCTTTTCTTTTTTTTTTTTTTTTTTTTCATTTGGAGTCTCGCTCTATCGCCCAGGCTGGAGTACAGTGGCGCGATCTCAGCTCACTGCAACCTCCGCCTCCAGGGTTCAAGCGATTCTGCTACCTTAGCCTCCTGAGTAGCTGGGATTACAGGCACCTGCCACCACGCCTGGCTAATTTTTGTATTTTTAGTAGAGACAGGGTTTCACCATGTTGGTCAGGCCGGTCTCAAGCTCCTGACCTCATGATCTACCTGCCCTGGCCTCCCAAAGTGCTGGGATTACAGGCGTGAGCCACTGCGACCGGCTTATCAATAATCATTTATATCTCTCCCACTAGCTTGGAAGCTAGGGCATGATTTCTTGTCTCTCTTGGTCCCCAGTACAGATCTCAAAGCAAGGCTTGTTGGACAAATAAATGAAGATGAGCCCAAGAGCCCAGGAGAGGGACCGGGAACAGCAGGGCCTCCGTGACTCACACAAGCTTCATCCCTGAACCAAGGACGCAGCCTGCCAACAATGGCCCCAAGCCACACCCCGCCACAGGGGGAACTGATGCTGCGGTGAGAAGTGACAGCTTTCTGTTGACTCTTTTTTTTTTCAAGCAGAATATGAATTGAGACATACTTTCATTTTCATAATCAGAACCTAACACTTAGTAACCAATGTTGGTGGAAGCAAATGAGATCACAGTTTGTCTGTTCCAAACTCATCTCTGGGAAAAGGAGGAGGAAAAATTATTGGCACTATGTTCAGAATCATAGCTGAAGATGCAGAAATTGTTCATCCCAATTTTGCCTTTGTAAGTAATGTGGGGGCAGTTCTTATTAGTAATTGCCAATCTCTACTGAGACACAGTATTTTGCTAGGCGCTTTATATTCATTTCCTGGTATGATCATGACATTAACCCTGTGAAATGCGTACCCTTACTATCTCCATGTGAAGAAATGAGGGAACTGAGGACCAGAGAGGTGAACTGACTTGTCCAAAGACACACAGTAAGGGCTGTGACTCTCCGCTTTCTAAGATTTTTGTTCTTATCGCTCCACAGCACATAGCAGGCGTAGTATGAAGGCAGCATGCTGCACAATTTCGCTGTTTGTTTCTTGGAATAATAATTTATAGGGGACTGCTTCTAGATTCCAAAGGAAAGAGAAAGGAAATATGCCCCAAACTCAGGCTTTCAGCCTGGCCCTGCCTGACTCACTGAGCTGCATTGGACAAATGATTCATTCACTGGCCTTGACCTCAGTGGGTTTGGCCACCCATTGAGAGTGAAGTCACACCTCCAGCACTGCGATGCATTTATTGATCCACTCACCTAGCTTCATGGCAGGCAAGAAACAGGCCTGTGTGAGCCTGCCCAGGATCAGGGACAGGAGAGCACACAGGTGTTTCTGGATATCCTCAAGCTGTAGCTGGGCTGCTCGATTCTTCCCTAGGAGATCCTCCGGGGGCCTGAATTAGTTTGCTAGGGCTTCCGTAACAAAGCGCCACAGACTGAGCGGCTTAAATAAAAATGTGTCATCTCATGGTTCTGGAGGCTGGAAGTCTGAGATCAAGGTGCTGGGGATTAGGACTTGAACATATGTTTTTTGGGGGCACACTTCAACCCTCCGGAGGGCCTGTGCCCCAAAGAGAGCCTCCTTCTGTGTGCAGTGAAGGTGTGAGTTCTAAACATGAGAAAAAAACACCCCTTGTTCTTGGATAGGGTGACTCGATACCACAAGCAGGTCCAACTGGCCCAGGTAAATATATTCGTTTAACATGATCGTCACCAAAATATTGAGGGTAGGTGTTTTTTTCTGGAGTTAAACAAGTTGATTCTGGAGTTGATATGAAATAATAAACAAGCAAAAATAGCCAGAATTGTTTTTTTTAAAAAAGGGCAATGGGGTGGAGGTAAGCCCTACCAGACATTAAAACACATCATAAAGCTTCTGTAATTGGCAGGGCACAGTGGCTCATGCCTGTAACCCCAGCACTTTGAGAGGCTGTGATGGGAGGATTGCTTGAGCCCAGGAGTTTCAGACCAGCCTGAGCAACATAGCGAGACTCCATCTCTACAAAAATAAAAAATTAAAAGTTAGCTAAGTGTGGTGGTGTGCACTCGTAATCTCAGCTATTCCAGAAGTTGAGGTGGAAGGCTTGCTTAAGCCAAGGAATCTGAGGCTGCATTGAGCCATGATCACACCACTGCACTCCAGCCTGGGGGATGGAGTGAGATCATGTCTCTAAATATTTTTTTTTTTTTGAGACAGAGTCTCACTCTGTCGCCCAGGCTGGAGTGCCATGGTGCGATTTCATCTCACCGCAACCTCTGCCGCCCATGTTCAAGCAATTCTCCTCCCTCGGCCTCCCAAGTAGCTGGGATTATAGGTGCCTGCCACTGCGCCCAGCTAATTTTTGTAGTTTTTAGTAGAGACGGGGTTTCATCATCTTCGCCAGGCTGGTCTTGAACTCCTGACCTCATGATCCAGCCGCCTCAGCCTCCCAAATTCCTGGGACTGTTACAGGCGTCAGCCACCGCACCCGGCCTCTAAATTTTTTTTTTTTAATGTTTTAAAGCCTCTGTAATAAAAATGGTGTACCTGGAAACAAATAGCGAGACAGACCAATGGAACACAATAGAAAGTCCAGAAATGTATCCAAGTACACATGAAGATTTGGTGCATGGCCAAGGTGGCGTCTCAGATCACTGGAACATAAGACTTCTTAATAAGCATGCTGGAACCATGGCATTGCATTTGGAAAAAAGATAAAAGTGGATCCATACCTCACACCAAACATCAGAATAAACACCGAATGGTCCAGAGATCCAGATTTTAAAAAATGAAACCTTACAACTTCTTTTTTATTATTTTTTCATTTTTTAAGACTAGTCAACTACAGTAGTGAGAAGAGGGGAAAGGGTAGAACAAGGAGTTTGATCAGTAACTGACAGTCAACAAATCATTGAGATAACTCTCTACCTTTGAACCAGCCAAGGAAAGTTTACAACTCTTTTTTTTTTTTTTTTTTTTTTTGATACAGAGTCTCACTCTGTCACCCAGGCTGGAGTGCCGGGGAGCAATCTCTGCTCATTGTAGCCTCCGCCTACCAGGTTCAAAAGTCTCCTGCCTCAGCCTCCTGAGTAGCTGAGACTGCAGGCACCCACCACCATGCCTGGCTAATTTTTCTATTTTTAGTAGAAATGGGGTTTCACCATTGTTGGTCAGGCTGGTCTCAAACTCCTGACCTCAAGTGATCCATCCGCCTTGGCGTCCCAAAGTGTTGGGATTATAGGTGTGAGCCACCACACCGGCCAGTTTACAACTTTTAAAAGAAAACAGAGGGAAATGTATTTATAACCCAGGAGTAAGAAAATTTTTTATCTATTTAGGACTCAAAAGCCACAAACAATGAAAGAAAATTTTGATAAATTCAACTATATAAAAATTAAAGCCAAATTTTTAGAAAGCTTTTTATGCCTAAAGCTCCATAAGCAAAATTAAATTTTATTTAAAAAAAGGCAAATGGGGCTGGGCGTGGTGGCTCATGCCTGTGATCCCAGCACTTTGGGAGGCCAAGGCAGGCGGATCATGAGATCAGGAGATCAAGACCATCCTGGCTAACACGGTGAAACCCCATCTCTACTAAAAATACACACACACAAAAAAATTAGCTGGGTGTGGGGACGGGGGGCCTGTAGTCCCAGCTAGTCAGGAGGCTGAGGCAGGAGAGTGGTGTGAACCCAGGAGGTGGAGCTTGCAGTGAGCCGAGATCACACCACTGCACTCCAACCTGGGCGACAGAGTGAGACTCTGTCTCAAAAAAAATAAATAAACAAAAATAAAAAATAAAGGCAAATGGGAAAAAAAATTGTAATTTACAGATGAAGGCCAATTCCACCTATCTTAAAGGAGTTCTTAAAAACAAAGGATGAAAAAGCCAAAAATATGATTTTAAAATAGACAAAAACTGTGAGCAGATAGTTTACAGAAAAAGAACTACAGTCCTTCTGAACATGTTAAATGCCCATTCTTTTTTTTTTTTTTCCTTTTTGAGACAGAGTCTCGCTCTGTCACCCAGGCTGGAGTGCAATGGCATGATCTCAGCTCACTGCAACCTCCGTCTCCTGGGTTCAAGCTATTCTCCTGTCTCAGCCTCCCCAGTAGCTGGGACTATAGGCACCCGCCACCACACATGGCTAATTTTGTAATTTTAGTAGAGACAGGGTTTCACCATGTTGGCCATGCTGGTCTTGAACTCCTGACCTCAGGTGATCTGCCTGCCTCAGCCTCCCAAAGTGCTGGGATTACAGGCGTGAGCCACCACACCTGGCCTAGATTTCCACTGTTAATCATAATAAGAGACAAGAAAATTACTTAAGAGACTGTTTCTCATCCATCATCAGATTAGCCAAAATCCAAAAACTTGACAGCACCCTCTGGGACAAGGGAAACCTGACTATGGACTGGATATTAGGTAATATTATGGAATTGTTAATTCCACTTTGGTGGGTGCCTAGAAGAATATCTTGTTCTTAAGAGATGCATGCTGAAGTATTTAGCAGAGAAGGGTCATGATGTTGGCAACTTGGTCTCAAATGGTTTGGGGAGGAAAAATATGCACACATAAATCAATTAATCGTGGCAAAACATTAACAATTGTTGTGTCTATATGATGGGCATAAGGGTGTTCACGTGCAATGCTGTTGAGCTCAGAGGGCATTATGCTGAGTGAAATAAGCCAGACACAGAACGGGATCTCACTTACATGTGGAATCTTAAAAGTCGAACTCATAAAATCAAAGAATAGAATGGTGGTTGCAAAGCACTGGGAGGTAGGGGAAATGGGGAGATGTTGGTCAAAGGGTACAAACTTTCAGTTATTGAGGATGAATAAGGGTTAAGGTTAGGGTTAGGATCGAGTACACCTTATATTTATATAATTTTATTTGTCAATTATACCTCAATAAAGCTGAAGAAAGCCACCACTAAGAAAACGAAAAGAGAAGCAGCAGACCAGGAGAAAATATTTGCAAAACCAAATCTGATAACGGACTTGTATCCAGTATTTGCAAAGAACTTCTAAACTTAATAACAACAACGACGACAAAGGAGCAAAATCCCTGGTGGTCTAGCAGTGAGGATTAAAAAAGAAAAGAAGCAAAATATATGAACAGCTGTTTCTCCAAAGGAGATATACCAATAGCTAATAAAATATGCACAGATGCTCCACAACATTAGTCATTAGGGAAATACAGATTAAAATCACCATGAGGTACTACTTCACACACACTAGAATGACTAATCAAAGACAGATAATAACAGAAGTTGGCTAGGATGTGGAGAAACAGAACTGCTATGGTTTTAATGTCCCCTCTAAAACCCATGTTGAAATTTAATTGCCATTTGCAGTATTAAGTAGTGGGACCTTTATAAATTACCCAGTCTGTGGTATTCTGTTATAGCAGCAGAAAACAAACTAAGACAAGAACCCTCATACATTGCAGGTGGGAATATAAAGTGGTGCAGCCTCTTTGGAAAACAGTTTGGAGGTTCCTCAAAAAGTTAAACATACAATTACCATATGACCCAGCAATTCCACTCCCTAGGTATCTACCCAAGAGAAATGAAAACAGGTACTATACAAACAAAGACTTGTGAGTCACTGTTCATACAGCATAATCCATAATAGCCAAACACTGGAAACAACCTAAATATCCATCCACTGATGAATGAATAGGCAAAATGTGCTCTATCCATGCACTGGAACACTATTCACCAACAGAAAGGAGCAAACTGCTGACGCACGCTGCCGTATGGATGAACCTCAAAGGTGGGAAAGTTCAAGAAGCTAGGCACAAGGAACTGCGTATTGTATGATTCCATTTATATGAAATGTCCGGAAAGGCAAATTTAGAGAAACAGTAAACAGATTAATGGCTGGGTCTGAGGTGGGAACATGATTATCTG
The DNA here is from genome assembly GCF_000001405.40 of Homo sapiens. Lineage (NCBI taxonomy): Eukaryota > Metazoa > Chordata > Mammalia > Primates > Hominidae > Homo > Homo sapiens. The sequence goes on from NC_000005.10 coordinate 172,783,070, forward strand.
TAAGTGGGCATCAGGGAGGAATATTCCTGGGAACCATGAGAATGTTCTAGAATTGATCTTTAATTAATTTTTGTTGTTTTTGTTGTTCTTTGAGATGGAATCTCATGCTGTCACCTGGGCTGAAGTACAATGGCGGGATCTCGGCTCACTCCGACTTCCACCTCCCGGGTTCAAGGGATTCTCCTGCCTCAGCCTCCCGAGTAGCTGGGATTACAGGTGCCCACCACCACGCCCAGCTAATTTTTTGTATTTTTAGTAGAAACAGGGTTTCACTATGTTGGCCAGGCTGGTATTGAACTCCTGACCTCATGATCCGCCCGCCTTGGCCACCCAGATTGCTGGGATTACAGGCGTGAGCCAACGCACCTGGCCCTTTAATTAATTTTTTAAGAGATGGGATCTTGCTCTGTTGCCCAGGCTGGAGTATGGTGGTGTGATCCTGGCTCACTGCAGCCTCAACCTCCCAGGCACAATCAATCCTCCCACCTTAGCTTCCTGAGTAGCTGGGACTGTAGGCATGAACAACTGTGCCTGACTAATTTTAAATTTTTTTTTTGTAGAGATGGGGTCTTGCTTTGTTGCCCAGGCTAGTCTTAAACTCCTGGGCTCAAGCAATCCTCCAGCCTCAGCCTCCCAAGTAGCTCGGATTAAAGGCACACGCAATTGCTCCTGGCTATAAAATTGATTTATAGTGATGGTTGCACTACTTGGTAAAGTTACAAAAAAACATTGAATTGTATACTTGAGTAGGTTGAATTTTACAGTATTTAAATTGTACCTCAATAGATCTATTTTTTAAAAAAGATTTGAGTTTCTTTTTTTATGGTAATCCAGTATTTTATTTGTTCTGCCCATTAATAGCTATTATTTGAGAACATTTACAATATTAATGGAGCTTAATCTAAAATAAATTCAACTTACTTTTTAAAATATCTCAATACTGGGTATTAATAAAAAAAATAGTCAAAATAATTATGGTCAAAATTATGCCAAAAACTTAAAAACAAATGCTTCGTATTAGTATGTCTACACACAATTCAGTATTTGGCATAAAGTGTTTTGGCTGCAAGAAAGGATGCTAGTTTTACTTCACTATGGGGAGTATCTCTTAATGCTTGGGTGACCTCTTTTGGTATTCCTTCTGTTGTTGGTTTTTGGCCTAGTTATCTGTGACTGTATGAATGGAATTGAGTGGAGGGGTATCCATTGTGTTAATTCCAAATAAGAGTGCATAACTTACATAGTTTGGATATTTGTCCCCACCCAAATCTCATGTTGAATTGTAATCCCCAGTGTTGGAGGCGGGGCCTGGTGGGAGGTGTTTGGATCATGGGGGTGGATCTCTCATGGCTCGGTGCTGTGTTCATGATAGATCTGGTCACACCTGTAATCCCAGCACTTTGGAAGGCCAAGGCGGGCAGATCACTTGAGGCCAGGAGTTCGAGACCAGCCTGGGCAACATGGCAAAATCCAGTCTCTACTAAAAATACAAAAATTAGCCAGGCGTGGTGGTGGGCGCCTGTAATCCCAGCTATTCAAGAGGCTGAGGCAGGAGAATAGCTGGAACCTGGGAGGGGAAGTCTGCAGTGAGCCAAGATCATGCCGCTGCACTGCAGCCTGGGGGACATAGCGAGACTCCGTCTCAAACAAATAAAATAAAAGTATATGGTACCCCCCACACCCTGTCTCTCTCGTTCCTGCTTTCACTGTGTAATGTGCCTGCTCCCCCTTGCCTTCTGCCATGATTAGAAGCTTCCTGAGACCTCCCCAGAAACAGATGCTGGTGCCATACCTCCTGTATAGCCTGCAGAACCATTAGCCAATTAAACCTCTTTTCTTATAAAGTTCCCAGTCTCAGAATTTTTTTTTTTTTTTTTGAGATGGAGTATCACTCTGTCCCCCAGGCTGGAGTGCAGTGGCTCGATCTCAGCTCACTGCAACCTCTATCATCCTGGTTCAAGTGATTACCCTGCCTCAGCCTCCCAAGTAGCTGGGATTACAGGCTCCTGCCACTGTGCCCAGCTAATTTTTGTATTTTTAGTAGAGACGGAGTTTCACCATCTTGGCCAGGCTGGTCTTAAACTCCTGACTTCATGATCCACCTGCCTCAGCCTCGTGAAGTGATAGGATTACAGGTGTGAGTCACCGCGCCCAGCCTCAGATATTTCTTTATAGCAATGCCAGAATGGCCTAACAGTAACTGATTACTAAAATAAGGAATAAGGAGATAGACAATGTAACTGCCCAATAATTTTGAGGCCCATAAGTTAAGCCTAAGGAGTTTAACCATGATTCAGGAATAAAGGCCCACACAATATACAGTATGAAGTTAAACTGGAAACAAGAAAAAAACAAGGCCCGGCACCGTGGCCACACCTGTAATCCCAGCACTTTGGGAGGCTGAGGTGGGAGGATTGCTTGAGTCCAGGATTTCGAGACCAGTCTGGGCCACATGGTGAATCCCCATCTCTATAAAAAATACAAAACTTAGCTGAGTGTGGTGACACACACCTGTAGTCCCAGCTACTCAGGAGGCTCAGGTGGGAGGATCGCTTGAGCCCAGGAGGTCAAGGCTGCAGTGAGGCAAGATTGTGCCACTGCACTCCAGCCTGGACGACAGAGCAAGACCCTGTCAGAAAAGAAAAGAAAAGAAAAGAAGAGGAGAGAGAAGAGAGAAGAGAAGAAAAGAGAAGAAAAGAAAAGAAAATCCATAAATGCCTCTTTCTGGCAACAGCAAGGGTGAACCTTCCACCATTTTCCTTGTGACTTTGGACAATCTCAGCACGTTGTTCACATTGCTCTCAGCTCAACTCTGGCCAGGGAACCACAGGGTCCAGAGTTCAAGGTTCAAGTTCAATAATTCAGTGTTGAACACCTGACCCAAAAGGCCTTCTGGCTGTACTAGGCAAGGATAGGACCCACTTCTTTTGCCATGGAGCCCTTGCTGGGCATGGTAGCATTGTAGACACCACCCCACCCCACGTAGGATGGGCACTGGTTTGTATTCATTTATATAGTCAGCTCTCCACTTCGGTATAAACTTCTGAGGACAAATGGGACTTAATAAAGGCTTACAAAGTTAATAAGTGTGATTTGGAAAGCCAGAGCCAAGCAGAAAGAGAATGCCACTTCCGATTTTCTTTTGTCAAGGAAGTGTTTGATTGAGATTTACATTAGTGTGAGAATAAGAAAAAAAGAAAAACTTAGCATGGCAAAAGTACAATATATTTAACCTAATGTGATTTTATCCTAGATATAAGAGAACCCTGGGCAAAAGGGAAAATAGCCCACTTAACGTGAACGAAGTGAGCAAACAACCTACTGTTTCCCTAAAAAGGGTTGGTGGAGAATAGAAAGTAAGAGAAAAATATAGGTAAACGAAAACTTTGGTTGGAGAAGCTGATGCATCTGGATGATAAAAACATGTTATATGAAAGAAACAGAGAGACAGGAAGAATGAATGAAGAGAAGGAAGGAGAGAGAGAGGAGGCCAGTGTAGGGGGACAGCATAAGTGAGGGGGAGAGAGGAGGAAAGAGTGCAGAAAGGTAGGGGACCAGACTTTGCAGGGCCTCTCAGGCCATCAAAAGGATGGGGGGTTTCTCCCCTGAGTGAAGCAAGAACCCTGGACACAGTGGGCAGAGCAAGGACGGATGGATGTGTATGGTACCAGGACAGTGGGACACACTTCATTTGGGAGGGTGAGGAGGAGATAGGTTCACAGGAAAGTCCTCAGCACAGTGACACACAGTAAGCACCAAGCCCACCACTTATATCATGAGCCCTATTCTATCCCCCAATACCTGCAGGCCCAGAGAGGTAAAGCGCCTGCCCAAGGTCACAGCCACAGAAGCACACAGACACACACAGAGACATTTGTCTAGAGGACCGTGGGGAGCCGGGCTAAGCGAGCGGGAAGTCCAGAGGCAGGTTGGCTGCTGGGCAGGAAAGGGCAGAGAGTACATGGTTACCGTGCCGCCGTTGGCCTCTAAATCTGTTCCTTACCTAGGGGATGGGGGAGTAGCAGTGACATCTCCTACATGAGTCATTTAGGTGGTGCACACACACACACAAAGAAACAAACACACACAGACACACAGAGAGACATAGACACACAGAGGCACACACAGACACACAGAGAGACATACAGAGACACACATACATACACACAAACACACACACACACAGATACACAGACATCTGGAGACACACAGAGACACACAGATACACAGAGAGACCTCTAGAGACACACAGACATACAGAGACACACACATACATACACAGAGACACACAGTTATACAGACACACAGAAAGAGACACACAGACACACACAGACACACACATTCATACACACACACAGAAACACACACGTAAACACACATAATACATTAGTAAACTGAACTGCCAAATTGTCAAAATAACAAATTCCAGAATGAGCTAAGCGTTGATGAAATTCTTCCTGTAGAAATGAACAGAAGAGGTGACACCAGGGCTAACCTACTCAGGAATGACCTGGGTAAGCTCTTCCTAGGACAAGCTGTCACAATCTCCCCAAGGAGAAAGAGACACTATGCCATTATGGTTAAAATAAAGGGGTATTTCCTTGACTTCCCTCCCACCATTTTCCCAGGCAGAAAGCAGCACAGTGAGATTCAGATGCAAGCACACACTACTTTTCACCTTGTCAGGCCTCTGAGCCCAAGCTAAGCCATTATATCCCCTGTGACCTGCACGTATACATCCAGATGGCCCGAAGTAACTGAAGAATGACAAAAGAAGTGAAAATGGCCTGTTCCTGCCTTAACGGATGACATTACCTTGTGAAATTCCTTCTCCTGGCTCATCCTGGCTCAAAAGCTCCTCCACTGAGCACCTTGTGACCCCCACCCCTGCCCGCCAGAGAAAAACCCCCTTTGACTGTAATTTTCCTTTACCTACCCAAATCCTATAAAACGGCCCCACCCCTAACTCCCTTCACTGACTCTCTTTTCAGACTCAGCCCGCCTGCACCCAGGTGAAATAAACAGCCTTGTTGCTCACGCAAAGCCTGTTTGGTGGTCTCTTCACACGAACTCAAGTGAAACACCTCACATGCCACGTGGAGGGCCGGCTCCGACGCTAGCGGCCCGGAGAAGCCCAGAGCAATACTCCATCCCAGGCTCCTCACCTAGGACCTTTCGTGATTCCTGCCTCCTGAGCCCCACCTCCAGAACTTCTGATGTCACTCACCTGGGGTAGGCCTGGGCATGTGGAATTTAAACATCTTCACAAGGGTCCCAACATACAGTCTCAGGGCTGCAAACTACTGACTTAAAGGGTTATCTTTCATGCCCAGCATATATTATGGAGAGAAAATAGCAAGTCAAGGAATCTGCATGGTGGTTGGCAAATAGTAGGTGCTCAGCATATGTTCACTGGAGGGTTGAAGTATCCAGCATGGATTCCCTCCTATTATTAGACTTGCCCTTTTCCATGCTTATTTTCTAGCTTTGGCATTCTTTACTCCAAGCTTGTATGCTTTTTTTTTTTTTTTGAGACGTAGTTTCACTTTTGTTGTCCAGGCTGGTGTGCAGCCTGGACACTGCAGGCTCACTGCAACCTCCGCCTCCTGGGTTCAAACGATTCTCCTGCCTCAGCCTCCCGAGTAGCTGGGATTACAGGCATGCTCCACCATGCCCAGCTAATTTCGTATTTTTAGTAGAGACAGGGTTTCTCCATGTTGGTCAGGCTGGTCTCGAACACCCGACCTCAGGTGATCTCTCCGCCTCGGCCTCCCGAAGTGCTGGGATTACAGGCGTGAGCCACTGCGCCTGGCCGCTTGTATGCTTTTTAAAATCAATAATAATGGAGATGATTTGCCAGCTGTTCAAGGACCCACAGGTCAGTTTCTTTTGCTTCCTTTTACTTTCCCTATTCAAGGGACAGGAAACGCCCATAAATAGCCATGGAAAGGAAACGCCTCAGTGGGGGCTGAATCTGTGAGCTGAAGCCCACAGGGCTGAGCTGCTGAGCCCTCCAAAACCCCTTCAAAAGTCCCTAAGCTCGGCAGCCTGGATCCCGCCGTGGGTTGTGGTAACAGAAAAGCTGGGGAGGCCCTGTGGGATGGTGGCACTGGTGGGGGTTGGGGGTGGTCCTGGGTTCCCGAGTCAGCTAGCCTTGGAGCTCCACTAGATCACTAGATCAAGGTCGTGGAGACAAGTCATTCTAGTGACCTCACACTGACATAGCCACCAGGCCCCGCCTCTGGGTGTTTCAGAGAAAACTCCAGGCAGCGGTAGGAGAACGCTCCAAGGGCTGTGTTATCTAGGGTAAAAGCCACATGACACTCTGTGAGGGCCAGCTCAGGGTCCTTGGGCTGCTGATAGGGACACCAAGGCTAGGCTCAGGGTCCCTTGGTGCTGGTCCTAAGCCACACAAGCTCCTGAATTTTAGGACCCTGAAATTCATGGCATCCTGAGGCCCGGCTCCACTCTGGCACCGTCCTGGGACTCTGCCTCAGGCTCTCCTGGCTAGACACAGAGCAGAAGCCAGGTAACTCTACAGCCTAAGGAAGACCCCCAGGAAACCTGAAGCATGGGGAAGCGCTAGGAAATCCCTGCTCCAGCCCTAAGCCTGTTGGAGCAGGGTCCTAGCAACTGCTTCCCCAACCAGAAGCATAGCACCTGCCAGGCCAGGAACTTAAGAGAAATGAAGGCCTCCCCTAATCCCAGGGAGGCAATACTATTATTTCTCCTGTTTACAGACAAGAACCCTGGGGCTGAGAGCCATTTGGTCACGTGACCAGGGCCTTCCCTGCAGAATGGGCAGAGCCAAGTCCCCTGACCCCAAAGTGCAGGCCTCACAGTGCTTTCAGAGTGCCTGAATGGTGGAGGGGGCTGAGGGCTTTCTTCCCAGCCCTGGTCATCTCGCCCCAGGCCTCAGCTGTGGGCATCTACCCAGGAAGGCCAGGAGAGGCAGGCCTGAAGAAGAATCTGGAAGGAGGAGGTCCACCATGGGGCATCAAATACTTCATTTGTATGCTGAGCCAAGCTGGGCTGGAGGCCGGGGGCCCCTCGAGGGCAAGCCTCTGGGCCGGGAGCCAGGCTGACCTCTGCCCACTGAGGCCAGGATGAGTATGTCCTTTTCTGCCTCCCTCTTTCTTAGAAGTACTCTCAGCCCAGTACTTCCTGAGATTTCTGCTGCAGTGCCAAGCAGCCTGCTTAACCCCTCACCTCCCACTCCTTCCGAGGCGACTCAGAACCCAGAGGGGAAGGGTCAGAGGTGTACAGGTGCCCAGGGGTTCCAGGGAAAGAGAGCATGCATCCGGGACCCTGGAGGGCTCTGTTTCAGCTTCACCTCTTAGCCTATGCCTTAAATGGACCACTTCACCCCTCAGAGCCTCTTCAGCTTCAAATGGAGTTTGGCGATGACAACAGCCTGGTAAAGCATGCTTGCAGATGGAACGAAGACAGACCTAGATGGGACACCAAGCACCTTCTCTGGGCCAGGCACTGGCATTACTGATTGACGTGCATTTCCTATTCATTCCTTGCAATCACCCAGTGAGGTAGAAATTAGTATTTCTGCCATTTTTTCATTTTCATGGGACTAAAGCACAGAGAGGGAAGGTAATTGTCCAGGGTCACGCAGCTGGCAGGTGGTAGAGCGGGGGGTAGCTGAGTAGAGGCAAAAAGAAGTCTCATTTGGCCTCTGATGAGTATTCTCAGCACTTTAGGGGCTTCTGGTAGACTGTGGCTCATGCAGGGGTCAGGCCTGGCCCATTCACTGTGCATCCCAGCACCAACACCTAGCAGGATGCCTGGTGCAGAGTCGGTACTCTGAATGGCAAGAGAGCAGCAGTGCAGACATAGGAAGGAAATTCCCTGGGCTCTGGAGTGAGGACTCCCCTCCATCCCCCACCCCCACTGTTTGCCAGCTCTCTCACTTCTCCACTCTGTTACTGCTTGATTGCTTCTGCCTCTTGGAACCTCTGTCTCCTCATCTGTAAAATACAATCATAATAATAGTACCACAAAGGGGATTATGAAGGTTCAAGGGTAAGAGGTGCATATAAAGTCCCCTCACACCTGCGACGCTTGATAAATGGTACCTGCCATTACTAATTGGAAATGGGGAGCTGTCTGCAAAGGGACTTTGAAGAGCAGACCCAGTGTCTTGGGAGATGTTTTGCTGCTATTGAACTTCCTGAGTTCACAGACAGAAGGAGAACTTTCCCAGGTCAGGACGGAGGTGTGAGGGCCTCAGCTCAGAGGAGGGACTCAGGGATATTTGATATCACCTTGTGAGCCAGCATGTGATGGGGCCAACCAAGGATGTGAGACACAGCCTGAGACTCGGGTGGGGCCAGCCTGGGAGCAGGCTGCCTGCTCTGGCCCAGAAGAACCCGCTGAGGGCTGCCAGCTGGATTCTCAGACCAGAGCCTAAGGCTGATGCCAGCCAGGTCGGGGGCCTCAGGCGGGTCCTACCCCCACTGCCTTGGCCAGCTCAAAGAGCCTGCCAGGACCACCCCCACCCACACCCAGCTTCTTCATTCTGATAGGGAAAAGCAAGGCCCAGTGAGGGGCAGGGACTGGCCAAGGTGCCCAGCAGGCACTCGGCAGGGACCAGGATGCCCAGCTCTTGACCCCAGCCATGCCCCTCACTTGGCTGGGCACTCCAACTGAGGCCACCCTGCCCACCTCCAGTGCCCAAGAGGGGACAGACTGTGGACAGGTTGATTTCTGCCCCATGATCACCAGCACCAAGCTGATCTTCCCTGGTTCAGGCCCTGGCATGTGGTAGGGCTTGGAAATACCCGCTGCGCAAGTGAGACCCTACTTGGTGCTGGGCACAGGGGTAGGACCCTTGGAGCCTCACGGGGCTGCCCACCAGGAGACCGTGAGGTCACAGAGGTGGAAACCATGTGAATCGGTGAGGAGGGTGACACAGGCGTGATTTATTAGGGTAGCAGATTTATTAGGGTAGCAGGCTGATGTGGAGGGTCACAGGCTTTGGGCCACACTGTCCAGGTTTAAATCCCAGCTCTACCAGGGACCAACTGTGGGGCCTTGGGAAAGTGCCTTAGCCTCTCTGTGCTTCAGTTTGCTGGGTCCTGGAGTGCTGACCCCTTAGGGTTGCCATGAGGATTAGTGAGATATATGCACTTGGCATGGCCCGGAGTACAGTCAGCACTCACCCAATGGTGGCCATTGTTGCCCTCCACCATCGTTGTCTCCAAGCCATGCACATGCCTGTATATGCATGTGGGGTCCCAGAGAGCTGCACTGCTTCCAAAGAGGAGCTGTCACCGTGACTCACTGGAGCAGAGCTTTCTAAACGGTGTCAGCTCTTCCCTGCTGCTGCTGGTTTTTACATTTTTATTTATTTATTTATTAGACAGGGCCTTGCTCTTGTCACCAAGGCTGGAGTGCAGTGGCAATCCTAGCTCACTCCATCCTTAAACTTCTCGGCTCAAGCAATCCTCCTGTCTCAGCCTCCCAAGTAGCTGGGACTACAGGTGTGCACCACCATGCCTGGCTAATTTTTTTGGTTTTTTTTTGGTCTTTTGCACAGACAGGTTCTCACTATGTTGCCCAGGATGATCCTGGCCTCAAGCAATCCTCCCATCTTGGGCTCCCAAAGTGCTGGGATTACAGGCATAAGCCATTGCATCTGGCCTCTGCTGCTACTGCTAATTCCCTCTGGATCTTTCCAGATGACTCCAGTCCGTCTGAAGCCCCTTCATTCCTGCCCTGGGCTGTCACCCAGCAATTCCTGGGGGTGGGGGCACTGAGGCCCATGAGCGTCCTTACTCTAAATGGCCCCAGAGTGCTGGGTGAAGTGGGGTCAGCCAAGAGCCCTGGGCAGTGGAGCAGGGCTTCTATCCTGGCTCTGCCTGTGGTTTGTGGCAGCCTCAGGCTGGGCATCTCTCCCCTTGGGGCCTCCACATTCTCGTGGTAAGGTAGCAGATGATCTAAAATAAGATTGTGATCTCCACTGCCTCTTTGATGGCACAGACTCCGTTATTCTATTTTTGCGTCTTCTGTTAGTAGCATCGTTGTCCTCAACAGTAGCGAGCATTTATTGAACACCTGTTTTATGCCAGAGACTAAACTTGGTGGTTTGTATCATGGTAGCTATCAGTTACTGCATGCTCGGATCCACCAGCCATAAGCGCGTGGCAGGAGCGTCTCATTCAATCATCACAGATCCCTTCTGGGGAGGAATTATGATCATCCCAACCATAAGGATGAGCAAAGCAGGTTCCACATGATGAGATGCCCTCATTCTGCCAATTTGGACGTAATCACCAAACCATGCCCAAATCCCACTGCTCTGTGAAGGAGGAATTTTCATCTCCCATTCATTGATTAAAGAAAAACCAAAACCCGCTGCCCAGAGAGGGGAAGTGACTCAGCCCTCATCCCACTGTTTGAGATGGTGGCCTCTGAGGACATTCTGCCTCTACTCTCTATCTTCTTTGATGCCAATGGTCTCAGCTGAGGCTTCAAAGAAATGTGACCTGGGCTTTGTGACTCCCAGTTCCTCCTCAGAATTCCTGTTCAGTTACTCTGGGCCTACAGTGGACTCCAGGTAACTAAGGGTCTAGCCTTTGGCCAGAGGTCTGACCTCCAGATAAACTTGAGCTCTAGGGAAGAAAGGCACAGACCATGGAAGGTCACACCGTCTCCACTGCTCCTTCCTCCCTGAAGCTCAAGCAGGGGCTTCTTCCCACCTGGGCCACCTGCTCCGTGATGCACCCACGTTATCTTCTTTGTGGCCTGTGACAATTTCCTGGCTCGGGATGAGGAGCTTCATTTTGCAGATGAGGAAATTGAGGTCGAATGGTTTATCCAAGCAGGGAATCATTCGGTGGTGCCCCAGGCAAATAATATTATCAAGGACGCTTTTTAAAATTCCAGCAGACTGGAGAGGGTGGGTTGTTTTTCCACTTTTGGGTAAGGATTTTGGACTTCAGCCTGCAGGCCCTGCCTCCAGCCAGGCAGAGGAAAAGGTCGCATGAGAGACGCAGCTCTGGTTCAAAGGTCCCTCACGGAGAAGCCTTTTCCTTCCAGCAGCCGCCACGGAAGGCCGACTTACTTGCTCTTTTCAGGCCTCTATTATACTTGCCTTTTACCCCTAAGAGCAAAGAAAAGAGGAAGCTGCTGTTTGCTTTCTGGAGGCCCAGGCAAAGTGAAAATAGGAGCACCCATGAGAAAGATGGTGACTCATTCCCTGACGGAGGGACCAGGCCAGCTAGAGCAGAGGGGCCTTGGGAAGACCTGGGCTTTTGTTCCTTTTGGGACCAAAATGAATCACTGATCTCATTAAGTCACACCGGCCAGTCCCGAACTTTCCCGGGTAGAACCACTGCAAGCATCAAATCTTAGGTGAGGCCCCATCAATGGTCATGAACAGGAGCAAAAAGGTTGAGCTTCTCCTCATTCAAAAGGCCAGAAAAGACCTTGTTCTCCTTGGAGCAAAGTGGTAACTGGACCCAGAAGAGGAAGGTCAGGCACGATGCCTCGAACAAGGCCGGTCAGCAAGGTGGTAGCCCCCTACCTAGGCACACTAGTGCTTTGGGACGCCATACAACACACCCACTCATTTGCCCATGGATTCAGACAGGGAGTCAGCAAGCATTGACAGGACATCCAGCTGGTGCCAGGTGTTCTACATGCCATCTCTTCTCCAGACCCTGCATAAGAGGAAGAGGAGCCTCATTCCACAGACAAGAAAACAAAGGTGGCTGGGCGCAGTGACTCACCCCTGTAATCCCAGCACTTTGGAAGGCCAAGGTGGGCTTATCACCTGAGGTCAGGAGTTCGAGACCAGCCTGGCCAACATGGTGAAACCCTGTCTCTACTAAAAATACAAAATTAGCAGGGCATGGTGGTAGGCACCTGTAATCCCAGCTACTTGGGAGGCCAAGGCAGGAGAATCGCTTGAACCCAAGAGGTGGAGGTTGCAGTGAGCTGAGACTGCACCATTGCACTCCAGCCTGGGCAAAAAGAGCAAAACTACCCCCTCAAAAAAAAAAAAAAAAAAAAAGAAAGAAAGAAAAGGAAAGAAAAAAGAAAAGAAGAAAAGAAAAAAAAGAAAAGAAAAGAAAACCAAAGCACTGGCCTGGCTCACACAGCCAGGAATCCATCCCAGAGCTGGCTGACCCCGAACCTTTCTTCTTTTGATGTTTTCTCTACAGAGACCTACTCTTCATCAGCAGGCACTGAAGGCACATTTCACACATCATCATCTGTGTTTGTCTAGGAGAGCCTAGAAAGTCAGAGATTTTTCTCGACAAAGCAGCCTGGGTTATTTCAGAGGAGGAACCTGCTGCATGGAGAAGCAGAAACTTGGGCCCATCCTCCAAGGCTTCAGCATTCCAGAGGCCAGATGTGTGAGCCTGACGTCACCCACCAAGTCGTGGCCCCATTCCAGGCTGCGCTCCGATGGATTGCGACCCCTGTTCCTCCATGCTGTCTCCTCCTCCCTTTCCTTGGCGTGAAGGAGACTGAGTGGTGCTGGCAGCCACTCCCCAGCATCTGGCGGAACATTCTGCCCCATAGTTGAGCTCTTTTCACTCCCTAGCTTCCCCTAGGGATGGCTGGTGACTCATATTTCCATTTTCAATGTGGGGCCAGGAGCCTGATCTTTCCATGACCACCAGGACTGGCTATATAGCGTCGGAATCAAGGACATGAGCTATGACATCAGATAGGCCTGAGTTCAAATCCTTCTCGACTGCTTGTTGGCTGTGTGATTTCGGTCAACTAACTCACCCTCTCTGAGCCTCTCTTTCCCCATTTGGAAATGCAGGCCACAATGATCCACTCTGATGTCTTCCTTCTTGCAAAAGTCCCTTCCCTTTTGCCTGAAGCTCTGAAAAATGAACCGTTCCCTCTATCAGCTTTCTCTTTTAAATATTTACCTTTCACAAGCCGAGGAAAGAGGAAGCTGATATTAGATTTTTTGAAATAGAATAGTAATATTTATATGCCATTTACTGTGTGTAAAGGATCTATTATCAGGTGTTATTATTCACCCCATTTTATAGGTGAGGAAACTGAGGCCCAGAGAAGTAAAGTAACTTGCCCGAACCAGTAAGTGGCATGGCTGAAATTCACACCTAGGCTGTCTGTCTTCAGAGCGCATGCTCTTAATCCCGATATAGAGAAATGCAAACGAGATGAAATGGGGAAGGCCTTGGCACAGTGCTGGGCCCACAGTGAACTCCAAGTAAGTGTTTGCTGCTAGTACTATTACTACTATTACTTCATCAGCATGTCAGAGTCTCATCCTTGCACGCGAGAAGAAGCAGGGCAGGGATCCCTGCCCTTCTGGCCAAATCCAGCAGTCAAGATGCTCTTGAGTTAAAAAGGGCCAATCGCTCACCCCAAATGTGGGGGTCCCTTGCATGCCAATGGAATGTTCTTGTCACGTGGCCTGCCAAGGGGGGATGCTCTCCCTTGTCCTTAGGGTGGAAACAGGAGAGGCCCCATAGATGTCAGCAGATTGTCAGGTGACCGTCCAGCCCAGGCAGCTTGGCTCCAAGAGGCCAGGTTTAACCACTGGGCTCTCTGCTTCCCCGAGAGACCACTCCTATCAAAAGGTGAAGCTTGTGATTTGGGCCCTAAAACCAAAAAGCCAATGAGATGCTGGTAACAGAAGCCCTACCAGAGACAAAGTATCCCTTCGTGGTTACATGTGAAAGGCTGGGCACAGGAGTATCAGGAAAACACAAACACAAAGAAAGCAGGGCTAGCAATATGGATGGCAGACAAGACAGAATTTGAGGAGAAAAGCATGAAATTGAAGGATAAGGGGACCTCTTTGTCTCCATGTGCCACCTCCAACTGGCCTCTCATTTTTATTATCCTTCCTAGACCTCTTCCACCTCATCCAGTTCTTCTGTGGCCCCTTGGTGGCCAAGGCCCGCCCTCTTCATGCCCCACGAGAGATGAGCCAGCCTCCAGGTCTCCCACTGCTGCTTGGTTTCCTTTCTCAGGGGCCTTTGGGAGGTTGAGTTTTTTGTTTTTTTTTTTTTTTTTTGAGACGGAGTCTTGCTCTGTCACCCAGGCTGGAGTACAGTGGTGCCATCTTGGCTCACCGCAACCTCCACCTCCCGGGTTCAAGCAATTCTCCCGCCTCAGCCTCCCGAGTAGCTGGACTACAGGCGTGCACCACCATGCCTGGCTAATTTTTGTATTTTTAGTAGAGATGGGGTTTCACCATGTTGGCCAGGCTGGACTCGAACTCCTGACCTTGTGATCCGCCCACCTCAGCTTCCCAAAGTGCTGGGATTACAGGCGTGAGCCACCGTGCCCAGACGAGGTTGAGATCTTTACTGCTTGGTCTTCTTTGACCAGACATGGCTATTATCCCCTCTCTCCCCCAGTTTCCAAGGTTCCAACTCTGCCTGTTTTCAGGGCACTAGGGAGCTTGCCTCCCAGAAGGAGTGAGAGCGAGGGTGGACACCCAAAGGCCCTCTGCCTGGCTGGTTGCTCACACAGCTGTCTTTGAGTGAAGCGTCTGGCCCACAGTAGACATCCATAAATGTGTGTTGCCTAAACTCAACTGAACCCTTAGTCTATAAATTCTGTTACTTTAACTTGAAAAAAGTGATGAGGAGGTCTTATCTGACAGTATTCATCCTGAGCTATAGAGATCATTCTAGAAAATTTCCTACCGAATGTTTTCAGCTAGAAAATAAGCTCACTGGAAGCCCCCAAGCCCATGCCTGTCCCTTACTTCCTTCATTCAATGAGCATTGATCAAGATTGCTACCCAGCACTTGATGTTGTAAGAAATGCAAAACTGTGTAAGGCTTCAAGCTGCTAACACTATAGAAAGGACAGGAAGTCCTCCAGCCATGGGTCGATGTCTATGGAACATCAGCTATTTGCTCCCAGATATTGATTACTTACAGTGCAACAGGAAACAGAACACTTCGTGGAGCTCATAGTCTCCAGCGGGGGTTGACAGACATCAAAACCAAAATCACAGCCCCAAGCGCAATCATCCCAAGCCCCCATCACAGTACCAGGCACCCCATGCAAACAGCTGCCTTTCAAGACACTCGCTTCAGAGTTGGGCTCAGCTGGCTAGCACCTCAGCTGCATCACTTACTTTGTGTGACCTTGAGCAAAAGGTATAAACTCCCTGAGGCTTAGTTTCATTTTCTGTAAAATGTAAATAATAATCACTTTCTTCCTGGGGTCATGATAAAAATGAAAAGCAATGACCCAAGTAGCTGGCATATCATTATTATTATTATTATTATCATTATGATAATGACCATGACAATATAATAAATACCAGATGAATGGCACAGAAATGGGAGAGGGAGGGAATACTTCTTCCTGGAGAGAGGATGGTATGAGGATAATTTTCGGGAGAAGGTGGGTGTTGGTGCTGAGCCCTAAAGGAGGGGTTGGATTTCTATACAAGGAAGTGGCGAAGAGTGAATCAGTTCAAAAGTAGAAAAATGAATGATTCAGAAGGTCATTAAAATAAAACAAATAAAGAATCTAAACCAAATGACTGGGTTCCTTAAAAATAGGACATTGCATTGCCAAGCTAAGAAGCATTAGTCAGGCGGAGGAGGTGGCTACTGGGAAATTTCACCCAGTTCAGCATTATTGAGAAGTTGTGGGTTCCTGAAGCCTTCAGTGGGCGTTGTGCAATCCTGAGGGGTTAAGGTAACCCAAACCCTGGTCCAGGGAGTGAAAGGGAACTGTATAGGTTGGGGTCAATATTAGAAAAAAGCTCCTTGAAAAGCACAGTGGTCTCCACGGAAAGTGGTTAAGTGTGTTGGAGGAGTCTGGGGCGGTTCTACGGGCCAGGGGGCATCTGTCCGGGGAGCCATGACAGAGAACATCTGGAAGGCAGGGACTGTGCAGCCCGGGGTCTGGGTCTGACCCATTCATTCTCCCTGCAGTGTCTTGCAGTCTCTCCTTGCTTCTCTGCGCACTCTTCTGCGACAGGCACACTCCACCTTCCCTGTCCAACGGGTGGGGCTTGGTAGACGGGGCTCAAACCCCAGCTCTGCCACTCACTTGCTGTGTGATATTGGGCAAGTCACCTCACCTCTCTGTGCCTTCATTTTCCATCCATAAGAAGGGTGATCATAATAGGATTATGGTGAGAAATAAATGAAACACGCCTGACACACATAGGTCAGAAAATGTTAGTTCCAGCACCTTCTGTTCTCCTCCTTGTCCTGGCCTCATCCTCTCCTTCTCTACCTATTCTGATGATTTCTTGCTGGAGGTGACCATGGATTCTATTAGGCAAATAATTGAACACCTCCTGTGTGGTGTCCTGCCAGACAATGACAAATGTCATTGATTCATTTGTGTCATTCCACTTACATTAACAAATAACTATAACAGGATGAGCATTGTTCTTAGAATGAAAACAAAAATATGATACACAGACAAAGGGACGAGGGGCATACAGAGATGGAAAGGAAGTGGCCAGGGACTGGGAAGGGAGGAGCCAACATCTGCAGTGCCCCTGTTGTGTGCTGGGCATGGAGAAGGACCCCCAGGATCAAGAGAAGAATGGAGCCCAGCCTGGGCTTTGGAGGTGCCACGGCGCAGTGCGAGACAGACGCGCAAGCCTAAATGTTGGGGGTCCCAGGAAAGACTGTGGTTTTACTGTCTTGGGTGAGCTGGGGAAGGCTTTTGAGAGGAGGTGATAGAGGAGCTGGGTGCTGAAGGTTGAGTACTTACCAGGAAAGGCATTTGAAACAAGAACAACCCATGTGAAGGCCGAGCGGCATCAAAGAACAGAGTATTTGGGAAATAGTTGGGTGTTTCTTTAGAGTAAGTGAAATTCAACCTTTTCATTTAGCATAGGAACAGACACAGAGTAAGTGCTCAGTTAAGTGATTGAGCGTGGGTCCAGCACATTGGTACTGTTAGATCGTCCATCAATTTGCCCCCAGCTCTAAGCCTATATTCCTCGGGACAGCCCCATCATCTTCCAGGATGAGGGCAGCCTCAGGGTCAGAGGGAGGAGAGAAGTGAGCTACAAACAAAGAGAGGCAGTGGAGTGGGACAGGCCAGGGCTCGCTTCTCAGGGGCCTGTGCAACGTCTTTCCTGCCTGGGGCCGAATGTTCTGTTCCCTTCCCCGGACAGAACCCGAAGGTTGAGCCAGCCCGCTGACCCGGGCTGAGCTAACGGGAAAGTGGGCCGCACTGGGCCCCAAGTCATCAGCTCACCCTGATGAGCCAGGCCCTGGAGATTCCACCAGCCCCAGGCAGCATTTAGAGAAGTACTAGGCCGAGTCATCAGCTCTGTGCAGTCACTGCCTGCTAGGGCTGCGCAGGGTGAGTGGGGAAATAAACAGATTGCGGCACTGAGCCGTGGGAACCAAGCGCCGGGGCACTGGAGCTCTCTCCCTGGGTTTGTTACCAGAAGATGGTTATGTAATCAGCTCACTCATGCCTTCAACAAGCATGTATTGAGTGCCGACTGGGTGCCAGGCACTGTTTCTAGGCTCTGGAAATATAGCTGGGACAGATATAGAGACCCTGCCTCAGGAAGGTGACATTCTGGTGGCCAAACGCATGCGAACACTGTCCTCCCGCATTCAGTGAGTGTTTACCGGAAGCCAAGCTCTGTCCCAAGCACTGTGCTGATGATATCTCATTTCATCCTCTCTGTCACTGTAGGAGGCAATCTTTATTGTTATCCCATTTTACAGAACACACTCTCCTGCCTTAAGAACCCACCAGCAAGAACCCCCTTCCCCACATCTTCCCATGGTCCTTCTCATCCTTCAGGTCAAATTGCTTCTCAAAAGGCAGTGAGGGCCAGGCACGGTGGCTCACACCTGTAATCCCAGCACTTTGGGAGGTCGAGGTGAGTGGATCACTTGAGATCAGGAGCTCGAAACCAGCCTGGCCAACATGGTGAAACCCCCTCTCTACTAAAAATAAAATGTAAAAAAATTAGCCAGGCATGGTGGCGCACACCTGTAATCCCAGCTACTCGGGAGGCTGAGATGGAGAATCACCTGAACCTGAGAGGTGGAGGTTGCAGTGAGCCGAGATAGTGCCACTGCACTCCAGCCTGGATGACAGAATGAGACTCCACTCAAAAAAAAAAAAAAAAATGCAGTGAGGTAAGGTGGGGCACAAATGGTGACAACTTGCCTTACTCTCAGCTCTTGGTGATCTAATGGGTCAGGAACGAGGGGCCTAGCATCCTCTGATAACAGTCAGGCCCTGCCCACCCAAAGCACTCTCCTGAACTCACTGGAACTTAGAACTTTCAAATGCTGTCAGAGCCTTGTAATCATGCCTTTTCCAGCATTCCTTAATCATCATTACTCTGGGCTCAGGCATTTAATTGCTCATCAGTTTCTTCATACTTTCATGAATGGAGAATTTCTTCATTCTTTCAGGGCGAGTACAGCCTTTGGTCAAATTGTGCCGTAGGTGAGTACTCCCCACCGCACCAATTCTACCCCTGCCCCATAACTGGTATTCTGCCATATGCCTTCACTTACTCACATGAGCCCTGCTGTGTGCCAGGAAATTGGGTCAGGAGCCCCAAGGGAGGCAGAGGAAGAAGCAGCCACCATGATCAGGGGCCAGAGAGAAGGTGGCACCAGGGAATTGGTGAGCCCAGGGATCGTGTCACCCCACAGGGCTAAGAAAAACATTGCCTGCCATCAGCTGCATCTGGAAGGCTAATAGAAGTCATCCAGGTTCAGGGCTGTCTGGGAAGAGAGGAGTGAAAGGACATGTGGCCTTTGGGGAACCTGGACATAGCCAGGGGTGCACCACAACATCTGGGGAGTAAAGGGGCCCAGGCAGCCAAAGGGCCAGCAAAGAGATGAGGGTGGCCAAAAGGGCAAACTCATGGGAGGTCTTCAGATTGGGATTAAGAATTTAACTTATTCATTCAAGAATGAATTCAAGTTGTTGAGCCATATTTCTGATCTAGGAACTGTCCTAGACCTTAGAGACTTGACTACGAAGAAGAAGGCAAGGCTCCTGCCCTCAGTGGAGTCTACCTGGTAGTGGGAGAGTTGGAGCCAGACTGCACCTGCTCACAAGAACAGGTTGTTTTAGATTTTCAGGAATTTGGACAGCCATGTGACATCACTTTGGTAGTTTGAAATTGGCCACAGTGGGTATGTTTACACCACAGAAATTGGCAGACGCTGTAAGGCAGCCTCCCCACTACCCACAACCATCCTGCACCCAAAAGCCGATGTTAAATATTTGCCAGGATACCACTAGGGGATATAGACAATAAACAAGTAGGCAGATAGGCAAATGTGGTAACAATAGATTGTACATAAGGGAAAAAATCAGCAGGGCCTTATGGTACAGAGGGACTGATGGGATGGGGGTGACCAGGGATGGCTTCCAGGAAGTGAAGTCACCTGAGGCTAATATTTAGATCCTGAGGAGGAAGGAATCAGACTTTTATTTTGTTTGTTTGTTTGTTTTGTGTTTTTTTGTAGACACAGGGCCCTACTTTGTTGCCCAGTCTAGTCTCAAACTCCCGGGCTCAAGCGATCCTCCCACTCCAGCCTCCCAAAGTGTTGGGATTACAGGTGTGAGCCACCATGCCCAGCTAGAACCAGGCTTTTGAAGAACTGGGACAGTGTTATAGACTGAATTGCTACCCCCTCAAAATTCATATGTGGAAGCCCTAACCCCCAATACTTCAGTATGTGAATGTATTTGGAGATAAGGCCTTTAAAGAGGCAGTTAAGTTAGAATGAGTCATCACAGTGGGCCCTAATCCAATGACTGGTGTCCTTATAAGAAGAGGAGATTAGGACAGACACCAAGGATGCGTGAGCACAAAGAAAAGACCCTCAGAGGACACAGTGAGAAAATGGTTATCTGCAAGCCAAGGAGAGACCAAACCTGCCGGCACCTTAATCTTGGACTCTCAGCCTCCAGAACTGTGAGGAATAAACTTTTGTTGTTTCACTATCACACACTATCCAGTGTATGGGATTTTGTTATGGCAACCTTAGAAAGCTAATAGAGACAGTATTCCAGGTAGATGGTACAGCAAGTGTCAGCAGCCTGGGGACATGGAGGGAGGCCAGTGCACCTGGAGCACTGTTGGGAAGAGGGGCCTTGATAAGGTACCTTTTCAGAAATTTTTTTTGTGGAGACAGGATCTTCCTAGGTTGCCCAGGCTTGATTCAAACTCCTGAGCTCAAGGGATCCTCCCACCTTGGCCTCCCAAGTAGCCGGGACTACAGCCACACACCACTGTGCCTGGCTAAAGTATCTGGTTTTCATTTAAGTGAGTTGGTGACCATTTGGAGAGGTTTTATTTTTTAAATTCATTTGTGACTTATTAAGATGACTTTTTTCGTGATCTTTCTAATATTTTCATTAAAAACTTTTAATTGGTATTAATATATAATTGTACATATTTATGGGGTACACGTGATATTTCAATACATGCAGACAACCTGTAATGATTAAATCAGGGTAATTGACATATCCATCATCTCAAACAGTTATTATTTCTTTGTACTGGGAATTTTCAAAATCCTCTCTTCTAGCTGCTTCAAAATAAATAATAAATTATTGTTAATTATAGTCACCCTGCTGTGCCATAGAACATCAGAACTTATTTCTTCTATTTAACCGTTTGTACCCATTAATCAGCCATTCCCTACCCCTCCTTGCCCACTTCTCTTCCCAGCCTCTGGTAACCACTATTCTACTCTCCACCTCTATGGAATCAACTTTATTAGCTCCCACTTATGAGTAAGAACACGGAATTTATCCTTCTGTGCCTGGCTTATTTCACTTAGCATGATGTCCTTCATTTGGAGAGTTTTAAGCAGGGAGTAACAGTATAGAGCTCAACAATAATCATTTCTTCTTCTACCAAGAAGATCCAACCAAGATTCTACCAAGAAGATCGTGGGGGATCCAACGAGATGGTGAGCATTCCAACTGTTAACTGCTCTAAATATGATGAAATGTGAGACAAATTGGGAGAATGGTAATAAGGGGGAATAATCCAACTTAGAACAAGGAGAGTCAGAGGTAGACGGTTTAATGATGGGAAGTTCTTCTCCCTCTGTAACAAGCCAAGAGGCAACACGCCTGCAGAAATCAGCTTCTAGATTCAATTCACCTCAACAAGTATCTAGTGAGCCATGCCTGATGTGCCAGGCTTGTTCTAGATTCTGGGGATAACTGAGATTTAAAAACAGCAGACAGTCCAGGTGCAGTGGCTCACACCTGTAATCCCAGCACTTTGGGGGGCTGAGGCAGGAAGATTGCTTGAGCCCAGGAGTTCAAAACCAGCCTGGGCAATGTAACGAGACCCTGTCTCTACACGAAATACAAAAATTAGCCAGGTGTGGTGGCACACACCTGTAGTCCCAGCTACTCAGGAGACTGAGGTAGGAGGATCGCTTGAGCCTTGGAGGTTCAAGGATGCAGAGAGCTATGATTACACCACCGCACTCCAGCCTGGTTGACAGAGTGAAAGCCTGACTCAAAAAAAAAAAAAAAAAAAAAAGCCAAAAACATAGAACAAAACCAGCAGACAAAAATCTCTGTCTTGTGGAGTTGGCATTCTGGGGTGCGTGTAGGGGAGTTGGGAGACAGCAAACATGTAAGTAAGATATAGGCTATGTCAGGTAACTGTGGTGAGAAAATAAAGCAGGGGAGCATGGGGAAGGGTGCTTGGGTGGAGAGGGGTTGCCATTTTCAACATGACAGCCAGGGAAGACGTCAGTGAGAACATGACACTGGAGTGAAGACCCCAAGAAGATGATGTGGATGCTGCAGGGCAGGCCTGTGGGCCCCAGTGAGATGGGGACCCCTGGAGGGTTGTGAGCAGGAGAGAGACACAATCACTCTGTGTGTTGTACCAAGAATAAACTCTCACAGGGAGACAAGGAGACCGGGTGGGAGGTTACTTCAAGAATCCAACAAATGCCCTTTTAAAAAATTGAATGGATGACCGCAGGCCTGTCCAGCCCAGAAGCCACATGTGGACATAGTATCTCCTCAACCTTCAAGAATATGTCTCCTAACACATGCAGCCAACTTTGGAAGGGATGTCACAGATCATCATGGGCTGATGTAGCTGTCCAAGAGATGGCATTGAATTTAAAAATTAGGTTGCAGAACAGCATAATCCATTTTGTGCATGAAAAGTGAGTAGGTGATAGATAATAATAGAAGATAGATGATAGATAGATAGATAGATAGATAGATAAGGATAGACAGATAATAGGTAGATGGTAGGGAGGAAGGGAGAGAGAGAGGGAGTGAGAGAGGACGAAGGAAGGGAGGGAGGGAGGCAGGAAGGGAGGGAGGGAGGGAGGGAGGAAAGGGAAGGGAACAGAAGAAAGGAAGGAAGGGAAGGAAGGAAGGAAAGAAGATACGGAGGGAGGGAGGGAGGAAAGAGAAAGGAACAGAAGAAAGAAAAGAAGGGAAGAAAGGGAAGGAAGGAAAGAGGGAAGGAAGGAAAGAAGGAAGGAAGGAAGGAAGACAGGCAGACTCAATACCCACTTGGTACTGGCTCCTTCAGCTGCTCTCCTGCTGAACTGAGGTCAATCCCACCAGAGCCCATCTCCTTCCAAACCACAAATTCAACCCTATAGTATTGCCAAACATGTGGATTTTAAAAAGTATTTTCTTTATTATGAAATATACATATAAGGAGTATATATGTTCAGGTCCACCATATTGCCAGAACCCAGTGTCTCAATCACATAGATTTTACTGCTGTTTTCCTTTAGAGATGGAGGAGGGTGTTGCACCACACAAGGCCCATCAAGGCTTCTGAAAACTTCGCTTAAGTGCCCCTTCTCTTTTCCCCAAGCTCCTCTGTCCACGGCATCCCTGACGCCCCACCCTGCGCTGTCTGTCAAACGCCCCTCCCAGCTCCGCAGCACTCTGGCCGCCTTGCTTCTCCTTTCTCTTCCTAACATTTCCAAAGCTGAGAGACTGAGAACTGGGCAAAACAAACAGTGGGCTGAGGGCCAAACTGGGATGCTACGGTCCTCCAGGACTTCCCTGGGGGCCTGCTCAGACTCACAAAAAACTCTCTACAGGTGTTACCTTGGGGAAGGCTCAGGGGCTTTAGCTTACCACTTGCCACCCTTTTGAACAATTTCTTCCTTGGAGGTATGTCGGTTTTAGAGAGACAGTAATCATACCCCCACCCAGACCTGTCACTCCCAGTTTGGGACACAGGGAAAGAGAGCAAAAGGAGGTCCTCGATCCCTGCCTACCCCTTCCCTTCCTGCCCCTGATCCAGCCTCTGGGAAGCTGTGTGGACAGCCCAGCCTGAACTTGTCTTGCCCGCACTCTCACCCCTAAAGCTGCCCTTTGGTCATCCCTCAGCCCTAGGTCTACTCTTGTTAGATCAGATGTGGAAAGAGGCCTAGGTAGGCCCTGGAAATAGATTTGGGGATATTTTAGCAGGGAATTATGTCCTGGGTGCCCAGAGCATGGGGTGTGGAGTGGCAGAACAGAGGGGAGGTTAATACTGCATCCACCCAATGATAAGATTACCAGCATCTTTATCCTTTCATCACCTCTTCTGTATTCTGTATTTTCTTTTCTTTCTTTTTTTTTTTTTTTTTTTTTTTTTTTTTTTTGAGATGGAGTCTTGCTCTGTCACCCAGGCTGGAGTGCAGTGGCGTGATCTCGGCTCACTGCAAGCTCTGCCTGCTGGGTTCACACCATTCTCCTGCCTCAGCCTCCCGAGTAGCTGGGACTACAGGCGCCCGCCACCACGCCCAGCTAATTTTTTGTATTTTTAGTAGACACGGGGTTTCACCGTGTTAGCCAGGATGGTCTCGATCTCCTGACCTCGTGATCCGCCCGCCTCGGCCTCCCAAAGTGCTGGGATTACGGGCGTGAGCCACCGCGCCCGGCCTGTATTCTGTATTTTCTATCAAGCAGAACCCTGATGATCTTTGTGTGGTCTCCAAATTGTGCGGCCACATTTGGAGGAAGCGAGATGACTACACAGTGAAGCACAGTGAAGGGGAGGCCTGAGGAGCCACGAAGACCGGTAGCACATTCTGGATTTTGTCAAGTCTTAGCCGGGTGCCCTGAGCAAGTCCCCTCGGCTGTCTTGAGCCTCAGTCTCCTTCTCTGTAAAACAGGAATAATAATAACCACGTGAATGGCACAGAGATTTTTAAGATGCAGTTATTACTATTTTTTAAACGTCAATTGATGCCAGGAATATTCTGCCAGCCCTCCAAGGGTGGTTTCAGCAGGCTTACTTCCTGGTCATAATCACTTCCTCCATCCCCGGCTTCTGTCATGCTCAGCCCTGACCTCACCACCGACCCGCCCTGCCCCTCCCATTAGCTGCGTCACCACTGCCTGCCCCCACGTTTAGCCCAGCCCCCAGCCCAGATCTCAGCCTTGGGTGAAAAGTGTCAGCCCGCACACTTTCTGTTTTACCTCCGGCCGCTCTTTTAACCTTTATCCTTTCCCTGCCCCCTTTCAGACCCTCTTACTCACCTCCACAGATGACGTGTAAAAGAGCTCAAATCAGTGTGTTACCTTTCCTGGGGTTATTTTCTTTTTAAACTGAGGTTTTGTCCCTTGGTGAGAAAGCTGGGGTACCGCTGAAAAGAAAGCCAGCCTGGGAGCAAGAGACTTGGATTTAAATCTTGCATCTGTACTTTCTAGTTGTGGGGTCTCTGATGAGTTACTTTAGCTCTCTGAACCTCAGGGTCCTCATCTATAAAATGGAAGAATGTCCAATGCTTTGGGAGGCTGAGGTGGGGGGATCGCTTGAGCCCAGGAGTCCAGGACCAGCCCGGGCAACGTAGCAAGATCCCATGTCTATGAAAAAAACCCACAAATTAGCTGGGTATGTTTGTTCCCACCCATAGTCACAGCTACTTGGGAGGCTGGGGTGGCTCGATTGCTTGAGCCCAGGCGTCCGATGTTACAGTGAGCTGTGTGATCACACCACTGCACTCCAGCCTGAATGACAGAGCAAGACCCTGTCTCTTTAAAAAAAAAAAAAAAAAGAGAGAGAATGAATGATTGAACAATTTCTACCCAACAATTTTGTATATCGAACCACCAACATGTGTAAGACACAGAAGAGGAGTTTGGTCAGTGATAGGTATGTAACCGCCCAGTGGGTTCATCTCGTCTGCTGCCCAGGGGAATGGAAATAGAGACAGAGTTTATACACGCAGAGCCTGCTGAACAGGAAACCGGAGTTTCATTATTGTGCACATCAGCCTCCCAGAAAATTTGGAGGCTAGGGTTTTTTGAAGATAGTTTAGGGGGCTAGGGTATGGGTGCTGCTGACTGGGTGGGGATGCAATCGTAGGGGTGAGGAAAATGGTCCTCATGTACTGAGTCCACTTCTGGGTGGAGGCCTCAGGACTGGTTGAGTGGAGAGTCAAGGGTCCAGGTAGGGCCATCCAGTTGTCAGAAATGCAAAACTCTGAAAAGACATCTTAAAAGGCCTGTCAGGCCCAAAACCCTAAATTCTTTTTTATCTTTTTTTTTTTTTTTTTTTTTTTTGAGACGGAGTCTTACTCTGTCGCCCAGGCTGGAGTGCAGTGGCGCGATCTCTGCTCACTGCAAGCTCCGCCCCCCGGGTTCATGCCATTCTCCTGCCTCAGCCACCACGCCCAGCCCCTAAATTCTTTTTTTATTTGATTTTTGTTTTGTTTTGTTTTCTTTTCTTTTCCCAGATGGGGTATCGCTGTGTTGTCCAGGCTGGAATGCAGTAGCGATATAATGGCTCACTGCAGCCTCAACCTCCCAAGCTCAAGCAATCCTCTTGCCTCAGCTTCCCGAATAGCTGGGACCACAGGTGTGTGCCACCACACCAGCCAAGATTTTATTTTTCTGTAGAGATGGGGTCTCCGTATGATGCCCAGGCTGATCTCAAACTCCTGGGCTGAAGCAATCCTCCCACTCAGCCTCCCGAGGTGCTGGGATTACAGGCTTAAACCATTGAGCCCAGCCCCCAAACCCCAAGTTGTTAGGGGAAAACTAAACACCTAGTGAGACTGCAACAAAATGAGAACCAGAAATGTGGGTGTCCGATAATAGCAGGTTAGTCACCATAAGGAGAGGAAAAGCACATTATATGCAGTTGACTATAAGCACATTTTTGGGAAACCTATACATGGATACAAGATAATATTTACAAAAGCAATCACAAATATAAAGTCTCCAAGATAAGTCGTTGTGGTGTTATGATCTGTATTGATTTTCATCCACAGTTCCTGGTTCATAATCCCATAGCCCTAGTTACAGTGTTTTATTATAATGTTGGGTGAGTTGGGTCTCAGGAAACAAACTCTCCTGACCTCGTTTCACTTACTTCAAGGAAGAACTCTAATCTTCCCCCATCTTTTGGACTGTGGGTTTTAAGACCCTCCCCAGAAAGGGTCCTGTCCTATATCATGGAGGAAGGAATGCTGACTGACATCATTAAGCTTCCATAAAAACCCAAGAGGACGAGGTTTGGAGAGCTTCCAAGTAGCTGAACATGTGGAGGTTCCCGGAGGGTAGCGTACCCAGGGAGGGCATGGAAACCCCGCATCCCTTCCCTTATACCTCACCCTACACATCTCTTCTTCTTTGGTTGGGAGAGGATGGCCAGTCTTGGGAACTGAGCCCTCACTCTGTGGTATCTGACACTATCTCCAGGTAGATAGTGTTGAAATTGAATTGGAGGACACCCAGCTGTTATCCATTGCTTGGTGTATGGGGAAAATCCCACACATTTATTTGGTCACAGAAGTCTTCTGCTGTGTTGGTGACTGTTGTGATGGTGTGAGAGCAGAAGAAAAACATGGTTTGAGAGAGGTTTTCCCTGCACAGTTGTCAAGACTTCTTTAAGAAAATTATAAATAATATTAAGTGGCATTAAAGAAAACCTAAATATGTGGAGATGCATACCATGTTCATGGACAGAAAGGCAATTATCTTCACATTGTCCTAATGCTATTTCTTTTTTCTTCTTCTTTCTTTTTTTTCTTTTTTTTTTTGAGAGAGAGTCTCACTCTGTTGCCCAGACTGGAGCGCAGTGGTATGATCTCAGCTCACTGCAACCTCCACCTCCCGGGTTCAAGAGATTCTTCTGCCTCAGCCTCCCAAGTAGCTGGGACTACAGTTGTATGCCACCACACCTGGCTAATTTTTGTATTTTTAGTACAGATGGGGTTTCACCATATTGGCTAGGCTGGTCTCAAACTCCTGACCTCATGATCCGCCTGCCTCAGCTTCCCAAAGTGCTGGGATTATACGTGTGAGCCACTGCACCCAGTGTCCTAATGCTATTTCAACCAAAAGCCCCAAGCAGTTTTTCGTATAATTTGACAAGCTGAAACTTCAATTTATATGAAGGAGCAAAGGACCAAGGAAGGCTAAGTCTTGCCCAAAGCAGAATTCTGGGCAGGTACTTGGCCTCCAAATATTGAGATTTACTATAAACAACCACAAGTAAGATAGTATGAAAATGACATAGAGATTGACAAACAAATGATGGAACAGAATGAAGGGCCTCAAAATGGATCCACACAGGGATCCAGAATACCTGCTTTCTGGTGGAGGATGCCCTGAAGACTAGTGGGCAAAGAACAATTTATTTCATAAATAAAGCTGGGACAATTGGCTATCCAAATTGGAAAGACAATACCCCTTAACACATAAAAACTCAATTCTAGGTGGATCAAAGTCCTAAATGTGAAAATAAACCCTTAAAACTCTTAGAAGAAAATGTAGAATATTTTTATGATCTCAGGGTAGAGACAGATTTCTTAAGCAAAATACAGAAAATGCAACCACAAAGAAAAAGACTGACATTTTTTGAAACAGTAAGTATGTGATTAAAAAAAACAAAACTGGCACATTTGATAAAATAATTTCTGTTCATTAAAAGACATCATAGGTCAAGCACAGTGGCTCATACCTGTAATCCCAGCACTTTGGGAGGCCTAGGTGGGAGGATTGCTTGTGGCCAAGAGTTCAAGACCAATCTAGGCAACATAGCAACACCCTGTCTCTATAAAAAATACAAATTAGCTGTGTGTGGTGGCATGCAACCTGTAGTCCTAGCTACTCAGGAGGCTGAAGTGGGAGGATCACTTGAGCCTGAGAAGTTGAGGCTGCAATGAGCCATGATTACATCACTGCACTCCAGCCTGGGTGACACAACCAGACTGTCTCTTAAAAAAAAAATTGTTTTTGTCTGGGCACAGTAGCTCACGCCTGGAATCCCAGGCTTTGGGAGGCCAAGGCGGGTGGATCATCTGAGGTCAGGAGTTTGAGACCAGCCTGGCCAACATGGCGAAACCCTGTCTCTACTAAAAACACAAAATTAGCCGGGCATGGTGGCGCTCACCTGTAATCCCAGCTACTTGGGAGGCTGAGGCAGGAGAATCACTTGAACCCGGGAGGTAGAGTTTGCAGTGAACAGAGATCACACCATTGCACTCCAGCCTGGGCAACAAGAGAGAAATTCCGTCTCAAAAAAAAAATTGTTTTAAATAATAATTTAAAATACATCATAATACATGAAATGATGTCATAAATTTAGAGAAGATATTTTAATGTATAATCAATAAATGATTAGTATCCAGAATAAAGTCCTACCAATTCATAAAACTAAGATAATCTCATAGAAAAATGGGCAAAAGACTTAAACAGATATTTTACGTAAGAGGAAACAAATGTGACAAAGGAACTTATGACCAGATGCTCAATTTCATTATCATTCATGGAAATGCAAAATCAAACCACACTGAAATATCATTCTGTACCCACCAAACTGGTAAAAACCGAAAGTCTGACAATAATAAATGTTAGGATGTGGAGCAACTGTGATGACAATATATTCTTGATGACACTGTACGTTGGTGCTGCCACTTTAGAAAATAGAACACTCGGGCTGGGCGCGGTGGGTCAAGCCTGTAATCCCAGCACTTTGGGAGGCTGAGACGGGTGGATCACAAGGTCAGGAGATCAAGAGCATCCTGGCTAACATGGTGAAACCCTGTCTCTACTAAAAATACAAAAAATTTGGCGGGCGTGGTGGCGGGCGCCTGTAGTCCCAGCTACTCGGGAGGCTGAGGCAGGAGAATGGCGTGAACCCGGGAGGTGGAGCTTGCAGTGAGCTGAGACTGTGCCACTGCACTCCAGCCCAGGCAACAGCAAGACTCTGTCTCAAAAAAAAAAAAAAAAAAATTAGCCGGGCACGGTAGCAGCAGCCTCTTAAACCAGCTAGTTGGGAGGCTGAGACAGGAGAATCACTTGAACCAAGGGGGCGGAGGTTGCAGTGAGCAAGATCATGCCACTGCACTCCAGCCTGGGTGACAGAGTGAGACTCCGTCTCAAAAAAAAATGAAAAAGAAAATAGAACACTCACATCTTATGACCCAGCAATTCCAACTCTAATTACATAACTAGAAAAACCTCTTGTACATGTGCATCAGGGTATATGTACAAGAATGGTCATAGCTGTCGTTTATTAAAAATTCTGGAACCAGCTGGGCGTGGTGGCTCAAGCCTGTAATCCCAGCACTTTGGGAGGCTGAGGCGGGCAGATCACTTGAGGTCAGGAGTTTGAGACCAGCCTGGCCAACATGGTGAAACCCTGTCTCTACTAAAAACACAAAAATCAGCCTGGCATGGTGGTGCGTGTCTGTAGTTCCACCTACTTGGGAGGCTGAGGCAGGAGAATCACTTGAACCTGGGAGGCAGAAGTTGTGGTGAGCCGAGATTGTGCTATCGCACTCCAGCCTGGGTGACAGAATGAGACTTCATCTCAAAAAAATAAATAAAATTCTGGGACCATTTTACATACATTAGGATGGCTATGATAAAAAAAAAATTTTAAATAAAAATGCCAGAAAATAACAGGTGTTGGTGAGCATGTGGGGAAATTAGAATGCTTGTGCACTACTGGTGGGAAATGTAGCATGGTGCAGAGACTGTGGAAAACACACTGTGGATCCTCAAAAAATTACACATAGAATTACCATATGATCCAGAAATTCCACTTTTGAGAATACACCCAAAATAACTGAAAGCAGGGGTCTGGGGCGGTGGCTTAAGCCTGTAGTCCCAGAACTTTGGGAGGCCAAGTGTCTCACGCGTCCGTGTGACGAGACCACCAAACAGGCTTTGTGTGAGCAATAAAGCTTTTTAATCACCTGGGTGCAGGCAGGCTGAGTCCAAAAAGAGAGTCAGCAAGGGGTGGTGGGATTATCATTCGTTCTTACAGGTTTTGGGATAGGAGGTGGAGTTAGGAGAAATGTTTTGCGGGCAGTGGGTGGATCTCACAAAGTACATTCTCAAGGGTGGGGAGAATTACAAAGAACCTTCTTAAGGGTGGGGGAGAAACAAATCACAATGGTGGAATGTCATCAGTTAAGGCTATTTTCACTTCTTTTGTGGATCTTCAGTTACTTCAGGCCATCTGGATGTATACGTGCAGGTCACAGGGGATATGATGGCTTAGCTTGGGCTCAGAGGCCTGACACCGAGGCAGGTAGATCACTTGAGGCCAGTAGTTCGAGACCAGCCTGGCCTGAACATGGCGAAACCCCGTCTCTACTAAAAATGCAAAAATTAGCCGGGTGTGGTCGTACACACCTGTAATCCCAGCTACTTGGGAGACTGAGGCAAGAGAATCGCTTGAACTCTCTTGAGGCAGAGGTTGCAGTGAACTGAGATTGTGCCACTGCACTCCAGCCTGAGCAACAGAGCGGGAATGTTAAAAAAAAAAAAAAATTGAAAGCAGAAACTCAAACAGATATTTTATACTGATGGTCATAGCAGCATTCTTCACAATAGCTAAAAAAGGTGGAAGCAACCCAAATGTCCATCAATGGATAAATAAACAAAATATGGTATATACATATAATAGAATATCTTTCAGCCTCAAAAGGAAGGAAATTCTGACATATGCAACAACATGGATGAACCTTGAGGACGTTATGCTAAGTGAAACAAGCTAGACTCACAAAAAGACAAATACTGTATCATTCCACTTATATGAGGTCCCTAAAGTTGTCAAATTCATAGAGACAGAAGGTAGAATGCTGGTTGCCAAAGGCTGAGGGGAGAGAGGAATGGAGAGTTATGGCTTAATGGGTGCGGAGTTTTAGTTTGGGAAGATGAAAAATTCTGGAGATGGATGGTGGCAATGGTTGTACAACAATGTGAATGTACTTAATACCACTGAACTATACACTTAAAAATGGCTAAAATGAGGCTGGGGGTGGTGGCTCACACCTGTAATCCTGGCATTTGGAAGACCGAGGCAGGTGGATCACTTGAGGTCTGGAGTTCAAGACCAGCCTGGCCAACATGGAGAAATCCCATCTCTACTAAAAATACCAAAATTAGCCGAGCATGGTGGCAGGCGCCTGTAGTCCCAGCTACTCGGGAGGCTGAGGCAGGAGAATGGCATGAACCTGGGAGGCAGAGGTTGCAGTGAGCTGAGGTTTTGCCCCTGCATTCCAGTCTGGGAGACAAGAGTGAAACTGTCTCCAAAAAAAAAAAAAAAAAGAAAGAAAGAAAGCAATGGCTAAAAAGGTAAATGTTTATATATATAGACAGAGTATAGACATATATACACATGTATACAACATATACACATGTATATGCTGTATGTACATGTGTATATCATAATAGAAAAATACCAGTAATCATTTAGCTTAATAAAATGTTTTAAAGATAAAAAAAAAATTCCTGGAAACCACCCACATGTATATCAGCAGGAGCATAGATAAATACAGTATATTCATACGGTGTATTATTGTACAGCAATGACAATGAATGATCTAAACCTGCACCATCAACACGGGTGAATCTCACAAACACAATACATGAAAAGGGCAAATTACAAAATAATACAATCCAATTATATATAAAGGTAAAAAACATTACATCATTTTGGGACTCTATCTATCTATCTATCTATCTATCGTAAAACTATATAAAGAAAAGCAAAGGGGCCAGGCGTGGTGACTCACACCTGTAATCTCAGCACTTTGGGAGGCCGAGGTGGGAGGATTGCTTGAGTTCAGGAGTGTGAGACCAGCCTGGGAAACATGGTGAAACTCTGTCTCTACAACAAATAAAAAATTAGCCAGGCATGGTGGCGCATGCCTGTAGTCCCAGCTACTCAGGAGGCTGAGGCAGGAGAATTGCTTGAGCTCAGGAGGTCGAGGCTGCAGTGAGCCGTGATTATGCCACTGCACTCCAGCCAAGGCAACAGAGCAAGACCTTGTCTAAAAAAAAAAAAAAAAAAAAAGAACGATTTGCACAAATTCAAGACGGTGGCTACTCAGGGTGGGTAGAAAGAGGCACATGATCAGAGTGGGGCATGAGAGGGCTTCTTGGATATTGATGATGATCTATTTCTTAAGCTGGGTGATGGATACATGGGTATTCATTCTACATTTGTTCTTTAATTTACACATATGTGTTATATACACTTTTTGGTATCTGAATGATAGCACATAATTATTTTAAAATGCAATATATAGAAAAAAGCCTGGAAGAACTCTAAATTTAATGGTGTCTCAGTAGGGGGACTTTCTTTTTACTTTCTACTTTTTGTATTTTTAAAATAGTCTTTTGTACTTTTATAACGAAAAAAAGGCATTAAATTACAATAAGAAAAAAAAGAAACAAAGAGAGTTTTCCCCTCAAATTTGTTCGGAGAAAAGGGAAGCGAGAGAAGATGGGTGAAAGCTCTGGGCTTCCCCCAATTCTACTGCAATAAAAGATGACATTGGAATTTTGAGGTTAAATGCTGCTTAGGAGATAATGAGTTTTAACCGTTATCTTGAGAAGGGAAACGTTCCTTCGAAAAGCAAATTCCCTGGTCCCTTTTCTCAGAAATTCCCTGCCAGTTTCAAGAGTGGGCAGAGAGTTTTGATGTCCTTTGGAAACAAGGGGACATAACCAAGGAGATAAAGCCACGGGACCCAGCCAGTCCTTGATGGGACTGATTTCAAATGACAATCTTGACACAAATCCCCTTTCAACAGCCTAAAGAGCAGATGAAAGAGATGAAAAAGAGGAAATAACAGAGCTAAGAGAAATTGTAGAGCTGGGAGATGGCTTGAGAATATATGGTCCAACACAGGTAACATAGTTCTGGGTAGTGCGATGGCCTTTGGGCTAAATTTGATTCAGGAGATCTTAGGTTTCTCTTCTTAGTACTATCATCTTATGTACCTGATCTCTTTCCCTTCATCACTCCCAACACAAGATAACAAACTCAACCATTCTCTCTCTTGAGGCATCTGTGTGCCCCACAAACATGTATGCAACACCCACCATGTCTACAAGCCTTGTTCGGCACCTAGAGATGCAGAATGACACAGTGACTGTCCCTTCAAGAAGCTACCCCCTCAAGGTTGGGAGGCAGATACAATGGCCATTAGAATGGAATGTACAAGACATTGTGGGCCATGCGGAAGGGACTAACCCAGCCTGGGGTAATAGGGAGGGCAACCAAAAAGAGATGGCCCTTGTATGAAGTCATAAAGGATGAGCTGCACTAAGCCAGGCAAAGAGGGGTTACGGTGAGTTCTTCCAGGCAAAGAGGATTTTGTCTGGAAGTCCTCTTTGAGCAAAGACATGGAGTCCACATGAGCAAAGACATGGAGGAGAAAAACGGCATGGCACGAAGGGAACTGCAGGTACTGTAGTTTATTTCTTTCTGGGAAGGTGACCATGAGGCAGAGCCTGGCCAGGGGAGGGTGGAGAAACTAACGGGAACCATGTCTAGAAGATCCTTTCTCATCAGGTAGAGGGACTTAGACTCTGTTTCTTGGGCACTGGGGAGCCATGGAGGTATTTTAACAGGGAAGGGAGGTGGCCAATGAGTCCTTTGCATTATGACCAATCTTCTATTTAAATGGCCCACTTGATGATGTCAGGGAAACAAAAAAAAAAAAAGAAAAGAAAGAAAGAAACTATAGGCAGATTAGGGAGAGGACAGATTCATGCTAAACTTGGAGAGACACATCCCTGTCTGAATCCTGCCTCACTACTCACCAGCTGTGATGAGTCACTTCAACATTCGCTGAGCCTCTGCTCATCTGCAAAGTGGGGGCGGTGTGGGAGCATCCAATGAAATGTTTTTGTAGATTTGTACTCACCTGATCTCCCAGATATATTGTTAACCCAGAAATTAAGTGGCTGGATAATATGCACAATATCATTAATCTTAAAAGACTAATAAAGCAAAACACACATGTATGTAAAATGCAGAGAAAAAAGTTGGAAGGAGTCACACCAAATCGAAAATAGGGGTTGCCGCTGGAGAGGTGGAAGGAAGCCAAGATTGGAGCTGGAGATCAAAGGGAGATTTAGCCTCATCTGTAGTTTTCATTTGTACAAGGAAAATGTACTCCTACATTACTTTGCTTGCGTCCTTAAAAATTAATTTTTAAAGGCCAGGTGCAGTGGCTCACAACTGTAATCCCAGCACTTGGGATCACAAGGTCAAAAGATAGAGACCAGCCTGACCAACATGGTGAAACCTCGTCTCTACTAAAAATACAAAAATTAGCTGAGCATGGTGGCGCACGCCTGTAGTCCCAGCTACTCAGGAGGCTGAGGCAGGAGAATCGCTTGAACCCAGGAGGCGGAGGTTGCAGTGAGCCGAGATCATGCCACTGCACTCCAGCCTGGGCGATAGAGCAAGACTCTGCCTCAAAAAAAAAAATTAATTAATTTTTAAATAACCTAACAAAAGCCCTTGACAGAGAGTAGGTGTCCAGTCCGTGTTATCTCCCTTCCTGTCACTTACACAGTAAAGGTGTTTCCAGTTCCATTTCCTAATTCACCCTCATTCCAACTTCAGTTCAAGGTCAGAGTTATTTCTGGCCCGTCATAGTCACTCAATAAATATTCGTAGAAGATCTTCCCTGAAGGGGTCAGTTGATCTCTTGCAAGTGAATTGAAGATTGTCTTGGCAGAACCATGAGCCCAAGGCTTTGACGCCCTGGAGACCACAGAGGAATTGAGCTAGTCCTCAGCAGCCATCCTGAGCCATACTGAGGAGCTGCCATCCCTCTAGCCTTCTGGTAGACCCTGAACTCCTTGGGAATCATCCGCTCTTGCTCCTTTCAGGATTCAGAGCTCCTGGCTGGGAAGACAGAGTAATCGCTGCCTCCATTGCCTTCCCAAAGAAAGGCCAAGATTATCCCTGGCACATCAAAGAGCCCAGTCTCAACAAAGGAAACCATCAGCAGTGGTGGCCTTTGCACCAGGGGAGGAGGGGGATGCCAGAGAGATTTCACTTCCTGGTTAGGGACCCTTTTCCTTTTTTTTTTTTTTTTTTTTTTCTCCAGACAGGTCAAAAATCCTCTGTCACCCATGCTGAAGTATAATGGCACCATCACAGCTCACTGCAGCCTCGACCTCCAGGGCTCAATCAATCCTCCCACCTCAGTCTCCTGAGTAGGTGGGACTACAGATGCACACCACCATGCCCAGCTAATTTTTGTATTTTTTGTAGAGGTGCAGTTTTACCATGTGTCACAGGCTGGTCTCAAATTCCTGGCCTCAAGTGATTGGCCCACCTTGGCCTCCTAAAGTGCTGGGATTACAGGCATGAACCACCACACTTGCCTTCCTTTTTCCTGTTTGAATATCTTGTTTAAATGTTACTTTTTATTTTTTATTTAGTTTTATTTAGGTTTCTTTTTTTGAGAGAGAGTCATACTCCATTGCCCAGGCTAAAGTGCAGTGGCACGATCTCAGATCACTGCAACCTTCATCTCCTGGGTTCAAGTGATCCCCCCACCTCAGCCTCCTGAGTAGCTGGGATCACAGGCATGCACCACCATGCCTGGCTAATTTTGTATTTTTAGTAGAGATGGGGTTTCACTATGTTGGCCAGACTGGTCTTAAACTCCTGGCCTCAAGTGATCCATCCGCCTTGGCCTCCCGAAGTGCTGGAATTACAGGCGTGAGCCACCGCAACTGGCCTTATGTTACTTTTTAAATTAAATACATACTATTCCTTTAATTGGATGAGACTGGGTGCATTCAGGGTAGATAGAGTATGGTATCCGGTGGGAGTATCCAGGGCAGATAGAGTATGGTATGACCATAGACCATTCTTTTAATTAATTAGTTGATGCAAACAAAAAATAAATTTTACAAATGGAAATTCTATTTTGATAACTCTGATTTAGGCCACATGAGAGTTCTTGGTGAATATATGATTTTTGGGGTTATAGCAGAAAGAACAATGATCATTTGATGATTCTAAATATGAACAATGGTGGTATTACTTTTCTGGAGAGGAGGATAAAGTTGATGTCTGCATCCTGCCCACATAACTCCTAAAGCACTTCCTGAGGCTTGGGTGAGGATTTATTTAATTTAATCCACATAGGAAGCCAAGCCCAGAGTCTGCTAAAAATGTAGCTGTTTTGTTTAGGAGGGAAAAGCAAAGAGAAGATGCGATGAAGCCACAGAGCAGGAAGAGGCCTCGGTTGCTGTCCTGACCAGTCCTCTCACTTCACCATCAAGGCCATGAAACCCAGAGAAGGGATGTGACTTGAGATCCAGCCAGACCCAGATCCAGAGTTGGGAGGGCAGGGGTGCTGCAATATGATCACAGAATCGACACTCGACCCCTCCCAGCGACCTGGCAAAGTGGGCACTAACTCCATTCTGCAGAGGTGGAAACTGAGGCCAGTGTGGGGAATGGAAATTGACTGGGCTAAGCTTAGAAGCCTGAACTCTGACCCCAAAGCTCTCTCTTGTACCTTTGACCCCCTTGTCTTGTCCTGCAGCTCTTAAGGTTACAGTGAGCCAGTTTTTCATTTTGCCTTTCTCCAATGGAGGCACCTTGGAAAATAGAGATCTGGCTGGAGCAACCTGGAACATTTGATGATTGGGCTTATTTATATTTATAATTATCTATAGAGTGATAAGCACTTATATGCGGAAGGAGAGAGTTCCTGTCCTGCTCACTGATGTATCATCAACTTGCTAATGAATGAATGAATGAACAAATGCTAATCCTCACAGATCCCCTCTCTACAGAGGAAGAGGCTGAGGCTCAGGGAGGTGCAGTGACTTGCTTCAGAGACACAGGAATCATGCCAGGAATCGTCGGGCCTCCCTTTTTTCTCAGAGAAGAAAGATTGTTTCTGTTTCCTCCTCCGTCATGCTGGGCTTGTCAACCAGCCAGTCACCGGCCCTCCCTGAGGAAGCGCAGCACAGTCACCAGCCAGGAGAACAGATTCACCTGCCCCAGGACGTCAGCGCTGCCCACACACGGTGCCACCCACGCACTGTGACACACACTCACACTTGGGCCCCAGACTCCCCAGGTCCAACCAAGGAGAGGGAATGGCAGAGGAGCGCACAGGGGTGGGGCAGGCACTGAACCCCGCTGGGGAATGGAGGGGGAAAGGGTGGGACAGGCCCCACCCAGCCCCAACTGTCAGAAGACGAAAGAAAGGGTGCAGGTGGGCTCCGGGTTGGAGA
The DNA here is from genome assembly GCF_000001405.40 of Homo sapiens. Classification (NCBI taxonomy): domain Eukaryota; kingdom Metazoa; phylum Chordata; class Mammalia; order Primates; family Hominidae; genus Homo; species Homo sapiens. The sequence continues at coordinate 172,820,540 of NC_000005.10, forward strand.
AGAAGAAGGTGAGCCAGCAGAGCCGAGTCACGGCAGCCTGCCAAGCCGACTGCTGAGGCAGAGTTAGCACTGGCTGGATGAGACACTTCACACTTCACAGCTCCTGAAAAGTGTGGAGGAAATGCCCACACCCTACATAGACCAGAGGGCCACTATCTGCTTGAAACAAATGGCCCCTTCCTGGACATCCTTTGTTCCCCTTTATGGACAAAATGCTACTACCTTCACTTACACCCTCCCTAGAGATCTCCCAAAGAAGGAGGATGAGGGAAGCTGCCTTTGGTTGAGTCTATGCTATGTGCCTGACTCTGTGCCAAGCTCTGGACCTCCACCAAGTCAGGTGACATGATGATATGGGCACTACTAACCCTGGTTTCCCAGTGGGCAAACTGAGGCACGGCACAGAGTGGATCAGTAACTTGCCCTGAGTCACACAGGCTGGTAAACGGGAGCCAGGATGGGACTGAAATGCAGGTCTAGCTCAGCCCAAAGCACATCACATCAAGGGTCTCACAGAGCAGGGGTCCCAGGAAAGGTTACTGTGTCAAGCAGAAAAGGGCCAGGCAAGCAAGTCCCCAGCAAGAGCCAAGACTGCACTGTACCTTGCAAGGGGCATTAGACACTTCCAGATTTATCTGGATTCAATGACAGAGTGAGAACTCATGAAGGAAGGATAAGGTGGGGCTCAGGAAAAGAGGGTCCAAAGAACCGAGGTCTCATGTGCATTGAAAATGTTAGAAAGTTGCCTCGCAGGGGCTGGTGACAAAGTGGGTTTTGACATAGCTGTGGGGAGCATCTGAGCACTTCATATAAAATGGAAACACTACCCACACACTCATTTGCTCATGTGTGCACACACTTATAGGTGTGCACTCACACACACACATGCATATGTATCCTCCCAATGGGTGGGCATGTGTGTGGCATGCAGAGGTTGGTGCTGGAGGAAGAGGGGAACACACACCTACCGTCCATATACCTGGTTACTAATGAGCACCTACTGTATACATGGTGCTTTGCCAGACACTGATTGTCCAAAGGGGAGTCACTGTGATTCCCAGCTCCGAGGTGGACTATATGTATAGGCACGAAGAGTTAGCTCTTCAGACTTCTCATCACTCTCCAAAGGCCTTGGATTGGTAGGTTGCTTTGTAGCTTCCAAAGCACTTCTATATATGTTCAGTCTAAGTGAAAGGAAGAGCCCAGCACGGTGAGTGTGGGAGGAAATGTGAAGAGTGCCCTGAGCATCACCACCACGGATGAGTCTTGCCTGAATCAATTACTGGGATGAGTGTCAAATGGTTTTCCAATTCCATCATTCCTTCTATGTCTATTTAGTTGGCATCCTACTGCAAGGGAGAGCTCTCCCTTCTCCCCCATGTAGCGATCTACTTGTTTATATTTGTATAAACCCAGATTCTTATTTTATTCCATGTGTAATCATCCATGATCATCATTTTTGGTTTTGATGTTGAAATTGTCCCAGATTGGCCCATATTTGGCCAGTGGGAGCTCCTTCAAGCTGGCTCCATTTCCTTTCACATGCACGTGCCTATTATACCTTGAGCATGTCCTTACTTCTGACCTGAAAAGATGCTCCGGACTCATCTGGCACTTCCCCCCGGCCCAGCCGAAGAATCAGCTCCGGGTTGAGTAGCCTTTATCTGAAATGCCTGGGACCAGAAGTGTTTTGGATTTGGGATTTTTTTTTCCAGATTTTGGAATATTATTTGCACATACATAATTAGATGTCTTGACAATGGGATCCAAGTCTAAACATGAAAATTTTTCAGATTTTAGAATATTATTTGCACATACATAATTAGATATCTTGGCGATGAGATCCAAGTCTAAACATGAAATTTCTATAAAACATTCATGTTTTATACACATCATATACACATAGGCTGAATAAAATTTTACACAATATTTTAAATAATTTGGGGATTTTTATTTGTTTTGGTTTTTGTTGTTGTTGTTTTATTTTATTTTATTTATTTATTTTTGAGATGGAGTTTCGCTCTTGTTGCCCAGGCTGGAATGCAATGGTGTGATCTCAGCTCACTGCAACCTCTGCCTCCTGTATTCAAGCAATTCTCCTGCCTCAGCCTCCCGAGTAGCTGGGATTACAGGCGTGAGCCACTGTGCCTGGCTTGTTGTTTTTTGAGATAGTGTCTCACTCTGTTAACCAGACTGGAGTGCAGTGGTATTATCTCTGCTCACTGCAACCTCCGCCTCCTGGATTCAAGGGATTCTCGAGCCTCAGCCTCCTGCGTAGACGGCATTACAGGCATGCACCACCACGCCTGGCTAATTTTGTATTTTTAGTAGAGATGGGGTTTTACCATGTTGGCCAGGCTGGTCTTGAACTCCTGGCCTCAAGTGATCCTCATCTCTTGCCAGGCAGGATCCATCTGCGTTGGCCTCCCATAATGCTGGAATTACAGGCGTAAGCCACTGTGCCAGGCCAGAAGCAAGGTTTTGACCACATGTTGACTACAAGCCATTTCATGAAGTCAGGCGTGGAGTTTTCCACTTGTGGCATCACATCAGTGCTCGAAAAGTTTCGGATTTTGGAGCATTTTTTATTTCAAACTTTCAGATTGGGGATGCTCAACCTGTGCTTCTCCAAGGACCCCTGGTTCTATTACATGGAGATTGGTATTAAGAAACCACGATCTGGGCAGTAAGTATGTCACTAGTGCTTCCTAGATGACAGAGCTAAGAAGATATATGCATATTCACACACACACATTTCTCCATCTAATCTATCTATCATCTCTCTATGCACATGGTAAAATCCACGAGTTCACACCAATACCCCCAATTCCAATACAAAACGACAAGGCCTCTTCTAGTCTTCCTTTTTTCCGTATTTGCAATTCCCATCTCCAAAGTAAGAACCTGATTCCCACCATCCCCAACACATAAACTTAATTGTTCAATGCTCCTGTACGTAACAATTTCCCATTAACACAGGCCTCTTCCTTGGCCCTGGCCTTGCTGGACACGGGGGCCACAAAAGCCAAGTTCCTGCTGGCCCTGGTATCACTTCACTCTGATTTACATTCATTCCTCCAATAAATCTTTACTGATCACCTACTGTGTATGTGCCAGTCACTATTCCAGATTCTGGGAACCAAACACGTACCAAAAAATCCCTACCATCATGAAGCTGAGGTTCTAGTGGGGAACAGAGAAAACACGCAAAACAGGTAAATGAAAAATAAATGAGTGGAATTGTATGTTAGAAGGTGATAGATGCTATGAAAAAAATAAAGAGTAGGGTAAATGGGGATCAGGAGTGTTGGGGAGGTATGTAACTTAAAATAAGGGGCCAGGAAAGCCTCCCTGAAAAGATGTTTGAGCAAAGACTTGAAGAGGAGGGGGCTGGACAAGCAGCCACTGGGGGAGGGCAGCAGTGTAAAGGCCAGGGGCAGGAGCATCCCTGCTGGCTTGAGGTGTGAAAAGCCACTGCAGCTGGAGCCGAGTGAGCAAGGGGAGGGGACCAGGAAAGGAGGTCAGAAGCACACTGAGGCAGACCCTGCAGACTGCAGGCCATCGTAAGGACTTGCCGTTTATTCTCAGTGAGACAGGAGCCTCTGGCATGTTCTGAGCAGAGGAGGCACATGGTCTGACTTCGGATAAAAGGTCAGTTCTGGCTGTGGTGTTGGAAACAGGCTGAAGGCGACAACGCTGAACACAGAAAACCAGTTGAATAGCAATGCCTGACCCAGGTGAGATATGATGATGGCTTATATCAGGACAGCAGTCATGTGAGGTGATTAAAAGGGCTCAGATTCTGGATCTGAATTTTGAAACCCAGGGAGACTGACATCAGAGTCAGGGTCTGCCACAGTTTGATGACCCTGGTAAACCTCCCTAGCTTGGGCGGTGACCCTGAAAGGGCTGTACCCTAGAAGTAGGGGTGAAATAAAAGCAAACTAGTCCTGAGCTTCAGGTCATCTGGGTAAGCTAGTACATTTCAGCCTCTGAACTTGAAATAAGGTGATCCTAGAATGCTGATTTGCTCCAGGTGCCTGGAGAAAGGGATTTTTAAAAAAATCATCCCAGGCCTAAAATTATTTTTATAAATATTTTTCCAAATACAGTATTTTTTTTTTTAGCGCATAATCGAAGATAACCAGATTTCATGAGGGGAAAATACACCATGAATGGTAACAAGCAGAAATGGATCTCAAGGACTCCAGACATGGAAATTATCAGACACTGACTGTAATATAATTATGCTTCCTATGTTTAAGGAGATTAAAAGTCATGCCTGAAAATTCTGTAAGGAGACTGGAAACTATACAAAGTAACTGTGTCAGTCATGTCTAGTCCTGAATATGATGGCATAATCTAGGTGGTTAGAGGGGAGTTTAACTAAGCGATGCTTTTATTTTTATTTTCATCATTTTTTGAGACAGGCTCTGGCTCAGTCACCCAGGCTGGAGTGCAGTTGCATGATCTTGGCTCACTGCAACCTCTGCCTCCCAGGTTCGAGCCATTCTCATGCCTCAGCCCCCCAAGTAGCTGGGATTACAGGCATGTGCCACCAGGCCCAGCTAATTTTTGTATTTTTAGTAGAGACAGGGTTTCACCATGTTGGCCAGGCAGGTCTCAAACTCCTGACCTCAAGTGATCCACCCATCTTGGCCTCCCAAAGTGCTGGGATTACAGGCATGAGCCACTGCACCTGGCCAGATGCTTTTAACAGAATGAAAAGAGTATAGGGAAACTACAAGAGATACTCTAGAGCTAGTACCCTGGAGTAAGTAACAGTGGAGTGCTATTACTATCCCAAGGCCTGAAGGGGAAGGAGAAGAAATGGTTACTGGAACTAAGAAGAGTGGACCTAGGTGAAGAGTACCACCTGGTAGAAATTATGATGTTCACTGAAGGACACGGTCAACCTGGGTGACCACTCAGGGCAGAAGCTGGGCAAATACATACCAAAACTTCATTCTTCTCCTTCCTTCCAATCTACTGCAGGTACTCCCCACAGGCTGAAATCAGCCAGAAGCCAAAAATAAGGAGCCATCAAAACAGGTCAAGAAACCTCCCAGCACACAGAAAAGGGTGAAGAAGCAGAGTTATTCTGGAGGGACAAATAGAAGGCACCTGGCACAGTGAAGTCACATATTTGAAAAAGAACTAAACACAAATTCCAAAACTGGGAAATACAATGATAAAATTAATAATTCAATGGTCAGGTTTAATAGCAGATTCAATACAACCAAAGAGAGAATTAGTAAACTAGAAAACAGGTCAGAAGAAACTATGTAAAATTAACAGAGAATAAAAGCAAGATGAGAGAAGAGAGATAACGGGGCAAAGTTAATATCCACAAATAAGTAGTTGGTAATTTTCCAGGGCATTGAGAAAACATCAATCCACAGATTCAATAAGTCCAATGAACCTCAAGTCTACACTCATACTCATTATAGTGACCCTGCAGAGACAGAGAGGAGTCAGGGATGATGGTAAGGATAACAGGCAAATGGAAACTAATGGAGTTGCCCTGGACTGAGAGGAAGGAAAATTTGGGAAATTTGAGGAATTGACTGCCTGGCCCCTGTAAGCCCTTGTGTTTGAGCCCCCTAGTCCCCGGATCTTCTGAGTAGTTCTACTGCCTCCAGACCCATTCCCCACTCCCACTGACTTGGGCCTACTCCCCTTCTCTTCTCAGGAGATTGTAGCAACCTCCTCTTTGGCCTCCCACTCCAGTCCCTTCTCCACATTGGCTGCCAGAGTCATGCTTCTAAAAATGGCAAATGGTTGGTGGTATGATGTGGCCTAATTGTGGGTGATATACTTCTTTCCTACTGCTCTGGTTTCTACAAAGAAGGATTTCCCCTCAATACTCTGGGCTCCCCTCAAGCCCCACCAGGTAAGATGGATGAATTCTGACTGGTGAGTGTGGGACTGGAGTCTGACATGGTGGTGCTCAGCTCTTCCTTTCTTCTTCCTTTTGGGAGAAGACCACCCGCAGGGAGCTGCATTTTGCTCTCCCCTCCCCAAGAAGGCCTGTACTTTTTCTTTGCTTTTTATGCCTCCTGTGTGGGTCTGTCTGCCAAATTCTGAGGTTCACCATTAGGAAGCCCTCTGCAGATAGAAATCACATTTGTTCAGAGCATTGGCAGAAAAGAGAAACTATATTGGGTTCCCCAAAACCCCCAAACCAAATTATTGCAATACATCCTAACTTAAAATGCTTCAGGGCCTCTAACTGCCTACTAGAGAAAGTTCACATTTTTAACACAGCCCTCAAAGTCCTTCACCATCCAGCCCCTACCTCTCCAGCTTGATATTAGCCCAGGCTGCATCCATGCTGTCCTCTCTCCCACCACCCATGTTATTTGGATCCTTACCCAGTATGTAGCCAGTCCCTTGAAGACTACTTTATAAAAGGCAGACTCTCTTTCCTAACTCACACTGGGGAAGTCATATCATGAGCAGCATTATGGAGAGGTCCATGTGAGAAGGACTGAAGCCTCCAGTCAACAGCCAAGTGAGTGAGTGTCTATCCCTCACCTCCAGTCATCTGCAGAGTCTGTAGCCTTGACCGTGCCAGAACCACCCAGCTAAGCTGCTGTTGGATTCTTGATCCTCAGACATGGGGGCATAATAAATATATGCCATGGTTTAAATCCATCACCCAAATTTTATGTATTAGAAACTTAATCCCCTAATTCGTGTTGATGGTATTTGGATGTGGGGGCCTCTGGAAAGTAATTCGGATTATATAAGGCCATCAGGGTGGAGTCCCCCTGATGGTACTGGTGGCCTTATAAGAGGAAGAAGAGGTCAAACTCGGTGGCTCACATCTGTTAATCCTAGCACTTTGGGAGGCCGAGGCAGGCGGATCACCTGAGGTCGCCAGTTTGAGACCAGCCTGGCCAACATGGTGAAACCCCCGTCTCTACTAAAAAAAAAAGAAAAAGGCAAAGAGAGGCCTGAGCTGACATGCTCATGCCCTCTTACCATGCTATGCCCTCCACCATGTTATGAGACAGGAGAAAGGTCCTCACCAGAGGCAGCCCCTCAGCCTTGCCCTTCCCACAGCCCCCAGAACTGTAAGAAATATATTTATTTTCCTTATAAATTCCCCAGTCTGTGGTATTCTGTATAGCAACAGAAAATGGACTAAGACCTTGTGTATTGTTTTAAAGTTTTAAATTTTGGGTAACGTGTTTTGCAGCAATAGATAACTAATGTACCCAGCCTGCTTCTCTCCCCTTGACTAACTTCTTCATCAGGTCTCAGCTCAGACTCTTCCTCCTCCCAGAAGCTTTCCTGACTCTGTCCAAGACACCTGATGGTTTAGCCTCCCAATACCTCCTTCTCTGGCTGCACTGCCCAGACTCTTCTTTAGGGAACCACTCTTCTTCCATCTGAGTCTGTGTGTGTAGGATGAGGGTGACTCCACCCCAGGTTTGAGGGCCTGGCTGCCAGCCTAGGCCTGGCCAATCAGCACTCTCCAAACCCCTGGAGCCACTGTTTAGGCTGTGACCTAAGCCAGACCCTTGGGGGTCAGCCCAGGAGCCTTTCAGGAGGTACGGGGGAAGTGGTAATCTTTATCTCCTGGCATTGCTGAGTGGGAAAATATCAGCCTGGAGCTACAGGCACACATTTTGCCAGCACAAGGGGAAGCCTGCCTCAAGACGAGGCCAGAGGAAAACAAAGAAGAACCTGGGGATGGGAAGAGACAGATTCCTGATGCAATTGTTGAAGTGCCTGTATCCAACTGTGCCTGAAATCCAAATCTACCTCTGGACTTTTGGACTTTAATTTTTCTTTTTTCTTTCTTTCTCCCTCCCTCCCTTTCTTCCTTCCTTCCCTCCTTCCTTCCTTTTTTCTTTTTTTTTTTTGAGTGCCATAGACAGTGTGTGTTGCTTTTAGATGATTTCTGTCACTTTCAGCTGAAAGAGTTCAGACCAATTCATCCCCACGGGTGGAATCAGGGACTCCCTCTAGACTCCCAGATCCTCTGGTACCACCCTTGTCACTGCACTTATCACAAAAAACTGCACCAGAGATACGTGACCCTTTCCCTGTCCCTGATTTTTTTGTGATGGTATCACACTTTTGCTTACCTCCTCCCTTCTTTTTTGAAATTTGAGGTATGTCAGGTTCATTTCTACATCCAGAGTATCTGCCTAAAAGAGGTATTCAGTGAATAATGGTATAATGAACAAATACAAGAAAGGATGAATGAATGAACACATGAGTGTCTTCTAGTTGGTCAAGAGACTTTAATAGAGTGAGAAAGGAGAGTTGTTTCTCCAGAGACCTACCTGCTATGAGATCTAAGTTACACTAAAGTCCTCTCTGAGCTGACAAAGGATTATTATTTTTAAATCTCTCTTCACCCAGACCACAGATGAACCGGCCGCACCCATGGGACACAAACCCATCTCCCATTACAGAAAAACAAATCTGACCCAGCCATTCTCTGCTTAAAACAACTTTTGGTGATGTTTTGGACGGGAGTGGGTGGAAGGGAGTGAACATTTGGATTCAGAGAACATTCGGTGTTATAGAACATTCATTTGTTTATTGACTGACTCATTAGACAAGCAATGAATTAGCACCTACTATGTGTGGGCACTATACATGTTACTCCATCCTCACAGCAAGCTCTGTCTTAGGCCAATGTATTTGTTATCTGCTACTGCATAACCAATTACCCTAAACCTAGGGGCTAAAGCAACAAACATTTGTTATCACACAGGAATCCAGGTGCAACTCAGCTGGCTGCCTGTGGCTCAGAGTCTCTCACGAGGTTGCAGTCAAGCTGGGGGCCAGGGCCGTGGTCATGTCAAGCCTCCACTGGAGCAGAAGGATCCATTTCCAAATTCATTCACAGGGTTGTTGTCAGGCCTTAGCTCAACCTTGTCCAATGTGTGGTCTGCAGGCTGCCTGTGGCCCCGGATGGCTTTGAATGCATCCCAGGACAGCTTTGAATCCAGCCCAACACAAATTCTTGAACTTTCTTAAAACATTATGAGATTTTTTGTGATTTGTTTTCCTCATCAGCTATTGTTTGTGTTACTGTTTTTTTGTTTGTTTGTTTTTTGAGATGGAGTTTTGCTCTTGTTGCCCAGGCTGGAGTGCAATGGCGCAATCTCAGCTCACTGCAACCTCCGCCTCCTGGGTTCAAGCCATTCTCCTGCCTCAGCCTCCCAAGTAGCTGGGATTACAGACACCCACCACTACACCCGGCTAATTTTTTGTATTTTTAGTAGAGACGGGGTTTCACCATGTTGGTCAGGCTGGTCTTGAAGTCCTGACCTCAGGTGCTCGGCCATGGCCTCCCAAAGTGCTGGGATTACAGGCGTGAGCCACCGCACCCAGCCCGTGTTACTGTATTTTATGTGTGGCCCAAGACAATTTTTCTATTTTTTTTTTTTTTTTTGAGACGGGGTCTCCCTCTGTCACCCAGGCTGGAGTGCAGTGGCTCCATCTCTGCTCACTGCAACCTCTGCTTCTCAGGTTCAAGCAATTCTCCTGCCTCAGCCTCCTGAGTAGCTGGGATTACAGGCATGCGCCACCATGCCTAGCTAATTGTTTTTGTTTTTAGTAGAGACGGGGTTTCAGCATGTTGGTCAGGCTGGTCTCAAACTCCTGACCTCGTGATCCACCTGCCTCTGCCTCCCAAAGTGCTGGGATTACAGGCGTAAGCCACCACGCCCGGCCCCTAAGACAGTTTTTCTTCTTCCAGCGTGGCCCAGGGAAGCTAAAAGATTGGACACCCCTGCCTTAGAAGAATCACTTGCAAACTCACCCACAGGGGCTTTTCCTTAGGGCACAGAAGCCACACACAGAAGCCAGCTTATCCAGGGTGACTGATCCAAGAGATAGCAAGAGAGTGTCCAAGACAGAAGTCACCATCTCTTGATAACCTAATCTCAGAAGCAACATGCTCATCACTTCTGCCATATTTTGTGCATTAGAAATGAGTCCATAAGTCCAGCCTACACTTGAAGGGAGGAAATTACACAAGGGTATGAATACCAAGAGGTGGGTTAATTGGGACAATTTCAGAGGCTACCTGCCACAGGTAAGGTATTATTATCCTTCATTTCATACCTAGACACCCAGCTAGTTAAGCAACTGGTCCAGGTCACCCAGCAGAGAGTGATCTGAGTCCAAAGTGGTTTTCTATTTCCCCAGGCTGGCGGGGGGTGAGATGGAGGAAGGCAGGGAGAAGTTACTGGTAGGAAAAAAAAATAATGAGGATGGAGTCTCTGTTATTTATCTACTGCTGTGTAACTAATTACCCACAACTTAATGGCTTAAAGCAAACATTTATTATCTTATAGTTTCTATGGATCAGGAATTCGGGAGCAGCTGAGCTGGGTGTTTCTCAGGGTCTCTCAAGAACCTGTGGTTAAGCTGTGGGCTGGGGATGCAGCTTTGAAGCCCTGACCGGGGCTGAGCCGCTACTTCCAAGAGAGCCCACTCACATGGCTGTTGGTGGGAGGCCTCATTCCTCACCGACCAGGCCCCTTTATAATCGTGCTTGAGCCTCTTTAGGACAGGCAGTTGGCTTCCCTCAGAACGAGTGATTCAAGAGTGGCTAAGCAGAGCCTCAGTCTTTTGTGACGTAGCCACAGGAGTCATAACTGTCGTTTCTGCAATATCCTGTTGATTACACAGGATAGGTCAGCCCTATTCATTGTGGGAGGTGATTCTAGAAGGGCATGGGAATACCAGGAGATCAGGGTCACTGGAGGCTGGCTACCTACCACAGGCTTCCACAAGATTGATAATCCGAAAACTTAACTTGTATTGTTGTTCCCTGCTCAAAGAGACCCAGAGCCTTCCCACGTACTGCAGACACAATCTGATTTTCTTAGCTCCATCTCCCACTGGCTCTTGAGTGGATGGACCATCTGGGACTGACAGCCTGGTCTGCTCACAGACCTCACCAGTCCCACAGCGGAGGCCCATGTTGATACCTCCCCTCCCATCCGCTGTTCTGTTGGTAAGGCCTGCCTCCGTGGGAAGGCCTGCCTCCCTGGGAAGCCTCTATTCAAACTTCAACGCATAGTTAGTGCATCCCCAGCATGTGCAGGGTCTGGCTGGATGCTAGGATATGATGGTGATACCACCTTGTCTCAGGGAACTTTCCTTTTTTTTTTTAAATTATACTTTAGGTTCTGGGATACATGTGCAGAACGTGCAGTTTTGTCACACAGGCATACACGTGCCATTTGTGTATGGCATCATTGTTTGTGTACCCATCAACCCGTCATCTACATTAGGTATTTCTCCTAATGCTATCCCTCCCCTAGCCCCCTACCCCCCGACAGGCCCCTCTCAGGGAACTTTCACTCAGATGGGGTAGTAGTTACTAGCGAATTAATAATAACCTAATCACACGTCATGCCCAGTTCTCCCAAGGAAACCTACAAGGTACCATGCGATTATGTAATAGGGGACTGGCCTAGTCCATGAGCATTGGGGCAGTCAAGTAGCTAGCCAGGCTGCATAGGTGTATCAGCATTGGGTTTAGGTGTAAGTGTCTGAAAATACAGAATAACAATAGCTTAAATAAGATAGATGTTTGTTTCTCTTGGGCAGGTGTTTGAGGACAGGTATTTTGCCACTTAGAGACAGGAACTCAGGTTTTTTTTTTTTTTTTTTGAGACAGAGTCTCACTCTGTCGCACAGGCTGGAGGGCAGTGGTGTGATCTGGGCTCACTGCAACCTCTGCCTCCCAGGTTCAGGCGATTCTCCTGCCTCAGCCTCCTGAGTAGCTGGGATTACAGGCGTGTGGCACCACGCCCGGCTAATTTTTGTATTTTTAGTAGAGACAGGGTTTCACCACATGTTGGTCAGGCTGGTCTCGAACTCCTGACCTCAGGTGATCCGCCCACCTCGGCCTCCCAAAGTGCTGCAATTACAGGTGTGAGCCACTGTGCCCGGCAGGAACTTAGGCTCTTTTTGTCTTGTTGCTCTGCTCTGTGGTGGCCTCCACCTTATGGTCCAGGATGGTGACGCCTACATTCCTGGCAGCCAGATGGAGAAAGGGACACAGAGGGTAAAGCAGACATACCAACTATCCCAGATGCCCCACAAGACACTTCCCTTTACTTCTCAATGCCACATCTAGCTACAAAGGAAGCTGGGGAAATGCAACTTTCACTGTGAGCACCCACATGCCCAGCCAAAAGTTGGGAGCTCTATCCCCACTCGAAAAGAGCAATGATAGTCAACCCTGTCTTGCATTTACTCTGTGCCAGGCATTTGCTGACCTTGGATATCATCCCAAATGCACACTTGATTCAGTAGGTCTGGCCTGGGGACAAGAGTCTGTCCTGTGATGGCCATGTGGCTGGTCTGTGGACCACAGTTTGAGGAGGGAGGATTCGAGGTCAAAGATCCATCATTGCATGTTTCCTCCCACACAGGGCCAACGAATGGCTGTTTGGAAGCAGTGGCTGCTCAAGATCCCTTAACTCTCCCTGCTGTCCCTAGGTTTCCAGTTCAGGCTGAGATTTCCTTTTCTCCCCCAACAGTGTCAGACCACTGACACTGAATGAATGAATGAATGAATGAGTGAATGAATGAAAAGGGAACGCAGAGGTCAGGTCCCGGCATATGCTCTAGGGGAAGGCTTTGGTTCACCACGTCACCCTACCCCAGACCCCGTGCTAGTGTTGTCCCTTCTGAATCCTCCCGGAGGAACCAGCACTGCTGTTCCCCTCTATTTACACAGGGGGAAACTGTCCATTGACTCTGCTTTTGGAACCCGAGCCCTCACCATTCTCCCCTGGGTTTTTTGAAGCCCTGTCCCACCACAACCTTGGAGAAAGGGCCAGTGACAGAACCTCGGGGAAGTTCAGAGTGAGTTTCCCCTACTCAGGTCTTGTGTGACCTCAACTACCATCTCCTCTAATCCAGCAGTCACGGAGGCAGCTGCTCTGTATTCCTGAGGAGGAAACTGAGGCTCTAAGAAGGAGACAATCGGCACAGTCCACGTTGGCCAAGTCACAGTGCAGGTCCCATCTGCCTCTGCCACAACCCTGCATGTTCTCGATGGACCTGGTTCAGAGCAGATGCTCTGTGAATGCCCACTGGAGTGAACGACAGGGGCAGATGGAAGCAGGGACAGCCACTGCCAGCCTCAATAGTTTCAGGTGCCTGGCACTGTGCTAAGCCAGTCTCCTGTTTCTCAGCTGATCCCCAGGAAAACCCCCTCAAGTAGGTGTCATCGTCCTCTTTGTGCAGATATGCAAAAGGGGCGGGGCGGGGGGGGGGCGCTCTGAGAAGCCCAGTGGCTTTCCCAGAGAGACACGGCAGGGGCAGAGGTGAGTCCACCTTAACAGCCTAGGATGGCCGACCTCTTCCCTTCCCCCACAGTATTAGGCCCTCACTCAGAGCTAGACGCTGTGCACGGCCAAAGTCTGTATCACCCCGCCCCCCGCCCCCAACTCAATCACAGTTCAGTGAAACTGTTTACAAATGCAAAAAACTGGGCTCGGAGAAGCAGAGAATTTGTCCGAGGGCATCCAAAGAGATGGAGAAGGAAATCTAAGTGGGAGGCTTGAAGGAATGAGTACTGGAGTCTTTGGGGGACTCCCTTCCCTTCCGACAGCCTCGACTCTCCGCCCCTTCCCTGCCTGCCCGCGGGCCCCTTTAACCGGGTGGCGGAAGGGGCGGCCGGGCGGGCGGCGCCCAATGGGCTGCGCGGAGCGTCACTTCCCGGCAGCGGGAGGCGAGTGGCGAGTGGCGAGTGGCGAGTGTCAGGGGGGCGGCCGGCGGGGGCGGGGCGGCCGGAGGAGGCGTTGGCAGCGGGCTCGGACCCACGCGGCGCCGCGGCCCGCCTGGCCTGCAGCGCTCCCACCCCCGGCGGCGGCACGATGCCCTTTGACTTCAGGAGGTGAGTGTGGCGACCCCGGCCAGTCGGGAGTTCCCTCAGCGGGCAGAGGGAGCGCCCCGGCACGCCGCGGACCCCTCCCGCCCTGCATGCAAAAGCGGCTCCCCGCCCTGTGCATGCCTCCGCAGGCCCCTAGGGACCCCAGGCGAGCCCCCCCCCTGCCGCACACGAAGCCAGCCAGAGCCGCGGAGGCCCCCTCGTGCAGCGGGAGACAAATCCACCCACCTTCCCTCCGCCGAGCCCCCTCCCCAGCCTGCCCGGATACCTTGCATTCCCCTCCCCCACACTAGGAAACATTTCCTCCCTCCTCCCAGATGGGAACAGCCCATAACACCCCAGCATCCCTCTCCTCCCTCTACTGAGCCTCCTTGGTGGACCCCACCTCAGCTGACAGGTGGGGCAGGGCACCTGGAATGAGTCCGGAGGGGCCTGGGGCCCCATGCAGCCTGCCGGCAGCTGGAGGGTTTTAAGTTTCTATAGCCTGAGGCTCCCCCAGGCCGGGCAGATCGGGAGGCCTGCCCCCGCCCCTCCCTCCCTCAGCCCCAGCCCTGTCCGCTGGGTATGGGGGCACCATGGGAAGGGGAGGAGGCGCCTTGGGCAGGACTCTGCAGAAGGGCCACCGGGGTCTGGCCTTGGCTTTCTGCAGTCACCACAATGGGTCCTTTGTGGGGTCCAGCTGCCTCATGGTCTAGGTTGCATGGGGCATTCTGGAAGCCTGCGGGGGAAGAGATCTCCACCAGAGGTTCCCTTGAGGTGTGGAGCCCCAGGGGATGTCCTGGCCTGAGGCAGCCACACTTGGTGTCTGGCTGGGAAAAGAGCAGGGCTTTAATGCAGGGAGGAGCTGGATTAGAATCCTGGCTCTGCCCTTTCTACTGAACAGCTCGGTATATTCTAGAAGTTAGGGGCAAAGGCTCTGGGTTCAGAACTCCCTGTCGCCGCTCGGCTGGCTGACCTCAGCAAGTCTCCGAGCGCCCTCAGTTTCACCACCTGCAAATTGGGGCTAAAAATAAGGTCTCCGCTTGTGACGACTGAGTGCGTGAAACACCCTTAGCAGAGTCTGGCATGATTTAGAGCTCAGAAATAGGGCATTAGTGGATGGGGGGTGTTCTCCAGGAGGGGTTTTCCACATCCACAAAATAGTGATTCAGATGCCTGTGCCACAGGAGGTATTTCTTCCCCTCTTCTTGCATGTGAAGGCAGTGTAAAGTGACAGTCTACCCAGAGAGAAAGGCCCTTAGCCTGCCATGACCCCCATAGCATGGGATATATTGGGGTTTAGGCCCAAAGAGGACACTGGTCTTGGACCTCTTGATTGGTTGACATGGTTTTCCAGCCTGTCCGGGTCCCTGATACCAGCTAGCAAATGTTTGCCGGCTTCTTGCCCCTGCCGGGCAGCCCTGAGGCTAGCAGACCTAGGCAGTTTTGAACAAGGACAGCCCCTCTGGTGGAATTCAAGGTCAGTCCTAATAGCATCAGTTAAGTCTGGGCCATAAGAGCTGTGGTCGGCACATCAATTTCTGGTTCCACAAAGCCTCCCCTTACCCAGGCCAACCATAGGGATTCGTGCCACCGCCGCCCCCTGCCCCTGTGTGATTCAGTAGGTTCCGGTGATTTTGAGCTTGCTGGGGAAATTGCTGTTTTTGATCTTTTAATCCTTTCTCCCTGCACCTCACCCTTCCGTCTTACCAAGGAGGAAATGAGGCTCCAGGGATGAGGGCCTTATCTTGGACTTTATGGGTGCTAAATGGGAAGGGTAGACTTAGGTCTCAGGTCACACATGGCTCCCAACCTTGTGCTCCTTGAATTGGTGGCTTGTGGGGGCAGGTAAGGGAAGTAAGGAAAATGGGTAAGGCCAGCTCTAGCCTTTGGCCTTGGAAGGGCCCTGTGTCAGGCATTGATATTTAAAGAGAGAAATGCTCAGCTCTGAGAAGCTGGCTAGTCTGGGGCTCCCTTGGCATACTTCAGGTCCCTGAGTGCCCAGGTGTCAGGGGGCCCAGCTTAACTAGGAAATACTCTCAGGGCTTGGGCTCACTGCGGAATGGTGAGAATGGATTCAGTGCTTCACGTTTGCACCTTGGAGGATGAGCCATGTGTGCCCAGCAAACCTGCACTCTTTAAGCTCTGTGAACTTCAAGGCTCCAGGACCTGGGTTCTACTGAGGGTTCGACCATCCCCATGCACCTTCCTCCGCTTCAGTGTGCATTCATCAAGCATTCATCAAGTGTCCAGTCCATGCTCAGCCCTCTGCCACAGGCCCCACCGTGAGGAGGTGGGTGGCATGTGGTCCGGCTCTCTTTGCATTCCAAGAGAAGGGAGGAGGGCTTATGGGGTCCCAGGAGTGGGGGTGTGCGTGAACTGGCACGCAAGGAGCATCTACCACTGTATACACACTTTGGGGTGCAGACATCGATTCCCTTGTCACCTGAGAGAGGGAGTTTTAATCTTCATTTTAAATCAAAGGAGAGGGGAGCTCCACTGAGTAGAAGCCCTTTGCTCTGGCCATGCAGTGCATGAGCTGGTGGATCTGGGATTTGAACTTGGGGCTGTTAGCTCCAAAGCCTTAGATCTGGGAGAAAAGGGAGAGATTGGAGGGGCCCACCATCCTGTCAGCTCTTTTAAGAATTGTGGGGAGTGGAGAGGGGTATACCGTGATTAGACCTCCTCCCCCAGTTCAAGGCCAGGGAGAAAACCAGCCGTCCTGCTCGTGTTCCCCTTCTTAAAATCAGAAGCAGGAAAAATAGTGCACTCTTGCCCTTCCCTACGGATACTTCTGATTTTCTTACTGCCTGTAGAGCCTGGTGCAACTGAGTTCTGTGTTTTCCTGTCTGTGAAATGGGAATGAGGAGAGTACTCACCGAAGTAGAACAGTTGAGGGATGAGGCAGTGCGGAAAGCATTTAGACACAGAGTAAGCGCCTCATCCATTTTGGCCGCCATATTTATTTGTGTCATTTTATTTAAGCACCCATCATCTCCTAACACATTATATAATTCACTTAATTATCATGCTGCTTCTCTCTCCCTCCCATTAGTACATGAGCTCCTGAGGGCAAGAAGTTTTTATCAGGCTTCTTCAAGGTTGCATCTCCAGCACCTAGAACTGTGCTTGAGCCAAACTCGATCCTTGGAGATGCCTCTTGAAATCTGTCAAGGAAGCCATAGACATGACGTGACTTGATATGCCAGCTTCAGTGGGCAGATTTTCAGCCATTAGTGGAGAAATCTCCCCTCTCCACCCTTGAATCTGCCGTTCCTAGGTTGTTTTTGGGGTTAAGGAAGGAGGCAGAACGCAGGGGAGGGAGGCTGAGCTTTCAATGATTTATTGTGTTTGCTTTGCTCTTGTTAAATTGTTTCACTAATGGCTGGCTGTTGCAGTTGTGGAACTAGCCTTGTGACCCACATCCGTGTGTGTTGTTTCGAGTTCCGGCTGGCCTGGGGCCAGTAGCACCTGCTGCCTTCTGCACACCAGCCCAGGGTGGGTGAGGAGGGAAGATAACAGCATCCGGAAGCCCTGTGCCCAGGCCCAGTGGTGCCTGAGCACTGCCTTCCGGGAGGTGCAGGTGGCTGCTGTCCCACAGTGACAGCCCCCATGTTGAAAACCCAAGGCCTCGGGGGTGCCGCTGCACTGGCACTGACCAGATGTGCTCTGGGACCATTGACTTCCCCTCTCGGAGCCTCCATTTCTTCATTTTAAGGAGGGGATGTAAACTTCGCTGCCTCACCTGGTAGAGTAGATGTAGGGGCAAGTGTGATCAATGCACACTTGCAGGATCAATGTGCAATGCAACTTGCAATGCAGGATGAGGCCCATAATTTGTGGGGCCCAGTGCAAAATGAAAATGTGGAGTCCCTTGTTGAAAAAGTATTAAGAATTTCAGGACGGCAGCAGCAGCGCATTCAGCCAAGCATGGACCCCCCTCTGAGTGTGTGACCCTGTGTGCCTGCACAGGTCATGCGGCCCTGATGGGGCTGGCCCTGCTGCAGGGCCTTGGTTTGGCCTCTACCATTTTTCACTCTGGCCTTCTGAGTGGTCTTTCTCCCTCCAGGATACCCCAGACCTCCTCAGGACTCCCTAGTGAGCTTTCCAAAGTTGATCTGATATTTTCATGTCCTGATTTCAACCTTCAAATGGGTCTCATTGCTCTAAGGATCCAGTGTGAATTCCTTTTTAAAAAAAAATTATATAGAGATGGGGTCTTGCTATGTTGGCCAGGTTGTTCTTGAACTC
Source organism: Homo sapiens (assembly GCF_000001405.40). Lineage (NCBI taxonomy): Eukaryota > Metazoa > Chordata > Mammalia > Primates > Hominidae > Homo > Homo sapiens. The sequence goes on from NC_000005.10 coordinate 172,838,658, forward strand.
CTGGCCTCAAGTCATCCTCCTTCCTTGGCCTCCCAAAGTGCTAAGATCACAGGCATGAGCCACTGCACCTGGCCCAGTCTTAATTCCTTAGGCCCCAATAGGGAATGGGACCCTGGTAGCCCCATCAGTTCCTACACCAAGCTAAGCCTCAGCCACCACAGGGACCTCTGAGCACAGAGTTAACATTCAGCAGAGAGTAGCTAACATGAATGCCTGTATTTCTACCCTGCTGTTTCTTCCAGAAAGAATTCCAAGGAAGCTGACAAGAACATATACTTTACAGCAAGTTTTAAAAAATATAAAATGAGCGCTGTGGCTCATGCCTGTAATCCCAGCACTTTGGGAGGCTGAGGTGGGCGGATTACCTGAGGTCAGGAGTTTGAGACCAGCCTGGCCAACATGGTGAAACCCCGTCTCTAATAAAAATACAAAAATCAGCCGGGCTTGATGGTACATACCTGTAATCCCAGCTCCTCGGGAGGCTGAGGCAGGAGAATTGCTTGAGCCCGGGAGACGGAGGTTGCAGTGAACTGAGATCTTGCCACTGTACTCCAGCCTGGCCAACAGAGCGAGACTCTGTCTCAAAAAAAAAAAAAAAAAAAAGTATATATATATGGGCCAGGTGTGGTAGCTCACACCTGTAATCCCAGTACTTTGGGAGGCCAAAGTGGGAGGATTGCTTGAGGATTGCAGGAGTTCAAGACCAAGCTGGTCAACATAGCAAGACCCCAGACCCCATCTCTATGGGGAAAAAAAAATGGCCAGGTGTGGTGATGTGCGTCTGTGGTCCCAGCTTCTTGGGAGGCTGAGGTGGAAGGATCTCTTGAGCCCAGGAGGTGGAGGCTTCAGTGAGCCATGTTCATGCCATTGCATTCCACACTGGGTAACAGAGCAAGACCCTATCTCAAAACACACACACACATACACACACACACACATACACACACATACACATACACATATAGCCTTAAAAATCAGGGCAAAAAGAAAATAAAAATTAGACCAGAGAGAAAATTATGTGAAAAGGCCAGTATTTCGGGTTTATTGAACATTTGCTAGTGCCAGGCACTGTTGTAAGGATCTTACTGTATCAGCCCCTTTAATTCTCCACAGTCCTACAAGGGAGGTGCTGTTGTTACCCCACTTTACAGGTGAGCCAGTGGAGGTGCCACAGAGTTCGGAAACACGGTCGTTCCCGTTCCTGGAGCTGGGATTGGAACACTGCCATTTGGCACCAGAGCTCCACTGTGTCCTGTAGGCTCATCTCTAAAGCTTTCTCTTTTCCATTCACTAAATTCAGAGAGAACTGAGAACTCTTCTAATTGGATTCATTGGGTTTCTCTTCACTAATCCTCACCCAACAGTGCTCATTAAGAAGCTTAAAGCCATCAACTTTTTTCCCCCTAGCCTCATGTAGCGTGATACCTGATTCTGAAATGGTCTTTAAAGACCCTCACACCAGCTAATGGCATCACCCTCGAGGGGCTCAGTTTTCCCACGCTGACCAGTGGGGGTTTTCCAGCTTAGAGCATCATGTTTACCTGCTCGCGGGGACATGGAATGAGATGGAATGTCCTCTCCTCCCAAGGCCGTTTGGATTCCTGACTGTGGTGCTGTAGTAGCAGGAGACAGGGCTTTAGCCAGCTGTGTCCTGGTTAAGTTACATTCCCCATCTGGTAATCCTTTCGTATTTTATTTGGAGTTACTCCTAGCCAGTTTTTGTCAGGCGTGGGAGAGACAGGCAGGGTGTGAAGAGGGTATTTGGGGTGAGGCTTACCCGGTACATCTAAATCAGTGAGCCTCAACCCTGGCTGTATATTAAAGTCTCTCATGTGATTCTAATGCACAGCCAAGACGGAGGAGAAGTGCTCTGAATTGGGAGAAGCAATAGCAAGCAGGGCTGAGAGCAGCAGGGGAGCCAGGTCGGGTGGCGGTGGAGAGCCTTGCCTCGGGAGGCTGGGGCGTGGAGTTCCCGTCCCACCCATCACTCCTGCATGACCTTCGGCAACTCTGTTACCCCACCAGTGAAGTGGACAGTAAGGGGCCGTAACTTTCTACTAATAACCTTGCTCTTCAAAGTGCAGTCCCAGATGCCAGCTTCAGCAGCACCTTGGAGCTTGTTGGAAGTGGAGAATCTCAGTGCCCACCTGGAATCTGAATTTGTATTTTAACAAGATCCCCAGGTGATTCATGTATTCATTAAAATGTATAAAGCCCTGGTCTGTATGATTGATTTGACTCAGTGTCCTCCAGTCTGTGTCCCTCCATGCCGCACTGGCTGCCTCACTGAGGACTCTGAAGAGTCCGGCACTGAGCGAACCAGAGTTATTTGGTTCAGCCCAACATTTGCCACATGTATAGTCTCAGATGCCCTGTTGTTTATGGAGCAGCTAGTGCCATTTCTCAAAACACAGTTTGGGAAACACAGCCCTAATTGATCCTTTAAGGAAGTGGCAATTAGCCTAATTGTCTGTTGTCAGCTTTAACTTTTAGGTCTATTAACTTAATTACATTGATTGTATATGTGGGAAAAGTACAGGACAGGAAAAAAACCTCCAACGCTGGCTGTCTTTGTTTAAAAAAAATCTTGACCCACGGGAGAGGCAGGGTGAACTCAGGGTTCTCCATACAGCCAAGAGCCAGGGGACATGTGGGGTCCTTTACAGATACCTCTTCTCCCTCTGAGTGGGCATGATCCTTCCTGTTTTATGTCCAGGGAAACCGACCCTCAGAAATGCTGGGAAACAGCTGGTGCCTCTGACAGCGTAATCCTCATGCCCTTGACAATTAGCCTTCCTCCTGGCACCTGCCAGGCAGCACAGCTACACAGGAAGGCAGATCCGCTTGAAATGGACAAACCATTCTGTTTCTCCAAAAGGTGGAAACCCTATTCGAGATGAGAGGCCTGGCTGTAATTACAGTTAGTAAAGTCAGAGGACCCGGATGTCCCTGATGTACTGGGGACTGGCGTTGTGATAGCCCCTCCATGCATTAGCTTTCCTTTCTCAGATTCTGGTCTGGGTCTTGAATATCTTTGGAGGAGGAGAAGTAATGCTCATCTTATTAGCAATACCTCACGGCCCTTCAGCTTGTAATGTCTTGAGCACTGGGCTAGGCATGTCATTGGACTTATAAAATCACACTGGCCTTACAGACAGATACAATGATTCATGATTTATTTTCTTTGTTTTATTTTTAAAGTTAGCATATGATAAAATTAATGTGTGTTTGTGCACTCTTCTATGAAAGTTAAGGCTTGTTTATCATGTAATCACCACCATCCAGATACAGGACAGCTCCATCTCTATCACCCCTCACATCTCATGCTGTCACTTTATAGTCATACTATTAATTTGGTTATTTTTTGTGTGGTAAGAATACCTAACATCAGAGCACCCTCTTTTTTGAGACGGAGATTCCTTCTTGTTGCTCAGGCTGGAGTGCAATGGCGCAATCTCGGCTCACTGCAACCTCCACTTCCCAGGTTCAAGCAATTCTGCCTCAGCCTCCCAAGTAGCTGGGATTACAGGCATGCACCATCAAGCCCAGCTAATTTTGTATTTTTAGTGGAGATGGGGTTTCACCATATTTGCCTATTTTAGATACTTCATGTAAGTGGAATCATGCAGTCTTCATTCTGTGTCTGCCTTATTTCACATAACGTAATGTCCACCAGTTTCATCAATGGTGTCACAAATGACAGAATTTCCTTTTTTAAGGCTGAGTAATATTTCAAGGTGTATATATACCAATATTTACCCATTAATAGACATTTAGGTTGTTTCCACATCTTGGCAGTTATGAATAATGCTGCAGTGAGCATGGGAGTGCAGATGTCTCTGAGATCCTGATTTCAATTCTTTTGGATAAATACCCCAAAGTGGGACCGCTGGATCCTATGGTAGCTCTATTTTTAATTTGTTGAGAAATCTTCCTCCTGTTTTCCATAGTGGCTGCACTATCTTTCCTCCCCACCAACGGTGTACAAGCATTCCCTCTCCCCACATCTTGCCAACATGTCTTTTGTTTTTCTGGTAATAGCCATCCTAACAGGTATGAGGTGCCATTTCATTGTGATTTTTATTTGCATTTCCCTGATGAATAGAGATTTTGAGCATCTTTTCAAGATCTTGGCCATTTGTATGTCTTGTTTGGAGAAATATCCATTCACATTTTTTGTGCTTTTTAAAATTGGAGGGTTTTTGGCCAGGCATGGTGACTCACACCTGTAATCCCAGCACTTTGGGAGGCCAAGGTGGGTGGATCACCTGAGGTCAGGAGTTCGAGACCAACCTGGCCAACATGGAGAAACCCCATCTCTACTAAAAATACAAAAATTAGCTGGGCATGGTGGTATGCGCCTGTAGTCCCAGCTAGTTGGGAGGCTGAGGCAGGAGAATTGCTTGAACCTCCGGGAGGCGGAGGTTGCAGTGAGCCGAGATTGTGCCACTGCACTCCAGCCTGGGTGACAGAGTGAAACTCCGTCTCAAAAATTAAATAAAATAAAATAGAAGTTTATTTTTGCCACTGAGTTTAAGGAGTTGCTTATATATTCTGGATATTAGCCCCTTATCAGGTGTATGGTTTGCAAATGTTTTCTTCCATTCTGTAGTTGCGTTTTCACTCCGTTAATGTTTTCTTTATTCAGTTTTAAAATGGTAAGCCAAGGCACAGAGCTGGAATGGGAGTGGCCCAGGACACAGCTGGTGAGGTGCAGAGCTGGGGTCCCAGAGCCTGGCACCTCACATGGTGCTATCCTGCTTTGCTGATTTTTCTTGCTGATTTTTATTATTCTTCACTAGATCTTCTCTCCCCTCCCACTTTCACACCAACATATAGAATTACCTAAAGTATCCTTTAAGAACTTTGGGAAACCCTGGTGATATTTGGCGTGTTTTGATGTCTTGCTGGGTCCAAGAGTATGTTCATGGTGTGCAGAAAGAGTCTCCAAGTCTTCAGGGGAAAGTGGTATGTAGCGGTCCAACCCTGGCCACCCTTTCTGAATGGTCTTCGCCCTTGCAAACCCCTCTGGGGACTGACCACAGGTCCCCTGCGGAACGCTGTGAAGTGCCCTTGGAACTGACCCTCACATTGCACTCATTCGGCAGAACTCTCTGGATTGAAATCCCTTCCTCAGTGTTTACCAGCTGTGGGGCCCAGGACAAGACACTTTGCCTCTGCAAGCCTCAGTTTTCCTCATCTGCAAATTGGGGTGCTCATACTTTCTTTGCGGGGATTTTGTGAGGGTGAGATGAGCTCATGTGGAATGTGAGACAAGTATACTTGGAGGCGGGAGGACATTTCCCTCTCCTCTGCCTTTCCTGGCGGCATAGTCCTGTGCACCTCACCGAGCCGTGATAGATGGCAGTAGTGGGTCTTCTGGTAGGTGGACGTGGTAAAACCAGGGCCTCCGGGGTTTGCAGGGCACAGATACAATCACATGGGAACACCTGAGATGGTCAGACCCAGAGTTAGACCCCTCTCCCTTTGTGGTACCCACACAGCCATAGACGTCAAACACCAGTCTGTGGTAAGGGAGAAAGTGGCCAGAGGGTCACACACTCAGGCGCCCCTACCTATCAGCAAGTACCTCAGTCGGTGATTGGGCAAGATGTGGGCCATGGCCACCTGGAGCGCGAGGCCCTGTGGGGAAGGGACAGCTGACATGCAGCTCTGTTGCTTACTGCCTACAGATGCCCTGATTTTTCAAGAGACAATGAAAATCTGATAAATTGCGTGAAAATGGTTGGCCACTGATCTCAATTTTATTTCTGTTAAACACCAAACAAATCCTTCTGAGGGCTGACGATAGCCTATGACAGGCAGGGTGCCGCCTCTGTGTCGCACATGGCAGTGTGACCAGGACAAGCTCGGGGTGGGCAGGACCTTGGGCTCGTGGGAGGTGGCCTGGTGGGCATGGACTTGAGGCTGGAGGCAGAGGAGTGAGGGACCCACAAGTCAATTTCTTTGGGCACAGGCAGCCTCGGGGCCCCATCCCATGCTAAGCCCCCTCCCACCCGGGGCCTGGCCTGGCCCTAGGACCTTGATTCCTTCAGGTTTCAGCTGGGGCTCCCCTCCTCTGATGGTGTGGGAATGGCACCACTGGCCCCTGCCATTGGACCTGCTGTCCTCTTTGGTGATCCTAGGGCTGGCCCAGGTCCTTTTGGAGTGACACACCCTTCCTGCACATCCTTCAATACCTTCGTCCCCGGGGTGTCTTTCAGGTGACTTCCCAGGGCTATGCTGTGACAACAGTAGTGCCCACAATAGTCACTGCTTATCAAGTGCTAGACTAAAGGCTTTTCTTGGATTCCCTCAGTGCATCCTCAAGTCAGGTAGGAGCCATTTCCCATTCCCATCTTCTTGAGGAGGACGCAGGGGTATATAGGGGGGACAGGACTTGGCCGAGGTCACACAAACAGCAGGTGATGCCGCTAAGTCCCAAGTGCCTGTCTCTGTGCCAAAGCTGGCTTTCTTAGCCAGTATCACGCCCCAGGAGGGGAGTGTTGTTACCCTGATTTTCTTGCAACCCCTCCGTGGATACCCTCCATCTACTCAGCTGTGTTTACAGTCTGTTGCCTTGGGGGCAACAGACTGTAGAAGTGGAAGCCTTGGGGGGCCCTGGTTGCTGGAGAGGAGGCCGGGCCTGGTGACCATTTCCTACCAGCCTGTGCATCTGTGGGCGAGAGATTATGCTGAGCCCCTGCCGGGGGAGCCAGGAAGGCGTGCAGCACTTCCTGTGGGCAGCGGGCAGGGCTGGTCCTCTTGCCGGAGGATGCTCTGGCCAGTCCCCAGGGCCCCTGTCCACAGACCAGGAGCAGCTGGGCCATAGAGTCATCTGTTGGTTGAACACATTGATTGAGGGCCTGTGTGCCAGGTATCATTCTAGAAGCTGGGGACATAGTGCTGAGCCAAACAGACAACCCCTGCCCTGCAACTCATGATTTAAAATTCATGTTTTAATTCTGGTATTTTGCTTCTCTCTCTCTTTTAACTAAATACACTTTTTATTTTGGAATAGCTGAGATTTACAGAAAAGCTGCAAAGCTAGTACAGACACCCTACATCCATTCCGCGAGGGTCCCCACCTTCCATTACCACATTCTCACCACTAGGAAACTGACCTTTGCTCATGACTATTCTCTAAACTCTGGGCTCTATTTGGATTTTGCCCATTTTCCACTGATGTCCTCATGGCACCCCAGGATCCCATCGAAGGTCCCACATTTGCATTCAGAACCTGTGTGTCCCCAGGCTCCTCTGGGTGGGGGCAGTTTCTCGGTCGGTCCCTGTTTTCTATGACCTCAGCAGCCTTGAGGAAGACAGGCCAGGCATCCTGTAGAATGTCCCCAGCCTGGGTTTGTCTGATGTTTCTTCCTAAGTGGACAGGGTTATGGTTTTGGGGAAGCATCCCCAGAGGTGAAGCGCCCTTCTCAGCACATCCCATGGGGGTCCATGGCATCCATTTGACCTCTCTGGCGATGTCGGCCTTCAGTACCTGGTTAAGTCCTCATTTGGGTTGGTGGTCTTTCTCCCCCTCCCCCAATCCCCTGCACCCATCATTCCTGTAAAGTGACCCTCCTGGAGGGAAGTGGACTGACTCCCAGCATCTAGAATCCCTTGTGTGATGCTACGTGACTTAACAGCGCCTCTTTCTGCGCTGTCTGTGCAGGACGCCCAGCACTGGGCACTTTGAGTCACTTCTGAGCCCAGCAGCGTAAGATGGGGCAGGAGAAGGAGCTTGTAAGAACCCATTGTCCTCCCTGGCCTGCCCCTTGTGCCAGGCTGATGTCAGGTGGTTTATAGTCATGATCTCATTTCACCATCATTACACACCTGCATGGTAGGAGGAACTGTCTTGGCTCTGAGTTGGGAGACAGCAGAGCTAGGATTGCAGCTGATCTGGGTCCCCACTCCACAGTCTTTGGATTATGCCCTGTGCCCTTTGTAAGAAGAGCCAATAAGAAGGGCTATAGGAACCATGTCATAAGAGTAACCTTCAAAGGAATAGGAAGGTTTCTCCTGGCGCAGGAAAGTGTTTTAAGAGGTGAGCATGAGACTTGACCCAGAGTCTTTTAAGTCCCTTACAGTAGACAGTGGTGGGCCTGTCTGGAGCTCATTGCTGTGGATTCAGGATGTGACTCTTGACTGCCGTGAGGACTAAATAAGTTTGCCTCTGTAAAGCCCTTAGAACTGTGCCTGGCATCTGTTAGGTGCTTGATATCTATTCGTTACAGAAAAAAGCACCAGGATATCCAGGCTGTCAGAGAAGATTTATGGATGGGCAGGAAATTGGACTAGAGATGCCTCCTTTGTGTTAGCCTAAGTCAGCTAATTCCTATAAACAACCTGCAGATCTCAGTGCTGTAATGCAACACACGTTTATTTTTTGCTCAGTGTAACTTATGCTGGGACTTGATGACTGCTCATGAAGTCCCAGCAGAAGATGGGGTGCTCCGCTCCCCCTGGGTACTCAGAGGCCTTGACTCCTTGCGTCTTCTGGCTCTGTCCTCCTCTGGGGTGTGCTGGATCCTCTCCTTGGCCTGGCAGTGGTGGGGAGAGAAAGGAGGATGGGGACAATTGGGTGGCAGGTCAAGATGTGGGGCCATCACTTCTGCTCACACTCCTTTGTCCAGAACTCAGAGACCTGGTCACACCTAACTGCAGGAGAGGTCAGCAAATACAGTCTAGCAGTGTGCCCAGAGGAAGAGGAAAGAAAGTGCTTTCATGAGCATGTTAATAAGCATGTCTCTACCATGGCAACTGAAATCAGTGGTTTTTACCCTTCCACTATTCTGCTACTATCATCATAATTTTTGGCAGATTCCTAAACAGCATGTGATATATATATATATTTTTTGTTGTTGTTGTTGTTGAGAGGGAGTCTTGCTCTGTCGCCAGGCTGGAGTGCAGTGGCATGATCTCGGCTCACTGCAACCTCTGCCTCCCGGGTTCAAGTGATTCTTCTGCCTCAGCCTCCCAAGTTAGCTGGGACTACAGGTGCGCGCCACCACACCCAGCTAATTTTTGTATTTTTAGTAGAGACGGGGTTTCGCCGTGTTGACCAGGATGGTCTCGATCCGTTGACCTCGTGGTCCACCCGCCTTGGCCTCCCAAAGTGCTGGGATTACAGGCATGTGCCACCACGCCCGGCCACATGTGTTATTTACTTAATATTTTTTCTTTGAATTAATCAGGTTTTGAACTTAACACTTTTACTGATGAAAGGTGACCTTATAACATCTTTGGAAATGGAAAAGCAATAGCTCCTGCTGTAAATTGATACAAATAATTGCAATGTGTTTGGTTCTCACGAGCATCTGGTGCCTGGTGAAGTTGCTGGGTTTGTTAAAAAAGAGATATTAGCAAGTGCTAGAGAGAGGAGATGTTGAAGACATAGTAGTGCCACCCTGAGGCTTTCTCGTTGATATTCTGAGCATACTCAAAAGAGAGCTGAACAGGGAATAACTTTTTTCATGGTGGGGTCTGATGTCATTTAACCACCAGGGAAGTAGGGTTCATTCCTTTTTTCCCTCCATCAAAAATTTATTGGAGGGATTCTGGGGGAAAACAAGACAGACACTGTTTCCACCTTCATGATGGTTCCAGGCTATTGGGGAAGATGGGCAGAACAGCAGGGAACAAATCATTGCACAAGTGGTTATTTTCCATTGTGATGAGTGCTGAGAAGGAAGGCAAAGTAGATGGGGCGATAGAGAGTTTATAGAGAAGGAGCTCACTGGATTAGCTTGGCTAACTAGTACTCTTCCTCAAAAAAGATCTTCCCAGACTGCCTCTTCAACCTAACTTGGGTCATCTGCCACCCCTTTTCTGGCCGCACCTTTTTATGACACCTAGACAGGTCCTTCAGATCCCTTGGCACAATTAGCACAGTTGCAGTGATTTGTTTGTGCAGTTTGTCATCTTGTGTCTGTCTTCCTTATGGAGTCTGAGTCCTCGAGAGCAGGGGCCATATCTATGTGTTCATCACTGGATCCTGGTGCTGAGCCAGCATCTGCACACTGTGGGTGGTCAGTAAATATTGACTGAATGAAGGAAGTAGAGAGACAGGGAGGAAGGGTCCAGCTGAGACCCTCCTGCAATGTGGCAGAGGGGTTCACCTCCGCAAGAATGGAGGACTTCATTGCTATATCCCTTTGTGTTTGGAAAATGTTTCTAGTTTTCTCCTAAGTGCATCTGAAAGAATTTATTTTGACCGAGTCCTGAGGAATTGGGAAGTCAGACATTACTGAGGCCCTGCCTGAAGGAGGGGTGGGTGGCCCACTACCTATCCTGATGGGAGGCCACCACGTGCCAGCTCCCCTTGCTTGAAGCCATGTTAGTCCCCAGAACAGGAGTAAGGCAGCCGGGAGAAGACACCTGACATTCCACCTTCACTCCTGCCTGGGCATTAGGATTCATTGTAATTATTCCCATTTTGAGGAAATGGAGACCGAGAGAAGTTGAAGACCTGGCTCAGGGTCATACCTCTGGCAAAGTAACAAACCCAAGCCCTAGCTCTACTTTCCGACCCCCAGAAAGTAATGCTTTCAGTTAGATCACCTAACCCTGGAAATCTTAGTTGCTTGTTTTTGAGTTGAGCAACTGTGCTCTCTCTAGCAAACTGGCCAGTTTCCCTAATCACCTGGGGCCCTGTGCGGATCCGGGAGAGTCAGATTCAGGTGGCCTGGGAATCTGCATTTTCACCAGTGTCTTCAGTGATTCTTAGGGTCAGGCAAGCTGGGGAGACCCTGAATAAGGGTTCCCCCATTATGTTCCCAGCGTAACTCTGGAACTGGGTACCACAAATCTTTGTTAACCTAGTAATGACCATCACAAAAGCGAGTGATGGGACTAAGACTTCAGAAAGCCCTTGAAGATGTGTGTGCTCTAGGGATCATTGTTTTCTCTGCAGATGAGGAAGCTGAGGCTTTGGGGGGTTGAGAGTTGGGGGTCACACCTGCAGGAATGCAGCTCTTCTGAATTTGAATCCCTTACGTTTTCCAGTTGATGGCAGGAGTCATATGTGTCTTGGTGAATGTTAGGTCCTCACATACCCCCAATGACAGCAGCTGTGGGTCTCCTCTCTGTCCTGGTGCATAGCACAAGACCTCACCCACGCTGTCTGCACTCAACTTGTTTCTGGAAGGCAGGGAGGAAGGAAGCTGTCAGTGCTAGACATTTGCAGGGGAACAGGGGTGGGTAGGTGGTGATAGTAGAAGTAAAAACATTCACTCAGCATCTCTGGGGTATCAGGAGCAGTGCTACAAACTATAAATATCATCTTCTTCTGTTCTTACCCATCAAGTTGGGGCTTTTATTTGCCTCATTTTACAGGTGAGAGAACCGAGGTGGCGTGATCTGATCTAGTGTTGGGTGTGTCAACGTCGTGTGCTGATTAGAATTAGTAAACACGGAAGCTGGAAGGGTCCCAGGATGGGTTCAGTGTCGCCCTGATGTACCCAACAAGCCAGGTGGCAGGAGCTGGTTCCACCTTTCGGGCCTGCCTGACTTTCCCCAATTTGGCTTCCGTTGGCCAAGCTGCAAAACTGGGTCACACTTGAAGCCAGGTGATTGGTCAGAGCTGAGTTAACCCTGAGTCAAAGGAGGGCATGAGAAGGTTCGCCTACCCGCCCCCTCCCTGCCCCACCCCACCCCACCCTGGGCCAGGCCCCTCACAGTGGAGCCACACAGGCACGTCATCCTGCTTGGGCCTCCGCCTGCCCCACACTCACCAGAGCATGACAAGTCAGCCACCCGGGATTTGGCTGTTCTAGAGGCACTGTTCCATGCTGCCAGGCAGACCTGGGACAGCTGGGCTGAGGGCTCGGGGGAGTAGAGGGAGGTGGGCACCGTGTAGTGCGGAGAGGCCTAGGGCTTTGGAGTCTGGTGGACCTGGGTGCTGATCCTAGTGCTCCCACCCACTCGCTGTGTGTCCTTGGGCAGCTCACTTCACCTCTCTGAGTCTGTTTTCTGCTACAAATGGGGATACAACCCTGACCCCAAGCAGCTGCTGTGTAGAGTTAACAAGAGCCTCATATAGCCCTAGGTCTTATTTCAGTGTCGAACCCCTCTTTTCTTCCTGCATTTATGAAATTTCCTGACACATTTGGTCTTCTAAAGCGGAGGTTGCAAACTGGTGGCATCAGAGGTTGAGTTTTGCCCACAAATGTGATTATTTGGCCCTCACATTTTTAAAAAATTGAATTTTATGTCAGCATTTTTGAATGAAAATATTTCACATAAAAATTTGGATTTCCAGCCGGGCACGGTGGCTCACACTTGTAATCCCAGCACTTTGGGAGGCTGAGGTGAGCGGATCACTTGAGGCCAGGAGTTCGAGACCAGCCTGGCCAACATGGTGAAACTCCATCTCTACTAAAAATACAAAAAATTAGCCGGGCATGATGGCATGTGCATGTAATCCCAGCTACTCAGGAGGCTTAGGCAGGAGAATCCCTTGAACCCGGGAGGTGGAGCTTGCAGTGAGCCGAGATTGCACAACTGCACTCCAGCCTGGGCAACAGAGCAAGACTCTGTCTCAAAAAAAAAAAAAAAAAAAATTAAAAATTCAGGCACAGTGGCTCACATCTGTAAAGCCAGCACTTTGGGAGGCCGAGGCAGCCGGATCACCTGAGGTCAGGAGTTCAAGACCAGCCTGACCAATATGGTGAGCTCCCGTTTCTACTAAAAATACAAAAATTAGCCGGGCATGGTGGCATGCACCAGTAGTCCCAGCTACTCAGGAGGCTGAGACAGGAGATTCGCTTCAACCCCGGAGGCAGAGGTTGCAGTGAGCTGAGATTGCGCCACTGCACTCCAGCCTGGGTGACAGAGCAAGACTCCGTTTCAATAAAAAATAAAAAAATTGGATTTCCAATGCATCTGGAAAAATGGACCTCAGTGGCCACATGGCAGCCCAGGGCTGTTGCTGGGCAGACCTCTGGGACCTTAAAGCGGGAGATGTGAGAGCCAGGATCAGGTTGCAGGCCTAGACAGGGAGGTGGGGGGGTATGGTCACCTCAGGGGCTTCAGGTGCCCGAGGACCCCTCTGAGACATGAGGACAGTCTTCCAGTGTGACTGACTTAATTCCATCTAGTGAGGAGGTGGCTTTTAGAGTCTGGATGCCCCTGGGTAAAAGGGCTCCACTTACCAGCTCCTTGGGCCAGTCACTGACTTGTCTGTGCCACTTTCTCATTTGCAAAACAAGAGTAATGCGTTGTTAGTAAGCACCATGGTAAGCACTCCACTCATGTCAGCAGCTCATATGAGTCCATCCCAAGTAGGAGATTTGCCCGAGATCGTCTTTGAGAGATGTCTTTCTAAAGGTTCCTGGAGAGACAGGCCTGTGTCTGGAAATCCCAGGCAGGGACTCTGACGGTGATCAGGCCTCTACCTGTCAATGGGTGAACCAGCCAAAAGGAGACCGCCAAAGCATCAGGTGCATTGCCAGGGGCATTGCCATGATTTGATTGGGAGGGAGTGTCAGTGTTGCATTTTTTGTACCCCCACTTTGAGCCCTGTGCTTAAAGACACCATCAAGGCCATCCCCTGATGGTCTTGGGAATGGATAGAGCTGAAAAGAGTGAGGCCCAGAGGCAGCTTTTCGTTTTCCAAAACGCAGGCAGGGTCTGCCCAGGTGCCCTCTGTGGGCTTGTTAGCCTGCAGGAGCTGGTTTCTGCTGGCTGATGTTAAGTCAAAGAGGTCTCCTGGCTCTAACTCAGACACTTCCTCATACAGTCTTCTTAGTGGGCTTCCTGCTGACAGTGGATGCCAGGGACCCAGGCAGGGAGGTCTCCCTTTTGAAAGGGGCCACTGGCCTTTGGGAAATAGTAGAGACCAGTGATTAAGAGCTTGATCTCCAGAGCCCCTCATAGGCCGTCAGTGACATGAGAGCAGAGACCGGCTCAGCCTTGTTCTCTACCAGGTCCCCAGGGCCAAGGACACTGAAAGCCCTTTTTAAAAAAAGTGTTGAATAGTAAATGAGCAGGGTCTTCCTCTTGGGTCTGAACCTCAGCTCTCCTACTTGAAGCCTCTCTTGACTTGCCAACAACTTACCGTGTCATCAGCGGGGATGGTAATGGTACCTTCCTCCTGGGGGACAGTAGAGTTTCAGTGAGATAACGTGTACATCACTCAGCATGGCACGCAGCCATGCGACGTGCTCAGCACATGTGGCTGTGATGACTGTTTGGTTTGCACAGGCATTTCTATGTGTGGACCTTGACGCAGGTTCCCACAAAGGACTCTGGCCCCATGGGTGACGGTGTCACAGCTGTCCTTTTGGAATCTTCACCTCACCTAAACTCCCTGGCAGTAATAGCCCAGGGGAGAGAGGGCATGTGGGTTTGGCCAAGGGAGGGGATCTCTGGGGAAAGTCACCCTGTTTGTCCAAGAAGCGCCTGTGTGTATGTGTAGATATGAGTGTGCAAATGTGTGAAACTGTGTGTTCATGCCTTTGCTGCAGGCCCACAAGGTGGTTTACCACGTGCTGTTGTTGCCTGGAAAGGTATTGCGCAGGATGCCATGTGGTATGATGTCCCTGGCCCCAGCAGCCCCAGTGACTGGTGAGCGGCTCCTAGGTCTGCTCCTGCCTCCAGTAGAAGCAGCCACAGGAGTCCTGGCCACAGCCCCCATTGCGGCCCCCATCGTGCTGGGTGCTGGCTTTTGGAAATCCCTGCATACCCGCAACGGCTCCCGTGGTGGGGGTGGAGGTGGAGGAGCTGGTCAGGCCACCCAGAGGCATCTTCCTCAGTGGAGCCTTCTGCCAGGTACCTCTCAGCTGTTTTCCAAATGACTACTTAGCATTTCCCTGCCTCGATCCCCACAGCAGCCCTGTAGGGAAGGAGTGGCCCATTTCACAGATGAGAAACTCGAGGCTTACAGAGTCAGTCTGCGCAACTGGGGCTGGGGGCAATGTGCTGGTTAAAATGCAGATTCCCATCTCCCCCCGCCCCGGAGGATGGGATGTGGGAATCAGGGTCCAGGCCTTGGTGTTCTAAGCAGCCTCTCCAAGGAGCTGCGTTGTCAGGAGAGTGGGAAGCAGAAGCAGGAGCCTTGGGCCTTACAGTTCTGGGAGTGTGCTCTGGCCCTGCTGTTTGCTCAGTTGGGGCAATTGCATCAGCTTCCTGGGCTTCCTTCAGCTTTCTCAGCTGTGAGCTGGAGAGAGTGGTGCCCACCTCCAAGGGGCCTGGTGAAAATTCCATGATCAGTTCGTTTATCTCACTTGGGATAGTGGAATTCCTGGAGAGTTCAATAAAATGGTTTGTTGCTATTGTTCCACATGGGATTTACTACAAAAGCAATTTCAGAAACATCCAAAAAGATATCCATGTGCATAATTGACAGTAGTGTATCTGCTCATCTCCTTCGAAGTGGGAGTTTCACAGGATGGTGAATCAGGGTTGCTCTACCCCCATTTTAGAGATTAAACTACAGCAGGCAGGGCAAGGTGGCTCACGCCTATAATCCCAGCACTTTGGGAGACCAAGACAGGAGGATCACCTGAGTCCAGGAGTTCGAGACCAGCCTGGGCAACATAGTGAGACTCCATCTCTACAAAAAAAAAAAAAAATTAGCTGGGCATGGTGGCCTGCACCTGTGGTCTCAGCTACTCAGGAGGCTGAGGCGGGAGGATCACTTGAGCCCGGGAGGTTGAGGCTGCAGTGAGCTGTGTTCACGCCACTTCCACTTCAGCCTGGACAACAGAGTGAGACTGTCTCAAACAACAAAAAAAGAAACTACAGCAGACCCTTGAATAATGTTTTGTTATAAAACATTGATGAGAAAAAAAAGTATTTCCTGGCTGGGGCCACTGTCTGTTGGGTTTGCACGTTCTACCCACGTCTGCGTGGCTCTTCTGCAGGCACCCCCACCCACCTACCCACATCCCAAACCTGTGCCTGTCAGGTTCATCAGCACGTCCGCATGGTCCCGGTGTGGGTGAGTGTGGGTGTGTGGGCGTGTGTGCCCTGCGATGGGAGGGCGTGCTGGCCAGGGCCGGTTCCCGCCTTGTTCCCTGAGCAGCTGGGATGGGCTCTGGCCACCCGTGACTTGGAACTGGAATAAGTGAGTAAACAGTGATCTTACTTGTTTTGACAAATCTTTCTTAAGTGTATGTACAGCTCACATGTATTTTAATGTCTAATAGTAGAAGTGTTTTGATCTTTATTTGGAAGTTTGGTGTTGTTTTTGTGACCAGAAATATGCCTTAGGAACTTAAGTCTTGTTTATATCCATTAGCCTGTGGGGAAATTGTTTTTCATCTTCTGCTGTTTCCCTCAAAGTCATGGTTTCCAAGAACCTACCAACAACCTTAAGTGAGGCCTTGCTGTACTGAGGGGCCACCTGGGACTCACACAGGTTTTTAGCTACCAGGGTTCTGGGGCTCCTGAAATGGACTCAGCTCTCCTTCAGACACCTACCTGGGCTGTGTTCCCCCAACGGACAGTGGTGGATGTGGGTTGGGATGTCACAGGTCACTGCACCACCTACCACCTCCCTGGAGTGGCATTTCCCAGAACACCAGGACACACTGCCGGGTGGGAACAATGACGCTGGTTTCCAGGAGAGCAGTGGGGGTGGGAGAGGAAGCATGCCTACCTGTCTTCCATACCTGATCTGGACCCAGCAAACATGGCCCTGAGGTGCTCCACGCCCCATACCTCTCTGCTGGGGGCTCCACCCACAGCCCTTCTGCTGAGATGGTCTCGGGCCTAACCAGGACCTCGCTGGCCCATTTGCTCACTCAGTCATGTAAGAGATGTCTGTTGCATGTTTACTATGTGCTGCGCCCTGTGCTGAGGCTGGAGTACCTGGCTGACCCCACAGACATGGTCCCCACTGTCATGGGGCTTACACTTAAACAGGGAAGATGGACAGTTGGAGGATCAAGAGTTTTCCCAGCGAGAATATCCAGGGAACTCTGGGGATGTTCTGATCCAGCCTTGCGTGGGGTGCGAGGAGGTCCTCCCCACGATGTTCAACTCAAGGCCTTAGTGAGGAGCAGAGCTGGTTTGGTGCTGGGGCAGGGAGCCAGGCCCGTCCAGCACGTGGTACACTGATGAGGGAATGCACCAGGCAGGCAGAGCCTTCGGGCACGGTGAGGAGTGTGCCCTGTCCTCAGCATAGAGAGGCCACGCCTTGTGTTGGGGAGCCAGGTTCCATGTGGGCTGTGAGCGGCCCACTCAGCCTGTGCTTCAGAGGCTGGCCTGGGTGCAGCCCGGCGGGGGCCAGGCCAGCGACTGTCAGCTCCTGTGGCGTCCAGTCTTTTTGCCAAGAGGCCTCTTTAATTCACATTTTCCACATCGACTTGATGTTTTGAAAATGTCGACCTTTAGTTCATCAAATGTCACTTATTAAATCATAAGTCACATCCCATTCAATTAAAAAAAGACAATGGACTGGTGACTCAGTGTATGGTCTCTTGGCAGGAGAGACCCTGAAGCACTTGAGGCCAGAGGAAGACATGCGCCTTGTCAGTGATCCCTGCATCCCTAGGGGTGGGCAGCACGTCATTCCTGTGAGAGGCTGGACTGGAGAGAGAGACTGGGTTGGCAGCCAGGCTGGAGAAGCTGTGACCAGCCTGGAACGCCAGGCCCAGGCAGGTGGACTTGAAACTTACTCACAAGAAGCAAAGAGCCCTGTTGGAAAGGTGAGGTTTGGTCAGTCAGGCCAGAGAGGAGTCAAGGCCATGCATGGAACAGTGCTTGACTGGAAGAGAAGCAAATGGCAAAATGTGTACAGGCAGGGAGTGAATCAGGGTGCTTCCTGGAGGAGGGACACTTGAGAGATGAGTTGGAGTGAAGTCAGTAGAGGTGAAGGGATTCTAGCCAAGGGCTCTGCGGCCTGATGAGAGGCTAGGAGGTGGGAAAGAGCGGGGGATACAATGGGCAGGTGAGATGGGGCTGCCTGTGCTGCCTCAGGCACTGGGGAGCCCTAGCAGGTTCTTGAGCATGCGTGTTGCTCAGGAAGAAAAATAAGATCAAGTGAATGTAAAAGCTCCCTACAGCTTAGAGGAGGGAGCACCGAAAGTCTTTTGGTATGGGTTAGAATGGTTCCCAAAGGCTGTGAGGGGAGGGTTCTCCCTGCTGAGATGACTGCGCCTTATCAGACCTTCATGGAGACGGAAGACAGACTGTGGAGACCAACCTGAGAATGGATTGTAGCCTTGCCCTCCTACCCTTGCACCTCAGTATCCCTATTTATGAGGTGGGAGAAGCAGTAATCTGCCTCACGGTTGTGTGAAACGTAATTAAGCCGTGCATACAAAATGCCTGAAGCATACTGCAGGCCTGTAGACAGCACTGGGGTAGCCAAGGGTTGGGGCCCCTGGAAACCCCACAACAAGAAATTCACAGCTGGGGAATTCAAGAGCTTTTTGAAAAACAGTGTTGGGGCCCCAAGGCCACCAGTAGACCTTAGGAACATGATGTACGCTGAAGTTCATTCAAATAACACGGTAAAGAGACTGGCCACCATGTTTTATGTATCTTAAATTAGGAATAAGGGGAACTTCTTGAAGCCTCAGTTTCCTCATTTGTAAAATGGGGCTAGTGACTGCTTCACAGGGCTGTTGTGAGGATGAAATGAATGGGGCTGAGACGCTTGGCATTGGACGTAGCTGAGGTAGGGTCTCAGGTGATATCCCTGGAATGGTTCGATTCATTGCCATGCACCATCCTTCCTCAGTAGAGGAGTACACATTTCTGCTCCAGTAGTTTCAAGGAGATGCTTATAAATATGCGTTCCTTCCTTGCAGACATGCCTGCGGGAGGAGACTTCTCTTGAGCCTGGGACTCACTGCCTTGTGTGCAGCAATGAACAGTCACAGCTCTGGCCCCACCCTTTGCTGGCTTTGGGACCTTGGGCAGGTCCTTCACCGCCCTGGGACTCAGTTTCCTCACCTGTAACAATGGGCTAATAATGGTGCCCCCCCCACCCACCCTTAAGCATTGTGTGAGGCCAAAATGAGAATAGTGCACCTGCCAATAAGGGCTCAGCCATGGCCACGTGGTCATGGAACCCCTCCTCCTGGGGTCTCACGTGGCCCCAGGACCCCAGGCACCCCTCTTCCATGGAACTTGGCTTCTTCCCCGGGTTCTTGTCTTACAGCTTACGTTATGGTTCCTGGAGTGAGAGGAGTAAAATCGGTCTCCCCATCTGCTCTCTGCTTTGCCTTCCTTTTCACTTTTCATCTCCCCAGGCTGTTCATTCGCTCATTCATTCATACATTCACTCACTGACACATTTACAAATATTTATACTGGTCACTGTGCCAGGCACTGCGAGACTCGGTGGTGAACGGCAGGGATATAGCCCCTGCCCTCATGGAGTCTTGGGCTTCAGCAATTAAACATCCAATTAAATGTATAATTCTCAGTTGACATGTGACTATAAAGGAGAAAAGCAGGGGGCTGTGAGGCCTGCGTCTTCTAGGGGATCGGGGGAACCTGACTGCAGTGGTATTTGACGGCTGTCTGAAAGGTGCTTAGGGTTCACTGGGCCACTGAGAGGCAGGGAGGCCCAGGTGGAGGGAGAGCATGGGCAAAGGCCCTGAGGTGGGAGGTCACAGGTCGGCCGGCTGAAGCGGCTGCTGGACAGAGAGCTGGGGAGTGCCAGGGCTGGAGGACTCAGCTGGCCAGACCATGAAAGCTGCATAAAACACCGTAAGGAGTTTATCCTAAGAAGCTTCAGCCCTTACAGGGTGGTGAGCAGATCCTCACGAACTCTTGATGCGAAGGGAAGAGCGGACCCATTCCGGGTCTCGGGCAGTGTCTGAGCAAGGGGCCGGTGGTCTGCGCATCTGCACACTAGGCCCTTCCTCGTCAGTCACACGCTAGAGGAACAACTCACAATTTGCACTTAGTCCTGAATCCGGGCGGTGACACAGAAGAAAGTCATAGACACTCGGGGTGGGGCAGAGGGGCCCTCACTGAGTCCTCTGCCGGCATCCAGCCCTGATGATTGATTCTAATCCAGGCCGCTTCTGAGGACACGAGGAAAAGGCTGTTAGCATAGGCCCTACTGCGTACCTGGCAGACCCAAGTTCATCATCTCGGCTGACCTTACCAGCCCCCCGCTGGCATGGGTGGGGGTCCGCTGTTGTCCACAGAAAGAAAACAGGGCTGGGAGCTTGTGAGGGCCCTGCCCAAGATTCCAAGGCCCCTGCCAGCCAGATGTTTGGGGCCAAAGTCCATGCTTCCCTGCCCTGTGGGTAACACGGGGGAGATTACTGTTTGAAGTACTTTGGACAGTCACACCAGGTCAAAAGGTCTGTGTGGTCAAAAGCTACAAGGCCTGTGGCTGGGGGAGCTGTGCTGAGGACGTGATTTTGAGGCTTTCTTAGCCCAGACTTACCTTCATAGCTTCCTGGGATCTCCCAGGTCTGGGTCGTCATCGGCGCCCTTACCGGGGAGGGCTCTGCTCCCCTAAATGCCCCTGTGCACCTGCCCCAGCCCCTTCCCTCCTCCTGGTGCTTGGGTCATGTCGTTCCCTGTGCATGCCAGTCCCCTTACGTGCACATTTTTCCTCTATGATTTTTCCTGTTTTGATGAGACACTGCTCTTGGCCGTGCTGGTTCCCAAGAGGGGACCAGGCCCCGGCCTGGCCAGCTGGTCATTCAGGAACTTTGCTTCTAGGCCCAGCCCCACACCCAGCCACATTCCACTAGGGCCAGAACCTTTGAGCTCCGTGTGAATGGGGCATGTCCCACCCACCCCCAACTCCCATGGCCGCCTCCTTATCACCCTTCCCAGCTGACGGAAAAGGCCATATTCCATCCTGGAATTAGCTTTCCCCCATTTCTGTTTGCTTCCAGACTGAAGGGTGGGAAAAAAAAATGTCCTGAAGGTCACAGTGCCGTCCCAAGCCTTTGAAGTGTGGCTGCTCTCATTGGCTCCACTTAGCAGGATGAAACTGGGGCTCAGAGAGCTGCCGCAGGTGCCTGGTGCTGCTGGTCACTTCTTTGCCACCTCTGAGGGAATCACCTTAAAGGGGCCCCTGGAGCCCTCCGTAGCCCTCACACCTCATGTGCTGGGCCTGGGCTGGATTGCAGCCCTTGCTGCTATCCTCCGCAGGTGCCCTTGGACAGGGGACAGCCTGCCCAGCTGTACACAGTGGCCTTGGCAAGACCACAGCATGGCCCATAGGTGGTGGCTTCAGGATTTGGAAGCCCGGTTTCTCTAACTCCAAACTCCACAGTCAGTACTTTGGGGTTCTGGATTGTTTGTCGGCTGGGTTAGCTCTGTTCTATTTTTCCAACTGTTTCTTGCCTTTAAGCTGTGCTTTGCCTACAGGCCTTTTCTTAATTATTCAGCTCTGCCAGAGGTGCTTCTGTAGAAAGTACTTGTCCTGAGTAATTTCAAGCTTTTAATCTTACCTTTGAAGAAATATTTAACCATCCCATGCTCCTATATGTTTGTTCATTTCTTATTCATTCTTTCACCGAACAGCATTGATTCAGTGCCAGGGAGGGGCAGGGACAGAGGTGAACAAGACATGTCTCCAGCCTCAGGTAGCTCAGGTGTGTGAGGCAGTGCGCTCAAGTGGGCTCATCAGTTCCCTGACGGGGAACTAGCAGAGGAGGGCAGGAGGGCGTGGAGAGGTATGGCAACCTTGAAGGACTTTGGTGATGGTGATGATCATAGCCAGCCCTGAATAGGGTTCTCTTTATGCCTGCACCATTCTGCCCCCTCACATCTGTTAACATGCTTCATCCCCACAACCAGTCATTAGGAACAACTTACACATTGGGAAGCCAAGGCACAGAGAAGTTATTTAACCTGCCCAGCGTTGCCTGAGCCAGGGCAGAGCTGGGGTTTGAACCCAGGCCTCCTGGCTCCTGCATCTGCCCCCCTCACCACTGCACCTCACTGCATGCACGGGAGCTCTTTGGATGCAGGGATGGGAGCGGTGTGTGCAAGCCTCAGAGCTGTGACCGTGAAAGAAACAGACTTCTCTGAGGCTTTGCTGCAGAATCTGGGCCAGCAGGTGTCTGGGAGGAAGCCACCCTTGGGCTGGGGCCAAGCATGGGTCCTGGGGTCAGGACAAGGAGAGGGACTGGTGCTTGAGTCCTTTTGGAGCTGCAGATCCATGGTGGGGCTTCTGAATGATCTTGTGTGAGGAAGGAGTCCAGGGTGTTAGCCACGCCTGTGTTTCTTTGTGAGCACAAAAACATATTCCATAGCCAGAGTTCCACAGTGTTTGGAGCTCTGCCTGAGAACCTAGGCTGGGACTGTGTGGGGAGGAAGGGCCGGCGAGAGCGGATGTAGGCTGAGCCAGCCTCGGCTGGAGACCGGCCCTGGCACTGACTGCCTGGGGTCACTCTGGGTGAAACTCATCCACCCTCCTGGGCACTCTGCGCTCTGCTTCAAATCCACCGCCGAAAACAAGCTGAGTCCTGCCCCAGCCTGCAGGGCCTGTGGGATGTGTCCTCCATCCGCCTCGCTGACCTCGTCCCATGCCACCTGCCCCTCCCTGCGTGCCAGCCGCAGTGGCCACCGCTGCTGCTGACACAGGCCAGCCACACACCCACCTCAGAGTCTTGGCCAAGCACTGGCCATTCCCTCTGCTCAGAATGCTCTTCCCAGGCACTTGGCGTAGTGGCTCCCTCCCTTCCCTCGGGTCTCTGCCCTGACCTCACCCAGCCTGCAGTGCCCTCTGTCCGGCTCTGTCAGACCCACGTGTTCTCTTTCATAGCTCCTCCCACCCTCTGGAACAGTCCCATCTCCCTTTGGCTTGTTTATTATCTGTCCCCTCCATGGGAACCTCGGTTCCTCAGAGGCGCAGGCTTTGCCTGTCTTGTTCATGCCTGTTGCCCCAGTGCCATCAATGGAGCCTGGCACTTGTGGATGCTGACTACTCGTTGGCTGAATGAATGAACCTCAGTTGCCTTATTTGTAAAATGGGAAGCATCACACTGATCTACTAACGTTGCTGTAAAGACGAAAGGCATGTTATTTGGGTCAAGACACCCAGCACTGTGCCTGACACATAGTAGGTACTTAGGAAGTGGTAAATAATGCGTGTGTCAGCCCAAGTGTGAATTACTGGCCTTGTTTAGACAAAGTGTACACGGCATAGCTCTATTTTTTGACATTGCCAGGATAGCCTGGTGCTCCCCAGCTCTAAAACTCAGGGTGATTGGTGGGGCAGAATAAGGTAAGGGCAGAAAAGAAAAGAGGAGGAAGTGAAAAGGAAGAAGCCCTTTGCAGTGTGGACTACTTTTCAGTAGAAACGTAGAAAGACATAGTTTACCTCAAGGCCTCGCTTTGTCCACTGGAAAGTTTAGAAATTCCTGCCAAGAACTTTTATTTATTTATTTATTTTTTAATTTTATTATTATTATTTTTAGATGAAGTTTTGCTCTTGTCACCCAGGCTAGAGTGCAATGGCATGATCTCGGCTCGCTGCAACCTCCGCCTCCCGGGTTCAAGCGATTCTCCTGCCTCAGCCTCCCGAGTAGCTGGGATTACAGGTGCATGCCACTGCACCTGCTCATTTTTATATTTTTAGTAGAGACAGGGTTTCACCATGTTGGCCAGGCTGGTGACCTCCTGACCTCAAATGATCTGCCCACCGCAGCCTTCCAAAGTGCTGGATTACAGGCGTGAGCCACCTTGCCTGGGCAACTGAGTGAGACTACATCTCAAAAAAAAAAAAAAAAAAAAAAAAAGATGGCACAAGATAAGGGGGGAGATAAGGAAGTGCAGTAGAGGAAAATGTAGGTGGAGACTTCCTTACACCATCGAGACCACACAAATGGGCATGTGTTTATAGAAAGGCCCAGTGGTGAGGATGGCAATGGTGGTGAGCACTCCCGAGCACAAAGGTGGATGCCCTTCAGCTGTAAGATCCCTTTTCCTTGAAGAATTCTCCACAGCAAGCTGGCTGGCCAGCCTTGACTTTTCTCTTCCTGAAGGGAGCCTGGTTCTCTACTGACTCAGCAGGGAATGTGTCCTTTAGTGCTACTTATTGATGTCAGGATATGAAAAACTTCCCCAACCTCAAATTTGGGACGTCCTTACCAGTGTTTCTCAAATTTCAATCACTCTAGGGCTACTGTCACAGTTTGTGCCACACCTACATCTACTCCTACTGTTATATGCTTTGTATTTTATTTAAATGGACTCACTTTTTAAAAAGCTTGCATAGATGAGTTTTAAAAGGCAAACAATTTACCTTCTCTCTAAAATGGAAGACCAGGATCACCTGCCATGAGTCCAAGGTACCTGTGAAAGTCAAAGCAGTGAGATGAAAGTTCTAGCACAGAGCTATTGCTGGTAGACAGTTCTGTGCCTGAAGCCGAGCCTTCTATTTATTTATACGCACATATATACATACATACGAACTCTCCCTCTGTCACCCAGGCTGGAGTGCAGTGGTGCAATCCCAGCTCACTGCAACCTCAGCCTCCCCATTAGCAGGGACTACAGGTAGCACACCATCACACCTGGCTAATTTTTGTATTTTTAGTAGAGGCAGGGTTTCGTCATATTGGCCAGGCTGCTGTCGAACTCCTGACCTCAAGTGATCCGCCCACCTCGGCCTCCCATAGTGCTGGGATTACAGGCGTGAGCCATCGTGCCTGGCCTAGTCTTCTTTTTACTAAAAAGTGAGATTATTAAGTGTAAAAAGACCTACTAGTACCAAATGAGATTTTTTTCTAAACTCGATTATGAGAATTGAAAGAAAAGTGGAAAAATAATCACTTCTTCTGTGGGTGATTTGTGTTATTTGCTGCCCAATCTGGGTTCCACCTAAAACCGTCTCAGGTACACCACTGCGCAGCCTCCCAGAACCACCCACCTCCTTCCTGACGGCCAGGAGACAAAGGACCCTTGGGCGCGATCAGCCGCACCTTCAGGCTGAGTGGCCAGGAGTCCTCCCGTGGCCCAGCCCACCTCTCTCTTTCAGGAATTCAAGTCAGCATTTTTGTTGGTCCGGATCTGAAGCCACTTCTTCCAGGCAGCTGCCCCTGATCTCTCAACTTCATAGCATTTTGGCTCTTTAAAAAAAAAGAAAGAAAAAAACCAAACGTGTGACTTTCTTTGAGGTGTTAGAATTATCCTCCTGGTATGTTGTTATTCTGACTTAATTCCGAGAGCAGGGCTTTGTCACACGGAGCTGGTACCTACTGTGTCACAGCACTGCATGTGGCTCAACAGGCCAGGGCTTTTAATCGCTTTTGACATCTACTCTCTGAAGAAATACATTTATATCACAACCCAGTGTACAATACATGAAAACTCAACATGGCCGGGCGCGGTGGCTCACGCCTGTAATCCCAGCACTTTGGGAGGCAGAGGCGGGCGGATCACTTGCGGTCAGGAGGTTGAGACTAGCGTGACCAACATGCTGAAACTTCTCTCTACTAGAAATACAAAAAAATTAGCTGGGCATGGTGGTGCATACTTGTAGTCCTAGCTACTCGAGAGGCTGAGGCAGGAGAATCGCTTGAACCCGGGAGGTGGAGGTTGTAGTGAGCTGAGATCACGCCACTGCACTCTAGCTTGGGCCACAGAGGGAAACTCCATCTCAAAACACAAACAAACAAACACCTCAACGGTTCTTCTCTTACTACACACAATGACAATAAATATTTTGTAGTCTTTTTTTTTTTTTTTTTTTTTTGGAGTCTTGCTCTGTCACCCAGCCCAGAGTGCAATGGCATGATCTCAGCTCACTGCAACCTCCACCTGCCTCCAGGGTTCAAACGATTCTCATGCCTCAGACTCAGTAGCTGGGATTACAGGCACGTACCACCACACCTGGCTGATTTTTGTATTTTCAGTAGAGACGGGGTTTCACCCTGTTGGCCAGGCTGGGTCTCAAACTCTTGGCCTCAAGTGATTACAGGCAAGAGAAGGATAAATACCACATTTAGGAGAGTATTTCTCCTGGGATGGGATGGAGATGGGTCAAAATGGAAAGTGCAGACAGAAGAGGAATATAGGGGCTGTCTTTTTTTTTTTAAATGCTGGTTGCAATCTACTACTTTGATTTTTTAACTCACTAGTCATCGTCATCTGCAGTTGGTAAAAACATTGTTGTAGAGGGTTAAAGCATGAACCATATTAACATGTCCCCCCCCCTTTTTTTTTGAGCACCTATTATATGCTGGGCACAGTGCTGAACACTGTCTCATTTTGTCCTAACCACGTTTTGCGTATCAGGCCACTGAGTCTCAGAGAGGGACATCACTTAAGCCCGGCTCACACAGCAAGTAAGAGCAAATTAAGATTCCAGCCTGGGTCAGCCTGACTTATTTTCATGTCCTTGAGGCCTTGGAGCAGTTCCCTTGTGTATCTGCTGCAAAGCCTTGCTCAACGCTCTTCCCAGAGGAAGTGATCAAATGAAGGAATCAAATATCAAATTGCTATAGAAAGAAATTCTTTTTTTTTTTTTTTTTTTTTTTGAGACAGTCTCACTCTGTCACCCAGGCTGGAGTGCAATGGCACGATCTCGGCTCACGGCACCCTCTACTTTCTGGGTTCAAGCAATTCTCTTGCCTCAGTTTCCCAAGTAGCTGGGATTACAGGCGCCCGCCACTATGCCTGGCTAATATTTTGTATTTTTAGTAGAGACTGGGTTTCACCATGTTGGCCAGGCTGGTCTCGAACTCTTGACCTCAGGTGATCCACCCGCCTTGGCCTCCCAAAGTGCTGGGATTATAGGCGTGAGCCACCGCACCTGGCCTATAGAAAGAAATTCTAAAACAGTCTCTTTAATATTAACATAAGCCAGTGCAAAGGGTTCCCAAATGTGGCTGATGACTTGGTTTTCTTTCTTTCTAAATGTTTAAGGAATTTTTAAATTGAGGTATTGCAGATTGTAAAGTGTTCTTATCTTAAGTATACAGCTCAATGGCTTTTTTACCTGATACCCCCATGTGGCCACCCCCAGATCAAGGTGCACACCACTTTCAGTACCCCAGAAAGCTCCTGCATATGCCTCTTCCCAGCCAGCACCCCCACCACGGGGTGACCTATCTCCTGACTTCCCTCCCCTTGCTTTAGTCTTGCCTGTTCTTCAGGTCACACACGTGGAATCATATGATCTGATCTGTGTGTGTTGGACTTCTTTCATCCCATGTCCCATCTGTGGGATTCATTCATGTGGTCGGATCAGTGCTTCATTCTTTTTTATTGTTATAGTACCTGATTGGGGTACTTTTGAGCTTATTTTTTATTTCATAGACTATTTTGGACATATAGAATCATATAGAATCACACCCACCTCCCATCCTGAGAAGCAAACCTTAAGCCCCTATATTCCTCTTCTGTCTGCACTTTCCATTTTGACCCATCTCCATCCCATCCCAGGAGAAATACTCTCCTAAATGTGGTATTTATCCTTCCCATGCAAGTTGGTAAATTTGTACTACCTATGTACAATTTCTTAACAGATCCTTTGAGTGAGTATAAACTCTCTTTTTCTTATTTGGTATTGCCGAGTCCAATTAAATTTTAATTTAAATGTTCCAAGTGTTTCTGGGATTCAGAACCTCAGCTCCATGCTCTAGAGGTCAAGACAGTTGGAGCAAAGTCCAGAAGGAAAGGCCAACTGGGGAGAGGCAGGAGGAGAGCAGAGTGGGGAGAGAAGCGGAGGGAGGTGGGTGTGGGAGGGAGATGCTCACAGCCCTCAGCAGCCATGATCTGGTGGGGGCCCCTGCCGCTGCCCTGGTTTTTCTCTCATCTTGGACCTATGGGGAATGCACCGTGCCCCTCTTTCTGGCCTAATTTCCTGTGTCCACTGGTGCCACCTCTTTGCAGAGGCAGCCTTCAGAGGGATTTGTGGGGGAGAAGGAGCTTCTCCTTTGGGAAGAAAATGCTTGTGGTCCTCCATGTACCCTACACCCTGCAGCTGCGTCACAGGGGAAGCACTCCCCCATGGGGGCCAGGCGCTGTGCTAAGCCTTTTCCCTGTACTAACATGTGAACCCCCTCTGAGCAAGCCAGCGAAGTGAGCACTATTTGACAGCCTGAGAAACTGAAGCACAGGGCAGTGAAGTGAATTCCCCGAGGCCACAGCTAGCAAGTGGCAGAGCTGGGACTTGAACCCAGAAAGGGCAGCTCCAGGCTCACCACCTGTATACTCTCCAGTCTATTGTCTAGTGGAGGCACGGGCGGCCCAGGGGCCTTCCCCGATGCTTATCTCATTCTGTAACTCTGCATTCTCAGTGGAGGTTTTCTTGACTCTAGCTCCAGGCAGGCAGAGACTGCCTTTGTTTGGCTCCCATTTTTATCATTAGCAGAGCAGGTGCTAGTGATATTTGCAGAACAGGTGCTGAATGAATGCATGAAAAAATGCATGAATGTGGAAATGAAAGGGGATGCAGATGGAGATGATGCAGATGGAGATGATGATGCAGATGGAGATGATGCAGATGGAGATGATGCAGATGGAGAGCAGTGGCCATGCAGAGTCTTTGCAGACCTTGGCTTGGCTTCAGGCTGTGGGGGCTCTGCAAGCCAAGGGTTTGAGTTCCACCTCCAGTGCTTGCCAGCAATGCCACCTTGGGTGACCTTTATCGTGCTACCTGGAAAGTGGGGATGCTGGCAGCCCCTCCCTCCTGGCATCACTGACACTGCATGGTCAGGGTGTGATCCCTTTGGGTACAGGCGGGGGTGGTGGACCTCCCAGGTGGGCAGGTCCAGTTTGGATGAAAGGCCAAGGACGATTCATAGGAGAGCACAGGAGTCCTTGCTTAGCCCCAGCAATTCCACAGAACCTGCTGTGAACTGCTGGCTGCTGCCCGTAACTTTTCCCTGTCCCTATTTCCACTCCTTGGAGGCCGCAAGAACAACTGCTGGCTGGCCTTGGCCACTGCCTCAGTGTTCCAGCCTCTGCCGTCATTTGACACCAAGAAGACAGCCAGGCAGGCCTTGGCTCACTGCAGAGGTGTTACTCCACCCCCGAGTCCTAGCCGCCCCCTGTCCTCTGGGTCCTGGCTGGGCTGGGCAGGAGGGCACTCACCTCTCCCTTCTCTCTCTGCCCTAGCATGAACCAGCAGAGGGGCTCTCAATCCTGGTGCTGGGCAGTGGGTCTAGATTTCCCTTTCCATCTGCAAATATACCCACCATTTCCCTTCCCTGCATTCTGCGCTCAGCAGGGCTATTCACAGGAAGCACAGAGGACCTCTCCTTCACAGTGAGCAGTTGACCTTTTTTGAGCACCTACTGAATGCCAAGGGTTTTTTCTACATTTCAATTTGTGATCTCATTTGTTTCTCAAAATCTCCCTAGGAGGGAGACGTAATGCCCCTCCCCATTTTACTGATGAGTAAACTGAGGCTCCAAGAGATTCAGCCAGTTGCTTAGCAGAGTCAGGATTTGAGCCGAAAGCTGGGTTGTCTCTACTCCCCTCCATGCTGCTCTGCAGAAGAGAGAAGCCATAGAAAGCTCAGGAATGTAGTGACAGTCGCAGCGCTAGCGATGATGATAATCACAGCTCACATCCACCATGCGCTTGCTACGTGCTGGGAGCTGCCATTCAAGCCTTACATGCGTTTCTGCATTTAATCCTTACTCCTGTGAGGTAAGCAGTATTTTAACCCCATTTTACAGATGTAAAACACTGGCGGTTCAGAGAAAAATCTGTCCAAAGTCATGCAGCTAATGCATGAGACAGCAGAGCCCCTGGCTCTGAAAATCCGTGGGGATTGAAATACCAAGCACACTGGTTCATCCAGACAGTGGGATATTGTTCAGGATTGAAAGGTAATGAGCTAGAAAAATGTGAAAAGACATGGAGGAACCTTACATGCCTCTTACTAAATGAAAGAAGCCAATCTGAAAAGGTTCTATACCATATGATTTTCACTCTGTGACATTCTGGAAAAGGCAAAACTATGGAGACGGTAAAAGATCAGCGGTTGCCAGGGGTTGCGGGAGGGAGGGATGAATAGGCGGAGCACGGAGGATTTTTAGGGCAGTGAAACTGTGTGTGATGCTGCAGTGATTGATACGTGTCATTAGACATTTGTCTAAACCGAAGGAATGTACAACACCAAGAGTGACCCCTGATGTCAAGTATGGACTTTGGGAGACAATGATGAGTCAGTGTTCATTCATCAATCATAACAAATGAACCCTGTGGTACAGGATGTTGATAGTGAGGGAGGCTGTGCATGTGTGGGGACAGGCAGGATATGGGAAATCGCTATCTTCTGCTCAATTTTGCTGTAAACCTAAAACTGCTCTAAAAATATAGCCTATGTTTTAAAAGAGGGAAAAAAGAAAAACAGGTTCACGATGCACTTGGTGCTTGAGCCACCACAACCCCCAGCAGTGATGTGCAGCAGGGCGTGGCTCTGCACTCTGCGGGGGCTTCCCGGGCTGGCTTAGCTGTGGGATCATCTTCTCCAGTGGTTCTTCCAGGCCTGCTGTCAGGTGCAGTTTGAAATCCAGTTCAGGAGTGCACCTTGCGTGGGGAGCTGGAGGGAGGCAATGGTTGCTGTTGGGTGACTAGCAGAGGCTGAGGGAATGGCAGGCATGCCAGGGCTCTGCCAGTGTATAGACAGATCTTCCCCCCTGGGGAGGAGGAAGGAGGAGGTGAGGGGGGTGACAACAACATTCTTTGGTCCCCATTCCCCAGGACAGCGTGTGCTCAGGGGAGGCTGGCCTCACCCCTGCCAGGGAATTGCAAAATTCAGCTTCAGTTGAATGAGTGTCCTTTGGAAAAGTACATTTTGCTCAGGAGCCAAGTAAAACTGAGGACTCTGCAGCCAGCACACTGAAGTCGCTAGCCATGACTCACACCGAGTGGGATGGGGAGGGCCAAGCTGGGAGGCAAGCCATGGCTCTCTGGTGGGTCCAGGCTCCCTCTGGCGCCAGACCCCTCGGCTGGGCTCAGGTCCCTCAGCTGGGATATTTCGTGTGCCAGAGGTAGCAGCCTCAGATGGCTTTGTCAGGGTTCAGACTCTCCTTGCTATTTAGAAAAGATGTTGTCTCTAAGAAGTCATGGAGAAAATGAATCACTGTAAAAATCAAATTTTCTTATCCACTTGCATTATTGGTTTAGAGATGGCTTCTCTCCAAGATAAGTTTTTGGTAGACTGCAGATCAAAATGTTTAGGGGCATCTGGGGGTGTCATGAGAAGAGCCCCAGATGGGACACCCGTTCTTCCTTGTGACATTAGGGAATTTGGTACAGCTTTCTGGATCAGTTTTTGCCTTTAAGATGCATCTGGACTCATCAAACCCAGAAAGTGTAGAGCAAATATTCCTATTCCCATGTCCTTGGCAGACATTGCTAATCTATCTCAGGGCTCCAACAGAGTTGGGTCTCAGCCTTACCAGCCTGGCAGCCACTAGACTTGATCCCTGAGATGAAACCTCTTGACCACACAGGAACTCCATGATCTTGAAGCTCCCTTCTGGCTCTATAACTTTTATGTCTCTCTCTCTCTTCTTGCTGTATCTTTCATTCTACTGACTATTCTGATACAAAAATACTTCACGTTCAAGATTTAAGGCCAAGTTCACAAACTGATAATACTCAGGCCAAATCTGACCCACAGAAGTGTTTCCTTTGCTTTGCGTATTATTTTATTTTTGAAACACTTGCCATCATTTTTTAATTGGTGATTTTACCTAATTCCCCAGATTTCTGGTTTCACTTAACGGGCTGCCCTCGGACCCCTTGGTTCCAGCCATGTGCCAAGCTGGGAGGCTTTCTATGGACTCCACAGTTTGCCACAGGCCACACCCAGCCCACTTCTCTAATTTCCAGTTCCTGCCTATTCTCAGTAGGCATTTTTCTACTCCAGACAAGTATACTTCTGTCCCACATGTAAGGCCTGGCTGTCTCTCATTTGCTGATGTGAGCTGCTAGATGACCAACGCTCCGGTCTGTTAACTCACTTGGGATGCTGACGTTTCCTGGAATCTCTTTCAGAGGGAAAGGTGTTTCCTCTCTATGAATCATAACTGCCTGATGAATTAGTTTTACATTTTTATTTTCTCATGTGGGCTTTCCTCAAAGCAGGGGCTCAGTTATGCCATGAACTGTTGAAGAAAGCACAAGTTGAGGCAGATATGGGAAATTTAGCAGGGGGAGCGGGGAGCAGAGCCCTTCCCTCCCTCTCGCAGCCACTCCCTTCCTCCCCGCCTGCCTGCCTGGATCTCCTCTGCAAAGCCTCATTGCTGGTGGGTGGTGAGGAAGCCAAGTGGCTCCCCGAGGGTACTTGCCTGCACAGCTCAGGTGAGCTCTTGGCTCAGGAAAGACTCACAGTCTTCCCTGGCTCAGCGGGCCTTTTGCTGCTTAAAGATGATGCTCGCCACTTCAGATCACAGTGCCAGCCCCTGGGGAACCCCAAGATGCGTAAGACAACCTCCTGCCCTTGAGGAATTCACAGCTTTGAGGGGAAGACACCAATAGTATTAATGAGGCAGTGTGGGCCGTGCTGTTGTTTGTGAATGCAGTCCACGCATGCTCAGTGACATCAATCATCGCATGTGCCCGGTAGTAACAGGGAGACCTCAGGGGCTGCAGAGGTCCCCGTGGGGGCACTTCATCCGGCCTGAGGCTGATTGGAGATGGCTTCTCAGAGAAAGGGATGCGTGAGCTGAGTTTTCAATTGCCCGAGACCTCTGACCTCACTGGCCACTCCAGCTGTATCAGCCTCGCTGCTGTTCCAGGAACCTGCCAGATACGCTCCCTGCCTCGAGGCCTTTGCACTTGCTGTCCCTTCTGCCTGGAATGCTCTTCCCTGGCTATCCCTGTGGCTGTTGTCTCACTTAATTCCGATCTCCATTTGCATGTCATGATCTCCTTGTCTGATGAGCCCCATCCGAAGGGCCCTGGCATTACACTATTTCCTTAACCTGTTTTATTTTTCTTCATAACGCTTATCAGCACTGACATATATGAGTTCATTCACTGTTGGTCTCTCCCACTAGGAGATAATCTAGGTGAAGACTGGGAGATTTGTGTCTGACCTCCGATGTGCTCCCAGCACCTAGATCAGTGTGTGGTCCACAGTAAGCACTAGAGGATGCAAAGTACTGTGAGCTGATGAAGGAGAGAGAGGGGGTGATGCAGACAGATGGCACCAAGCTGGAATAGCAGTGGTCTTTGGGGAACAAAGAATGTTGGCGGGCAGTGGGGTGAGAAGGAGGGGCAGATAACACACAGCCAAAGACAGATCTGCTAAGACAGGCCCTGACTGTGTCTTTCTTTTCATTTATAACCTGCTTATTATAGAAAAAGTGACAACACTGAGATGTGCCGAAGTGGAAGTGATCACCAACTAGCCTCTCAGCCAGGCCCACAAGGAAAACATTCTGACCCCTTTCCTAAAGCCCTTTTGCCTGGGATTGTGTGGAGAGTTTCACCTTTTCATTTGTGAGCCAGATCTTGCTTTCTAAAGTGCACAGCTAGCTGCCTGCCCCTTCAGGTCTCTTCGCTGTGCTCCCAGCCCAGTGCAGTAACCTTGTGTTCAGATGGGCGAGGACATGTACCCCAGCTTGGCCACGAGATAGAGTAACCTCGGGCCTCAGGGGGCCATGAAGCTTTGCAGGAACCTCCACCCTTTCTCCTCCAGCCTCGTCCCCATGTGTCTGCCTGTACTCAAGGCCTCAGTCTGAGTCACTGTCTCTACACAGTCTTTCCTGAACCTCAGTTTTATTTTTCTGTAAAAATGGGGATGAAGCTAGTGTTTATACCTTGAATGGTTTTGAGGATCAGATTTGAGGATCAGATGAGACAATATGAGTTACTACTTGGGTTCATGGGAGGTGCTCAGTAAATATCATTCTCCTTCCCCTCTTAAAATCTTAATCCTGCACTGTGCTTTTACCCCAGGCCTCACCAGAACTCAGCCTTGACTTATTTCTCAAGGTCACTGAGAGTGTTGTCAAAAGGTGGTCTCAGGCCAGGCTTGGTAGCTCACACCCGTAATCCCAGCACTTTGGGAGGCCGAGGCAGGTGGATCACTTGAGGCCAGGAGTTCGAGACCAGCCTGGCCAACATGATGAAACCCTGCCTCTAGTAAAAATTCCAAAATTAGCCTGGTGTGGTGGCACATGCCTGTAATCTCAGCTACTCAGGAGGCTGAGGCAGGAGAATTGCTTGAGCCCGGGATGGGGAGCTTGCAGTGAGCCAGGATCACACCACTGCATTCCAGCCTAGGCAACAAGAGCAAAACTCTATCTCAAAAAAAAGAAAAAAAGAAAAAAGAAAAGAAAAAAAAGGTGGTCTCATAGCACAAAGCAAAGCTGAATCAATTGGGCAGGTGGAGGTCAAGGGACACTTGGGGTCCCCAAAAGGGGCACCTTTCACAGGCATCTTGGCATGGCTCCTTCCCCTAAATACTCCCCTCCTAAACTTAAAAACACTGACACCAACAGTTTATTCTTTTTAAATCTCTGTGAAAGGCCGTGCCTGGCGGGGAGCCACGGGCATGAGAATCCAGTCCCCGGAATAGCTCCTGCCGCTCAGCGTTTAAATGCCGTCTGTATTTTTATCCGATGATGGGCCACTTTTGAAAAACCCCGCTCATGCTCTGCCCCTCTAAGAATACATTTCCATTTATAGCATCTGCACACAGGATGTTGTTCTATCCCGGTGTGGGGCCAGGAGGCCGTGTCCTGTTTCCAGTGAGTTGGAAACACTTGGGGGGCCCTTGCTCCCCCCAGCCCAGCACTCCCTGTGGCCTTGACAAGCGGGAAGCCTGACTCCCGGCCAAGCCCTGGCTGCCTTTCCTCTTCCTGTGCAAGCCTGAGCTCATCTGTCTGTTGCAGGTTGGGGAGGCAAGTGGGGGTGAGGGGCCCCTCTCCAGCCTTGCCCAGCCAGGGCCTCCAGGTGACACAGCACCACAGTTCCTTAGCTCCGTGGACCCTGCATCCTTCACTCACTCACCCAGTGCCACGGCCTGCTGTCAGCATGGGCCCTGCATGGCACAGGAGAGCAGCGATGAGTACAGAGAGCCAAGGCTCCCAGGGCCCAGTGGGGAGCTTTGGGGAGGCCAGGGAGGATCAGTGTTCAGTCTCCAGGATGAGGCTGGCCAGGGTTCCAGTCCTGACTCTGCTTCTTGTTAGCTGTGTGAGCTTAGGCAAGTGGCTTGGCCTCTCTGAGCCTCAGTTTCTGCATTTGTTGAAGGAACCTCAGGAGTAGTAGGGAAGATTCTGTGGACAGAGTAGGCCAAGTGTCTAAGCAGTGCTTGGCCCATAGGGTGGGAGTCCAGGAAATGCCAGTCCCCTTTCCCGTCCCTCTGTTGACCTGTGGTAACTCAGGTGGGTGCAGGCTAAAAGTCTTAGGAAATCTGCTTGAAGTTAGATATAAACACATGCCTTACACCTTAGGAATTCTAGCACGCATGGGCATCTCCTGAACTGTGCTTTTCAGCAAAGCAGATTCCTGCCCTGCCCACCTCACCCCTCACCAGTTTAGTTCATTCTACAGTGGGGCCCTGGAATCTGCAAATTTTTTTTTTTTGAGATGGAGCCTTGCTCTGTCCCCCGGGCTGGAGTGCAGTGGCGTGATCTTGGCTCACTGCAACCTCTGCCTCGTGGGTTCAAGCGATTCTCCTGCCTCAGCCTCCCAAGTAGCTGGGATTACAGGCACACGCCACCACGCCTGGCTACTTTTTTTGTATTTTTAGTAGAGACGGGGTTTTACCGTGTTGGCCAGGCTGGTCTTGAACTCCTGATGTCAGATGATCCACCCGCCTCGGCCTCCCAAAGTGCTGGGATTACAGGCATGAGCCACCATGCCTGGCTGGAATCTAAGTGTAACCAGCTTCCCACAGATTCTGAGGCAGTGGTCCTTGGACCACATTTTGAGAAATGCTGCCTTCTTCATCCATTGCACAAGTGCTTCTCCTGAACCTACTCTATGCCGGACACTTTTCTAGGCCCTGGTGATGTAGACAGATGGGGTTCCAGCTCTCTGGTGACATATTCTGATGGAGTCAGGCAGTGAGCAGATACACATAACTCAACATCAGGGAGTGATTTTAAGTGCTGAGAAGAAAGAAGAGGGCAGAGGCTGGGCGTGGTGGCTCACACCTGTAATCCCAACACTGGGAGGCTGAGGCAGGCAGATTGCTTGAGCCCAGGAGTTTGAGACAGCCAGGGCAACATGGCAAAACCCCGTCTCTACAAAAAAATACAAAAATTAGCCAGGTGCAGTGGTGTGCGCTTGTCCTAGCTCCTTGAAAGGCCAAGGTGGGAGGATCACCTGAGCCTAGGGAGGTTGGGGCAGCAGTGAGCCATGATCGCGCCACTGCACTCCAGCCTGGGCAAGAGTGAGACCCTGTCTAAAAAAAAAAAAAAAAAAATTAAAAGAAGAGGGCAGAGTAAGCACAGGCTCCCCCGAGGAGATGACATTTGAAAATAGACTTAAGTAAGGGAGCAAGCCATACAGAGATGCAAAGGCAGAACCTTCCAGGTAGAACGGTAATTCATTCAAGTTCTCCAGCTGTTGAGTGGCAGAAAGTCAAGGGCTTTCCATACCTCCTCTGCTTTTTCTTTTACATGCTATCTATAAGGGTGCTTTTTTAGCTGAAGTAGCAGAAAAGTGGACTAGAAGAGGTTTAAATAAGAGTTTTTTTGTTTTCATTTTTTTTCTCATGTAACAAGAAGACTGGAGGTAGCTTGCTTCTGGTGTTGGCTCAGCATCTCAAGGATGCCAGAGTTTTTATCTCTGCTCTCAACTGCACTTTTCCCTTATGGTCTCAGAGGAGTTCCCCCAGCTCCAGATGTTATGTCTGCACCCAGGACAGGAAGATGGGGTTGGGGTAGAAATGTTAGTGCCGGTGATGTGTGACCCTTTGATTATAAAACCAAAAGCCCCCTACCCCCCCAGCAGGCTTCTGCTTATTATCATCAGTCAGAGCAATGGTATATGGCCACCCCATGCCACAAAGGAGGCTGGGAAAGTGAAAGTAAGTGGTTAGGGTTAAAGGGAATCAGAATCCAACAAGGTCTACCTATTGCCTGTGGGCTTTCTTGAGACAGGATCTCATCCTGTTGCCCAGGCTGGAGTGCAGTGGTGCAGTCACGGCTCACTAAAGCTCAAACTCCTGTGCTCAAGTGATCCTCCCACCTCAGCCTCCTAAGTAACAGATTACAGTCATGAGCTACCACACCTGACTAATTTTTTAATATTTTGTGGAGACGGGATCTCACTATGTTGCCCAGGGAACTCCTGAGCTCAAGAGATTTTCCTGCCTTGGGATAACAGGCATGAGCCACCATGCCTGGCCACGTCCTTTATTTATTGAAGAAACTAGGTCATTTATTCTGTAGAATGCCCGCATTATGGATTGGGCTTATTGAATCATGTAACCTGTTCCTGGTATTTTCTGTAAACTGGTGGTTAGATCTGGAGCCTTGATTAGGCTCAGGGTCAGTTCTCTGGGCAAGAAGCATTCCTGGGTACTGCTGTGTGCTTTGTATTGTGTCACATTGAGAGGTACAGAACAACTGGCTTTCTTCTCTTTGAGATGCTCAGATGGATCACTGCGTTCAGGCAGGCAGATGGATCACTGCGTTCAGGCAGGCAGATGGATCACTGCATTCAGGCAGGGGCAGCCTGGTCTATCTGTTAGGAAGTTTCCTGTCGTTGCTGATTATTGTCTAGAGCCAGGATTTCATCAGTGGATGCACAAAGAGGATTTTTCTAATTCTCTTAGTCTTTCTGCATACATTCTTTGAAGTTATTCTATAAAACAGAACGTTGCCCTCATCAACTATTTGGCTAGCTAGAAATACATTTTATACCAAGAAAAAAAGTCAGAGTAAGTGCATTCTCTTTATTTACCAATTTTCAGAATAATGAGTTGGTGGTGTAGGATCTTAAAGGTGTCCAACAAGGCTTGTTACTTGTTTTTAGGAAGTATCCTTATGAACTCATGGATCACTTAATGTATGGGATGTATTTCAATCACGGCTGTTATTAAAATGTTTTATTCAGACAGCTTTATTGAGGTATAATCGACTTACAATAAATGTCACATGTCTAAAGTGTACAATGTGAAAAATTTGACATATGTATACGTCCATGAAACCATCATCACAGCCAAGATCATGGATATCTACACCACACCCCAAAGCTTGCTCCTCCCTGTCCTTTCCGCTCTCCCTGGGCAGCTGATGATCTGCTGTCACTCTAGATTAGTTGGCATGTTCTAGCATTTTATATAGACAGAACCATACCATATGGACCCTAGTTTGCCTGCCATTCAGCATAATTATCTTGAGAATCATCCATGTTGTTGCAGTGAGCCGAAATCGCGCCATTGCACTCCAGCCTGGGCGACAAGAGTGAAACTCCGTCTCAAAAAAAAAAATTTAATGAAGCCTAATTTATCATTTTTCTTTTATTACTTGAGCTTTTTGGTGTCTCATCTAAAAAGATAATCTTTGCCTAACCTAAACTTACAAAGATATTCCCTTATGTTTTCCTCTAGAAGGTTTATAGTAAGTCTGGACATCAGATCCAAATTTGTTCTTTTTCACAGTTGCTTTGGCTGTTCTAAGTCCTTTGTATTTCCATATGAATCTTAGAACCAGCTTGTCAATTTCTACAAAAATACTTGCTGGGATTTTGATTGGAATTGAGTTGAATCTATGGATAAATTTGGGAAGAAATGCCATCCTTACAATGTTGAATCTTCTGACCCACTAACATGTCTATATTTCCACATTTACTTTTGCTTTCATGTCTTCTTTAATTTCCCTCAGCAGTATTTTCAGTATATGGGTCTTGTACTTTTTTCTCAAATTTATCTCTAAATATTATATATATGTGTGTGTGTGTGTGTGTGTGTGTGTGTGTATATATATATATATATATTTTTTTTTTTTTTTTTTGAGATGGAGTTTTGCTCTTGTTGCCCAGGCTGGAGTACAATGGCACGATCTTGGCTCACTGCAACCTCCACCTCCTAGGTTCAAGCACCACCCCCCTGACACAGGGACACACACATAAAATGTAACAGAATGCAGCGTTCTGCCTTGGCCTTTTCCTCTTACTGTATCCTGGAGATTCCCCTGTGACAGTGTCATTTTCCCATCTAGCTGTATCACCCTCTGCGTTATGGGTGATCTGTAGTGTCCCCTTTGGCTGGATGTTTGGATGACCTCCCGTCATTTGCTATTACAGCTGGTGCTGTGGTACATAGCCTTGTGTAGATGTCAATTTATATTTTCACCTGGAGTTCACTGAGTGCTATTAATGGGCCAGGCCCTGCGTGACCCACAGGAGATTCAAGGACAAATCTGACCCAGCCCAGCAAGAGTGGAAGACCCTGCAGCCAGCCTGGGGCTGGGCCGGGTATAGTCCCCAGAGCCTGTGGAGACTGGGGAGCTGCCTTGGGATGGGGAGTGTGGTTTGTCTGGCCTTCCGGAAGTCAAGCAGTCAGATTTACTCTTCTTCCTCTTTGTCCAGACTTGGTCTTTGTGGGAAGGAGGGGAGGGGAAAGGCCAAGATTTTGTGGTCAGAAAGGGTTATCACGGATGGGAGAGGTCACATGTGGGGATGATTGGGGTAGAAGTGGAGGCTGCTGGAGCTGGGAGGCCATGCCATGGGCACCAAGGTCTAGGGAGAGAGCTGCAGGGAGAAAACCTTATATGCGTTGGTGACATCAGCATTATGTGCTATGTAGACCAGGAGTCGTCACCCAGATTTCTCATAAATCCAGGCCTTCACTCCTTCACCTGCCAGCCTGTTTCCCTCTTCCAGGCAGGCATGTGGCCCAGGGGTGAGAAGAATTGTTCTACTGCCAGACTGTGCCAGTTCAAGTCCTGGCCCTGCATCTTGGGCAAGTAAAACAGAAAGAATGCTACTGTCTACCATACAGGGTTATGAAAGTGATCCGAGATACTGAACGCAAAGTGTAAGCCGAGGCTTCGTGCGCAGTAAGCCCTCGCAAGGGGGGTAGCAGCAGTCATAGCTGTGATTGTTACTATTATATTATTATTATTATTCCTCCCTCAAAGTTGCTCCATCTGGGCTGGAGACAGAGATGGACCTTTTTTCCTTTGGACAGAGGGAGAGAGTGGTATGAACTCATCTTAGTAGTATGAATGTCAAGGTCAGGATTTGAGGGGGGCGATGAGAATGATTCTAGGGCTCCCTCCCGCCTGCCTCCACTTGGCTCTGGTGTGTTCATTTGCCTTCGTGCCCCCCAACACACATACACGCATGCACACACATACACTAGCACAGCCCCCGGGCCAGTGGTTCTCAGTAAGGTGGAGGGAATGAGTAGGTGAACAAACGAGTGAGTTTTTCGCCTCACTCCCTGGCACTCGGCACCGAGGGCTCCGACAGGCTGGTGGCCAGGGCTGACCAGCCAGAGTTTCATCTAAAAGCCTCGATGGCTATTTTTGGGACAAATGACCCACCACTTCCAATGACTTGCTCCGAAATGGCATCTAATTTCATTAAGCCTTGGAAACAGTGACATCACAAGTGCCTGCCCGGTAGCCGCCCACATATGGCGAACCACAGAGTGATCCGAGATTCGTCTGCAAGAACAGGGGAGAACTAAGGTCCCAAGCAGCAAAAGTTAAAATAGCAAAGCTGAGGCATTCTGCTATGAAAAGAAATTACAGATGAAATCCATTAGTCAGACATTTCCAGCGGCAGTTTCCTTGCTTGGGAGCAGGGGAAGACGTGTTTATTCGGGGTTGGGCTCTGCAGCCATTCCTCACTCTGTAGGCAAGATGTGGCCCGGAAAGTGGGTTTCTGTTAAGGAAATCCTATGTTCTCATTGACTTTTAGCACCGACCTTCCTGTACATTCTCATGGAATTTGCTGTATCCTAAGGCGTGAGGAAGCTAGAGACGTGGATTTGGCACCTTTTTGATTAACATAGTGACACTTGTACTTACCACGCCCTTACAGTAAGTCACAAAGTAAATTCAGACGGACTTCATCTTTTCCCTATGGGTTCCTTTGCTTTGTTTTTTTTCCAAGTGAGCGCTGCCTTCTCAGGCACAGAGCAAAAAGGGAGGGAAACACTGCCTAACTCCAGATTCTTGGTCTCCATGGAGGCCATCAAGGCGGTGGCTGTGACATCACCCATCGGGGGCAGGAGCAGCTGGAGGCCCCTCAGAGAGAGCATGGGATCAATGGGAAACCTTCTATGTGGGAGGTTTTATTCCGCACACAACAGAGCTTCCCAGCCTCAACCCTATTGACACTTGGGGCTGGTCATTCTTTGTCGTGGGGGGACCTTCTTGTGTGCCATGGAATGTTTAGCAGTACCCCTGGCCTCTACCTATGAGATGTCAGTAGCACCCCACACCCAGCGACGGCCCAAAAGACAAATGTCCACTGAGAGGCAAAACCTCTCCTTACATGAGCACTAACAAGGATTGATTGGAAAGCTTTTTAGTGGCTTGTGTTTATTTATTTACTTTATTATTTATTTATTTTTTGGAGGCAAAGTCTTGCTCTATCTCCCAGGCTGGAGTACTGCAGAGCCGTGATCTTGGCTCACTGCAACCTCCACCTCCCAGATTCAAGCAATTTTCCTGCCTCAGCCTCCCCAGTAGCTGGGATTACAGGCACCTGCCACCATGCTTGGCTAATTTTTGTATTTTTAGTAGAGACAGGGTTTTGCCATGTTGGCTAGGATGGTCTCGAACTCCTGATCTCAGGTGATCTGCCCGCTCTGGGGCTTGTTTTTATTTTTAAAAATTATTATTATTATTTTATTTACTTATTCTTGAGACAGGGTCTTACTCTGTCTCCCAGGCTGGAGTGCAGAGGCATGATCTCAGCTCACTGCAGCCTGGACCTCCCTGGGCTCAAGCAATCCTCCCACCTCAGCCTCCCAAGTAGCTGGGACTACAGGCGACCACCACCACACCCAACCAATTTTTGTATTTTTTTGTAGAGACAGGGTTTCACCATGTTGCCAGGCTGATCTCAAACTCCTGACCTCAAGTGACCCACCCACTTCAGCCTCCCAGAGTGCTGGGATGACAGGCGTGGGCACCACACCTGGCTTTGTTTTTGTTTTCAATACTCTGAGTTTAATTGCACCTTCAAGTGAGCAAGGCACACCTCTTCTTGAGGCTTTGGCTTTCTCTTCTGTAAAGCGAACGGGTTGGACACAGTGATCTCAGAATCCCTGAGAGAGCTGACCGTGAGGAGCGTTGAGGGCAGGGGGCCCTATGGGGTCTCTGTTTGGGTTCTGCCCCAGCAGGGGATAAACCGCGTGCCCAGCTAGCCCCAGTCCCCACTCCCATTCCCTTGACCCCTGGCATCCAGGTTAGTTTTTCTTAAGTCCAGTTGGTTCCTCTCTTGCTTTAATTTTGGCCCATTTTCCTTTTTAAAAAGTGAAAATGTGGCTGGACGCGGTGGCTCACGCCTGTAATCCCAGCACTTTGGGAGGCTGAGGCAGGCAGATCACCTGAGGTTGGGAGTTCGAGACCAGCCTGACCAACATGGAGAAACCTCATCTCTATAAAAATACAAAATTAGCTGGGCATGGTGGCACATGCCTGTAATCCCAGCTACTCGGGAGGCTGAGGCGGGAGAATGGCTTGAACCTCGGAGGCGGAGGTTGCGATGAGCTGAGATCACGCCATTGCACTCCAGCCTGGAAAACAAGAGCGAAACTCCATCTCAAAAAAAGAAAAAAAAAAAGTGAAACTGTCTAAGTATCCACAAAAGTAGAGAAAACGGTACAGGGACCACGGTGTACTCACCGCCCAGCTTCACCACTGCCCATCTTATCTTAGTCTCATGTTTAAGGCTATCCAGTGGGCCTTATGCTTGTGCAGATCCATTCATGGACTCAGTTCCCCAAGGGCCTAGACTGGGTAGCGAGGAGGGCAGTAGAGGAAAGGTCTGGGACCTGCCCTTGAGAACTCATACTCCAGTGGCCGGGGAGGGCTAGGAGGGAGTGTTTCTTAAATAATAAATATTTATTATAATCCGTCCTTTAGCTTTCTGTGTTTGAGGCTAAGCAGTCCAAATCTTTAACTTTTCTTCCAAATATTTTCCACCCAAATGGGCCTGATTTGTCCCCACACTGTGGGGGAAAAGCAACAGGACCATAAATTAGATCTGGATTCAGATCTCTGCCGTGGCACTTCATAGGTGTGTGAGCCTAGCCAAGTCTCCAGCCTCTCTGAGCCTCATCTGTAAAATGGAACAATAATCCCTAATTTGCAAGTCAGTCAAGACAATTAGATGTGAACATGCTGGTCGAAGGCCTC
Organism: Homo sapiens; assembly: GCF_000001405.40. NCBI lineage: Eukaryota > Metazoa > Chordata > Mammalia > Primates > Hominidae > Homo > Homo sapiens. Next base: position 172,881,842 of record NC_000005.10, read on the forward strand.
TGTGGCCCTAGTATATAGCAGGTTTGCTGTAAGCACCCCTTTCCCTCCTCCATTCTCTTCACCCTTTCCTCCACATTCTCTTGACGGAGAGCTGGTCACAACTGGTCACATCACCGCAGCAAGGGACTGACTAATGTCAGCCAGGGAGGACGGCTCACTTCCTGGTCTGTCACATGCCTGGGGTTCTCACCAGCCTCCTGATAACCCATTTTCTTAGTGACATTCATGCTGACTCACTTGGCTTGTGGTCAGTTCTGAAACTAGGGTCTTTTTGAGCTCTCCCTTTACCCCACCACTGCTGCCCAGCGTGGCTCTGTGGCGTGGGAATGGAGTCAGTATTACAGTACGTAGTGTTGAGGTGGCCACTCCCAAGGAGCCAGAAGCTTTGCTAGATTGGCAGCTTCATGGGGTGGTGTCTGCCTTGATCACTTTCATTTCCCCACTGTCTAGAACACTGCCTGGTATATTAGGTGCTTAGCAAATGGCTGTTGAATGAATTAATGAATTTTGAACTGGTCCCTGTCTTCCAGGTGACTCTCATCTGCTCTGGGGCAGCATCCTTGGAAAAGCAGATGAGCAAAACCATGAGACCTTCATCTGATTTACCAAAAAATGAGCTCTAAACTGGTGATTCCCAGAGTACGGGCAGTGGAAGGACCATGCCCTGTGGACTCAGACTTGGGTTTGAATCCTAGCTCTGCCACTCACTGGCTTGGTGACTCTGAGCTTCCATTTTCTCCCTGGAAAAATGAGATATCAGTATTTTCCAGGGTTTTGTGAGAAATACATGCAAATATGTATGTCAAAGTGCCCAGCATAGAATGGAAGTGATTATGGTTAAGCATCATTTACTCTTTCCTTTGATTGCCTTCTGTAGCTTTGGTCCAAATCTCACCTCCCTCTTAGAGCGTCATCATCGCCCAGCCTGCCTCCCTACCCCTGTCCCCATGCCCAGCAAAGACTTACTCTGCCTGACACCCAGGAGTCAGGGTTAAACCAGCACCTAAAATTCAGCACCTCAAATTCAGGTGCCTACAAGGACCAGCCATATGTGAAGACAACAGGCTAAGTGGGGTGGTGGTGATGATGATGATGATGATTACTATTAGAGATGGTGGTCTCACTCTTTTGCTCAGGCTGGAGTACAGTGGAGTCGTCATAGCTCACTGTAGCCTCAATCTTCTGGTCTCAAGTGATTCTCCCACCTCAGCCTCCTGAGTAACTGGGATTATAGGCATGCTCTAAGTGTGATTAAGTGGCATCTCTGTCTTTCATGTTTTTTTAAATTTCCATTTGAAATACTTTTTTAACTTTTTGTTTTGAAATAATTTCAGACTTTTCCGCCAAACTGCAAAAATAGTACAGAGTTCCTGTATGCCCTTTACCCAAGCATCCCCAGATGTTAACATCTTACATAATCACAATACCATGATTAAGAGCAGGAAAATCCATTAGACAGTGCTGCCGGCCAATCTGCAGATCGTACTCAACTTTCTTCAGGTGTCCCCTGATGGCCTTTTTCTGATCCAGGATCTCATTGGATTTAGTTGTCATGTCTCTTTAGTCTCCTTCAATCTGTGACAGTTTCCCCATCTTTTCTTGTGCTTTATGACCTGAGTGCTCTTGACAAATGCCAGCCAGTTTTTGTTTTGTTTTGTTTTGTTTTTTTGTAGACTGCCCCTCACTTTGGATTTGTTTGATGTTCTCTCATTGTTAGATTGAAGCTGTACCTTTTAGGCAGGATCCCCCAGAAGTGGTGCTGTGCCCTCCTCAGTGCGGCATATCAGGAGGCACAGGGTGCCGATGTGTCTCCATGCTTCCGGTGCCCACTGTCTTCACCTGGTTAAGATGATGCCTGGGCCAGGCACAGTGGCTCATGCCTGTAATCCCAATACTTTGGGAGGCCGAGGCGGGCAGATCGCTTGAGCCCTGTAGTTGAAGACCAGCCTGGGCAACATGGCAAAACCCCATCCCTACAAAAAAATTAAAAAATTAGCCAGGCATGATGGTGCATCCCTGTAGTCCCAGCTACTCGGGAGGCTGAGGTGGGAGGATCGCCTGAGCCTTGGGAGGTTGAGGCTGCAGTGAGTCATCACATCACTGCACTCCAGCCTGGGTCACAGTGAGACCCTGTCCCTCCAGCCCCCATCAAAAAGACGATGTCTGCCAAATTTCTCCACTGCACAGTTACTCTTTCCATTTTGTAATTAATAAGCGTTTTCTGGGGGAAGTGCTTTGAAGGTATGTCAATATCCTGTCTTTATCAAAGTTTTGATTTGTTCATTTCTTTATTTCTATGTATGTTTTATCCTTTCTGTTTTATCCAATGGCTTATAATCTGTGATGATTGTTATTTATTTTGATGCTCACATTGTCTATTCTTCGGCCAGTGGGAACCCCAAGTTTTTTTTTTTTTTTTTTTTTTTTTTAAAGACAGGGCCTCACCCTGTAGCCCAGGCTGGAGTGCAAGGCTCACCATAGCATTAAACTCCTGGATTCAAATGATCCTCCCACCTCAGCCTCTTGAGTAGCTAGGACTATAGGCACACACCACCACGCCCAACTTTTGTTGTTGTTTTTTGTTGTTGTTGTTTGTAGAGATGAGGTCTTGTTATGTTGCCCAGGCTTTTCTTGAACTCCTGGCCTCAAGCGATCCCCCCACCTGGGCCTCCCAAACTGCTGGAATTACAAGCATGAGCCACTGACTGTGTCTGGCCTCTTCTTGTCCTTTTGACATGTCCTTTTCATTCTTTGAACACTTTCTTGGTTTCTGACATAAGAAGGTGCTCCAGGCCCATCTTGTATTTTTCCTGCCCAGCCTAGAATCAGCCATTCCAAGGAGCTCTGACTGCTTTAAGTAGAGAATAGTGATTAGAAGCCAAGGTTTGGGTGCTCGTTACACTCACTGCTATTGGGCTGTTGCTGTTGCTGGATCTTCTCTATGGAAAGAGCTAGGAAATGTATGTATATATGATACGTATATATACATGTGCATATTTCAGTGTTTGGGTATATTGAAAATGATTAATTCATACTGATATTTCCATTACCACTATAATACCATGTTTTCACCTCCCTTCCCTGACAGTGAGGCACCTGGCCCCACTATCCTTGTACATGTACATGTTTGACCAGTCTCTCTGTATGTAACAATCTCCTATCTCTCTCTTCCTCACCCTGACTGAACTTAGACACTCTGCCCCGAGCCACTGCTGCCTCCTCACCCAGAGCAGCCTCTGACTTCCAGTTTTGAAACAATGGTTCTTATATTTTTTATTTTTTAATTTTTATTTTATGTATATTTTTGAGATAGGGTCTCACTGTGTGACCCAGGCTGGAGTACATTGGCACCATCTTAGCTCACTGCAGCCTCAACCTCCCAGGCTCAAGTGATCCTCCCACCTCAGCCTCCTGACTAGCTGGGACTACAGGCGCACACCACCATGCCCAGCTAATTTTGTTCATTTTTTTTTGTGGAGATGAGGTCTCTCTATGCTGCCCAGGCTGGTCGCAAACTCCTATTCTCAAGCAGTCCTCCCACCTCAGCCTCCCAAAGTGCTGGGATTACAGGCAAGAGCCATCGTGTACAGCAGTTTCTGTATTTTTTTAAACTGCGAGGCCCAGTTTCTGCTTGTCGGTCCCTGATGGTGACCTGGACAAAAGCTGGGCTGTTAGCCACCTGGGGTATCGAGCCCCAGGACACGGCTGTCATGCTTTAATCTGCATGGGAACTTTTAGATCCCCTGTGCACCCCCTCATTTCATACTCAGAGAAGCTGAGGCCCAGCAAGGGCCAGGGATTTTCTGAAGGTCTAACACGAAGTTGGGGTGGAGTGAGGACGAGACCCCTCCCGCTGCAGCCCTTTCCTGCTGCTCATTTCTCCAGTCTTAGGAGAACCCACATGCCCTCCCCACTGGCCCAGGCTGGCCTTCCTATGACACGAGGCGGACCACATCCTCTTCCAGCTCCGCAAGGCCTCTCCGCTCAAATGGTCACCGCCTAGGCCCCAGGCCTCATGTCATCTGCAGACGCGTCTCATTTGTCCTGTAGAGTGTTGGCCCAGCATTTGAGAATGGTGAACTTCCATGTAAAATTCCACATTTTTGGCTTCTCTTGGACACTCAGAAGGTCTGGCCTCCTGAGCCCGCATCTCTACCTGGCAGGTGTCAGCTGGGGCTCGGTGATGGCCGCCTGCTGGTTTGTTTTCTCTCCATTCCCTCTCCCCACCCCTACCTCCCAAATTTGCTGACCTCTCACAGTCTCCCACAGTAGACCGCCCGCCGGCCCCCATCGACACTTGGTGTGAGACTCCCTAGCCACAGCCTGGCCCTCAGGACCCTCTCCTCCAGCCCCGCCCCAGTTTTCCGTCCTCCTCTCCCTGCACATCGGGCTGTACCCTGTGCCGGAGAGAGGACAGCGCCCAGCTTCCCAGATTCGGTCCTACTCTGTCTTTGCTTCTGCTCCTCTCCTTGCCTGGGCTGCTCTTTCCCTCCACCCATCCATCTTCTCCCCCTCCTGCTCTGTGCACACATCACCCCCTGTAGGAAGCTTCACCGAGGACCCCAGGCCAAGTCAGGTACCCCCTCCTGAGTTAATCCAGCACCTCGTGATGAGGATGCCACTACCTTCTCCTTCCCTTTCTTTGCCTCTACCGCTAAACTACAAACTCACTGGGCCAAGGGTTGATTTTTATCTCCTTGCCTAAGGGCCTAAAAGAGGGGGTGTGTTAGTAGGCACTGCGTAAATGTTTGTCAAACAAGCGTTAATAATAATAGTAACCACAAATATCCACGTGGCATTTCTGGGGTGCCAGGCTCTGCCTAAGTACTTTATATGTGCTCAGTCATTTGAGCCTCACCACCATGCTGTGAGATAGTTACTGTTGTTGCCCCCACTTTATAGACAAAGAAACTGAGGCACAGAGAGGTTAAGTGACGGTCCCAGGGTGGTACAGTAGTGGTCATAGTTGAGCCCAGGCATCTGATTCCACAGCACATGCTCTTACCTCTCACACACCTCTCAGTGTTAAAGCGGCCCCCACTTTCTGACTAAGGGATATGAGTAAATATGGACAGGTGAGTTGCAGAGACCCCCAACCTCCCGACCACACCCCAGCCCCAGCTTCTAGTACCCTCAGGGGCACAAGCACAGGTGACTGGGAGCTAAGCAGGCGGCAGAGAAAGTGGTACCTTTGAACTTGGCAGCCCGCAGGAATTTTTCTCCCCTGAGGTCTTAGGAAACTGAGCATGTTTCACGTGTAATTAGGGTGAGCACACTGATTCAAGCATCGGCCCTTACGCAAGGTTTCCAAGGCATTGCGTCGGGTTTAGCTGGGCATACTCTTGTTTCCCAATCACCAAAGAGGAACCGCACACCAGCCTGTCACCCCCAAGGGCTGGAGCCGCCGGCCTCTCCAGCAAGTCAAGTTCTGTCTGAGAGCTGGGATGCCGTGTGGACTAAGGAGGGTTCTGTCGATCAAACTCTGCTGTGGGAGAACTGTCTGCTACGCAGGTTCAAGTGAAGGAAACGAAGCCAAGTGTGTGGGGAGCCTCCCCTGCGAGCTCTCTGCGTCACATCCTTTACAGACACTTCTTTCCCTCACTCCTTTCCGTGGCCTCACAGGGTCTAGTACTAATGGTCCCATTTTTACAAAGGAGGAAACAGGCTCCGAGAGGTGAAGTCGTTTGCTGAAGGTCACATGGTGAACGAGAGGACCAGCCGAGATTTGAACCAGGGTAGTCTGATTCCAGGGTCTTAACTCTTAAATAGCTGAAGCAGAGCCAGAATTAAACCTGTGTCTGTCTGATTTCCAAAACCCTGAATTCTCCCACTACACCACACGATTTCCCTGTGCTCTGGTGGGATCCATAGGAAAGAAAGACATCTGTCTGCTTCTGTGAGGGAAAGAAATCACACAAGACAGGAACCAGAGCCATCACCAGCTGATGCTAAGACCGTGGGCTCCTGGCAGGACTTTCTGTTAACCTCATGCCTTAGCATTCTTAAGAAGAGTCTCCATGAGGCAGACAGCAGGAGCTGGGGGGTGCAGCCGGAGTGGAAACAGGAGGAGGCAGGAAAGGGAAGAGGGGGAGGAGAGGTGACGTGGAGCAAGAATGCAGCATCGTCACATAACTCGAGCAGGGCTGTGCGTTTCCTTGCTTCCTCTAGCGTCAGAGTCACCCCCGATTCAGGGGTTCCATACATTCCATAATTATCCAGTGCCTACTCTGCACCAGGCCCATGCTAGGGTTTGGGAACGTGGCAGGGAACAAAACCTAACTAGGCCCCTGCTCTCGCAGAAGTTACACTCTGATGGAAGACCCACCGATGAGTGGGAGGGTCATCTGGTGGTTCACGCCTGTAATCCCAGCACTTTGGGAGGCCAAGGTGGGCAGATCGGTTGAGCTTAGGAGTTCGAGACCAGCCTGGGCAACATGGCAAAACCCCGTCTCTACCAAAAATACAAAAATTAGCCAGGCATGGTGGCACATGCCCGTAGTCCCAGCTACTTGGGAGGCTGAGACACGAGACTCACTTGAACCTGGGAGGCAGAGGTTGCAGTGAGCCAAGATTGCACAACTGCACTCCAGCCTGGGTGACAGAGCGAGACCCTGTTTAAAAAAAAAAAAGAAATGTTATGAAGAAGAGATGACAAGGGGATGTGATCTAAGGGTGTTGTGGGGAGCAGGGGTTCCATCAGAGAAGCATCTTGGAGAAAGTGTCCTGAAAGAGCAGAAAAACTGTGGGAAGAACCATGGTTTGTTGAACCATGTGTCACACAAGCCAGCACCACTGCCTGCTGCCTTGAGACCCACCCTTTGTGCCCACCTCACTCCTGTTCCATTTGCTCTCCACAGGTTTGACATCTACAGGAAGGTGCCCAAGGACCTTACGCAGCCAACGTACACCGGGGCCATTAGTGAGTAGCCAACCTCTGGCCATGCCCTCTGCCCCATCTCCACTGCCTGTGCCTGCTCTCTCTGTGCAGATCATCTGGGCCAGGGAGGAAAGAAGGAAAGACAGGAGGGAGGAAAGAAATGCTGAGCATCTTGCGGGGGCCCTTCAAGCATTTCCTCACTTACTCTCTATCCTCACTGTAACCCCTCAAGGCACAGGCACCATCTGGAAGGACATGAAAGAAATTGTCAAGAGTAGCTGCCAGGCTGGGCGCGGTGGCTCACGCCTGTAATCCCAACACTTTGGGAGGCCAAGGCGGGTGGATCAATTGACATCAGGAGTTCGAGACCAGGCTGACCAACATGCTGAAACCCCGTCTCTATTAAAAATACAAAATTAGCCAGGCATGGTGGTACATGCCTGTAGTCCCATCTACTCGGGAGGCTGAGGCAGGAGAATCGCTTGAAACAGGGAGGTGGAGGTTGCAGTGAGCCGAGATCACACCATTGCACTTCAGCCTGGGCAACAAGAGCGAGACTCCATCTAAAAAAAAACAGTAGCTGCCCCTGGGAGAGGAATTGGGCCCAGGGGTAGGAAGGAGATTTACTTTTCTCTTTATACCTTAAAAATGATTTGAGTTTTCCACCAAAGCATGTTTTTATCCATTAAAAAAAAAAATCACAATCTCATCCAGACTTTGGGTTCTAAAGACCATTCTTCAATAAAAGGAACCATGGCTCCTTGGAGAAATGGCTGATTTCAGGGCTAGGCAGGGTAAAGATAGAGGAGCCTGGAGTGCCTGGTGTCAGCAGGACCTAGGAGCCAACTTGAAAGTCAGCCTGCAGCAGTTTGAGTAATAAAATAAATAATGACATTATTGGCTTAGAAGCCAGAGAATTAAGAAAGAGTTCTGTGGGTCCTAATTGATATCAATAAATGGGGGAGAAGAGACAAATCCATTCAGAAGAATTCCAAATAATATACAGGCTGAGTATCTCTTATCCAAAATGCTTAGGACAAGTGTCTCAGATTTTGGATATCAGATTTTAGAATATTTGCATTATACTTATCAGTTGAGCATCCCACATCCAAAAACCTGAAATCCAAAATGCTTCAGTGAGCATTTCCTTTGAGCAACATGTTGGCACTGAAAACGTTTCAAATTTTGGAGCACTTAGGATTTTGGGTTTTCAGATTTGGGATACTCAACGTGTATGTAGCTATTCTCCCATCCAGGTGGTGGAGTTTAATTCCCCTCTCTTGAGTGTGGACTTAGTAACTCTATTTCAAAGAATAGAGAATGGGAAGGAAAAATAAGGCCTTTACTGAGGAAATATGGCAAGTGCCAGTGAGGAACCAAGTGAGAAAGGTTGGCATGACCAGTGATAAGCCACGTGCATATCGTGAGCCCCTGATAGGATGCATGGAGGCATCTTGCCTCCATGGGATCGTACCAAAAAACCACAGTTCAGTCTAATCATAGGAAAACTCACAATCCCAGGTCAGGGGACATTCTATAGGATACTTGGCCAGTACTCTTCAAACATGGCAAGGCCTTGAAAAACACAAAAGACCGAGGAACTGTCACTGATAAGAGACTAAGGACCCAGGATGAAAATGCAAAGTGGACTCCCAGATCAGTTCCTGGAACAGAAATCTGGAGTTTGTGGGAAAACTGGTGAAGCCCAAATAAAGTCCGTAGCCAAGTTCATGGTACTGTACTAATGTTCAATTCTTCATTTTGACAAATGTAAGATGCTAACATAACGGGAAGCCCAGTGAAGGGCGTATGGGAACTGTCTGTACTACCTTTGCATCTATGATTATTCTACAGTAAAAAGTTTTAAAAACAAACCAAAGCCACCTTGCAAACAGGGGATGCTTTCGCCTCATTTTCCCAATGAGAAAATGAGCTGAGAGAGGTGAGCTGAAATTTCACAGCTCACAGAAGATGGAGCCACGACTCATACTCAGGTGGGCCTCCTTGCACCCCACAAGCCCCCCTAGTGCCTGGTGTGGGAGAGGGAACTGCCCCCCTGATGGTCCCAGCCCTGCTGCCTGAGCAGGGTCCTGGGCCGGGCAGTCGGTCATATTGGAGTCCACTTCTCCCAGGTCAGGCCATTCTCAGTTGGGGGAGGACCTTGGGGATCCGGCTGGGCTTGTTGAAGCTGCAAGATGCCTTTGAGAGCCCTGAGGAAGGGACAGCACAGCCCCGTGGCAGGATGCATGTCACACAGGCTCTGTGTTCGGGCAGAGCAAGGTTCATCCTCCCATTTAGCAGCAGTGTGACTGAGCAAGTCACTCCCCTCTCTGAGCCTCAGTTTCCTGATCTGGGGATTAAATGTGTCCCGGGATGTGTCTTGTGCAGGGCACGTACTAACCCCTCAGTGCATGGATGACTCTCCTTTTCTTCTCACTGTCCTCCCGGAGCCTGCAACACATGAGGGCCTGTGGCCTGAGAAGCTGTGCAGCTTTGTGCCTTGACTCCCGAGGAAAGGATATGGAGGGGACCATGAGAGGAAAGAGCCTTGGTAGTTTATGAACCTGATCCAAAAAAATCAAATGAGGCTTCCTGCCCCATTCCTACCGTCCACCAGTGGCTCCATCCTCTTCCCTCTTCTCCATCTCTGCAGTCTCTCCCTTGTCTGGTATGTTTAACAGTCAGGTGTGTATTTTTCTAGAGTTTTAAAAAATATATTTAGGCTGTTTTTTTTTTTTGAGATGGAGTCTCGCTCTGTCCCCCAGGCTGGAGTACAGTGGTGGGATCTCGGTTCACTGCAACTTCTGCCTCCCGGGTTCAAGCAATTCTTGTGCCTCAGCCTCCCCGAGTAGCTGGGACTACGGATGCCCACCACCATGCCAAGCTAATTTTTGTATTTTTAGTAGAGACGAGGCTTCACCATGTTGGCCAGGCTGGTCTCGAACTCCTGACCTCAAGTGATCCGCCTGCCTCGGCCTCCCAAAGTGCTGGGATTCCAGGCATGAGCCACTGCACCTGGCCTATTTAGGCTTTGATATACCTATATCACTGTTTGAAACACAAAAGGGAGCATACTCTGCACACTGTTCTTCCCCTGCCTTTCTTCTGCTGATACATCCTGGGCACCTTTCCTGCCAGCGGATAAACAGCCACCACATTCTTCTTTCCAGCTGTGTCACATTCTGTTATCTGGCTGACCTACGGGGCCTGTGGCCAGCCCCTGAGGGTAGACATTCCCCATTCTGGTTTGTTGGAGATCCTTGTCCATATCTTTTTGTATCCTTGTACAGTTATTTCTGTAAGGTAACTTCCCTAGAAGAGGAATTACTGGGTTAAAGAGTATGTTTTTTTTTTTTTTTTTTTTTTTTGAAACTTACAAGGTCCTGCCAAAGGGCCCTCCAGGGACATGGTCTGATAGACAGTTTCAGCCACAGCACAGGAGACAGCAAATTTCCTTACACAAGAGGAAAGGCGTGAGGCATAGGAAGCCAGCCCTTAGCTACCATTTAGTGAATAAATATTTATTAACCAGGTCCTTGGGCCAGGCGCCATGCCAAGCCCTGGGACTGTGCTGATGAACGGGGCTTCCATCTTTGTCCTTGAGGAGCACACGACTGGGCAGGGCGGGCTGACTTGGACACACACCATTTCATTACTTTGTGATGGGTGCTATTAATAACTGAAGGAAAGATCAGGGCATTGGAGACTTACAGCTCAGGGTTTAAATGTTGCCTCCTCCACTTACGTGACTGTGTGACCTTGGACAAATTCCTTGACCTCTCGGAGCCTTGGGTCTCAGGTCCAGTGCCCCCTTTGGCTGGCCGTACCAGGTTTCCTACCATCAAGCCTTCTCCTGGGGTCACATTCCTACTGTCCGATGCCTGAGTCAGTTTCAGAAGAAGTCTGGAGTTAGAGAGCCTTAGAGTCTTGCCCAAACATGGACTGAAAAACCTTCATCAAGCCTTCAGTATCAGAAGGCCTTTCTGGTTGAAATAGTTTTTACCTCCTGTTGTGTTTTTTATTCATTCATTCAATAAATATTTATTTTATACCTTCTCTGAGCCAGGCACTGTGCTAGTCTCTGAGGCCACAGTGGCATTGTGACCTGGTCTCTGTCCTCCTCCTCTATCTGGGGTAAGGGTAACACACGCCATGAATGCGTGTGATCGGGACCTTTGGACCACTTGAGTCTCTGCCGAGTAGACTTGGCACTTATTGTGTCCACCTGCTGGGCTGACCAGGCTTAGTCCGAGCCTTGAAAAAGCACACAGATTTCAGGAGGCCTTTCCATCCCATCCCCCCAGCTCTGGTGCTCTGGTGTGGATAGAATTAGAACCCTGGGACACACGTCTACAAGCATGAACACGGAAAGTAGCTAGGAGACCTGAACCCATCCAAGTTAGCACTGACCTTCATGAACACATCCTGTTTTGTTTCGTTTTTTTTGAGACAGAATTTCACTCTTGTTGCCCAGCCTGAAGTGCAATGGTGTGATCTCGGCTCACTACAACCTCCGCCTCTCGGATTCAAGTGGTTCTCCTGTCTCAGCCTCCCAAGTGGTTGGGATTACAGGCGCCTGCCACCGCACCTGGCTAATTTTTGTATTTTTAGTAGAGATGGGTTTTCACCGTGTTGGCCAGGCTGTTCTCAAACTCCTGACCTCAAGTGATCCGTCTGCCTCGGCCTCCCAAAGTGCTGGGATTATAGGCATGAGCCACCATGCCCGGCAACACTCCCTATTTTGTGCCTGTTCATCATTACAGCATCCAATGGGTTGTCGGGGCTTGGGGGAGGAGGGTGTAAAAGATTCTGAAATGTGGGTCCTATATGATCCTGGTCAGAAAGTTGCAAGCTTCCAAAGCAAGGATGTTTTGCCTGCTCAGTTTTCCAAGAGGTTTAATAGCCTCAGTTTGCGGGTGAGAAAGGGAAGAACAGGAGCCAGGAAATTTGGATTGATAGCTGATCTCTTCCAGTGGATTTGTTCAGCAGCTGGAGAAAACAATTTGAAATTTATCTCTCTGCCGTTCGAAAATGAAGGAAAACACGGCCACTCAGTAAACTGATGTGGAACCTGTTTCGACATAGATTGCTGAGTGAGCAAAGCACGGTGGAAAAGAGTGTGCCCATTACGCTGCTGTTCACTTAGGGGGATATATATATATATATATATATATATATATATATATATGTGTGTGTGTGTGTGTGTGTGTGTGTGTGTATATATATATATATATATTTAAATGTCCATGGATGGACACATGAAACTGTAACAGGGAATCGGGGGCTGCAGATCAGGAGAGACAGACTCACTTTTTTTATACAGCTGGATTTTTTTTTTTTTATAATACGCATTGTTAACTATTTTTTTCTTTAAAAAATTTTTTTTTCTCACTGTCTTATGGTGCTGATGATACTTTTTTTTTTTTTTTTTTTTTTTTAAGTAAAACCTTTGAATGCTTCCCCGGTACAACTTTTTCTTTTTTTTTTTTTTTTTTGAGACGGAGTCTTGCTCTTTTACCCAGGCTGGAGTGCAGTGGCACGATCTCGGCTCACTGCAACCTCTGCCTCCTGGGTTCAAGTGATTCTCCTGCCTCAGCCTCTGGAGTAGCTGGGACTACAGGCGCCTGCCACAACACCTGGCTAATTTTTGTATTTTTAGTAGGGACGGGGTTTCACCGTGTTGGTCAGGCTGGTCTCGAACTCTTGACTTCGTGATCCGCCCGCCTCGGCCTCCCAAAGTGCTGGGGTTACAGGCATGAGCCACCGCGCCTGGCCAACTTTTTCAAAGTTTGGGAGAAATTGGGAGTAATTCTAGTATCCCCCATGTCTCAGGGTGGTTGGAGAGACTCAGTGAGCAGTCTGGGGACATCCTGCCCTTCACTCGGAGCCTAAGTTCTTGAGGTTCCTTTTCTCAGGGCTTTGCCTCTAAAACATATGGCTTCCAGTCCTGCCTCTCCTGCCACCACACAGTGAAGCCATGGGCCAGCCTCCTTGTCTCACTGTGCCTCCATTTCCACACCCTTAACATGGGCACCGCCCCCCTCAAGGTGGTGGGAGTGTGAAGTGACAGGACATCTGTTAATGCAGTCACAACAGGGCACATAGTAAGTGCCCAGCAAACACTCTCTTTCTTCTCCCTTCCCTCGGAATGCATCTTTGGCTGTTTGTTTTGAAGACAGATAGATGGCTATTTGCTTTGAAGATAGATCAATCAATCGATCAATGTTTGGCTGTTTGTTTTAGATAGGTAGATAGGCAGATCGATATATGTAAATAGATACAGACTAAGAAAAATAATAGAGATAACTGGCTGTCACATCCGTGACGCTGGCTCTGCCAGTCCAGGTGCAGGCTGCGGAGAATGCAGCAGAATCAGCAAGAGGGATTGGGAAGTCTTCTTTGCAGGAAACTAAGGGTCAATCAATGTGTTGAATCACTTTCCCCAGATCACCAAACCCTTCCCACATCTCTCTGATGTAAGTCCTACTCATGAGCTGATGCTCAGGTAATTATTACCTGCCGGGCTCTGTTTCAAGCTCAATCCTTGTGTTGCTGAGATCCTCAGAGAAGCCCTATAAGGCAGGTACTACCATTGCTGCCATTTACAGGTGAGGAAGTGGAGGCACAAAGAGGTTAAGTAACTCACTTAGGGCCATGCAGCAGGTGAGCAGTGGGGCCCCAGCGCAGTCCTTAGTGAGCTCTTGCCCACTAAGTGCCTCTGGGATAAACTCAGGTGTGGCGTATTCAGCCCTCATTTTGTATCCTGGGAGCTGACTCTCTGCCGTACACAATACCTGTTAGGCCCCAGCCCCAGGCCAGGCACTGGAACTCCAGAGTATTTGTCTTTCTGGATATCAGTCTAGTGGGAGAAACGGCCACAGATAACCGATAAAATGTGGGACATGTTCAAGCAGAGGCTGGGAACACAGACAAAAGAGTGACCAGCTCCACCTCTGGGAGTAGGGGAAGCTTCCCATCAAAAGGGACATGTGAGTCGGGCCTGGGAGGATGAGTAGGAGTTCAGCAAGCAGAGAGGATAACCATGGAGGAGGAGGGATGATGAGTCCAGGCAAAGGAACAGAAATGAAAGGCATATTTAGGGAATAGCATGCAGCTCTCTGTGGGTGGGTGGTTAGACATTGTGGGGAGTGTCAGGAGATGGGGCTGGTGAGTGGAGTTGAGGGCCGGACTCTGGGGCACTTGTTATGTCCTGCCCCCAAGGAGTGACTCCAAGGTCCACAAACCCCAGTGTCTTTAGGTGCCAGGCAGATGAGAGAAAGACAACAGACATGGCCGACCCCAGAACTCTGTTCTACACTCTGCATTTTAAACATATTGGACCGGCCGGGTGTAGTGGCTCACACCTGTAATCCCAGCACTTTGGGAGGCTGAGGCGGGCGGTTCACTTGAGATCAGGAGTTCAAGACCAGCCCGGCCAACATGGTGAAACCCCGTCTCTACTAAAAATAAAAAAATTAGCTGGGTGTCGTAGCAGGCACCTGTAATCCCAGCTACTTGGGAGGCTGAGGCAGAAGAATCGTTTGAACCCAGGAGGTGGAAGTTGCAGTGAGCCGAGATTGCGCCACTGCACTCCAGCCTGGGCAACAGAGTCTCAAAAGTAAAGAAATAATAAGCATATTGGACCATTCTTCACTTCCATAAAGAATTATTTCTTCTCTTGAAGCACCGCTGTCTATAGCCCCTTCTAAGGACAGGGGCACCGTGTGGATGGCACCACAGAGGGTGGTGAGAAACAGCCACAGACTCTGCCTCAGCCTCAGAACCAGAGAGGCAGAAGGGAGTGGTGGGGCCTGTGGCAAACTCATGGGCTCCGACCCTCCGTGGGAACAAGGGTGAGATGTTCTGGAGAAGCCAGAATGCTGGCCTTTTATGTGAAATCTGCTGACTGTTCAAGGTGGACTCCAGATTGTGAAATATGTTGTCACTCGAGCCAAACAGAACACATTTGTGGGCCACCGGTTTGCAGCCTCTACTTTTGGCTGGCCTTTGCATTAAAGAGCTCTCCTGGAAGGAAGCGGGGCCAGCCCCAGGAGGATTGCTCATGTCGGCAGGTTGATCCACACCTGGAGGCCAGACCAGTACCCCAAAGGCAGGGGGTGGGGCTGCTTCATATTGAGGCTCGAGTCAGAAGGGGCTCTGGAGGGTCTGTGGGCACAGCCCCACACCCTTGTCCTGGGGCCTCTTTCCTCTTCCCTCTAGGCTGGTCTCCCTTCGTCAGTGCCCACCACCCTTAACAGTTTGCATTTCTGTTGTTTCTTCCAGTCTCCATCTGCTGCTGCCTCTTCATCCTCTTCCTCTTCCTCTCGGAGCTCACCGGATTTATAACGACAGAAGTGTAAGTCATACTTTCCCGATGGGGCATTCCAGGATGTTCTGGGACCCCAGACAAGAAGAGGGAGGGGTCTTTGGCCAGGTTTGGTGGCTAACACCTGTAATCCCAACACTTTGGGAGGCCGAGGCGGGCGGATCACCTGAGGTCAGGAGTTGGAGACCAGCCTGGCCAACATGCTGATACCCTGTCTACACTAAAAATACAAAAATTAGCTGGGCGTGGTGGCGGGCACCTATAATCCCAGCTACTGGGGAGGCTGAGGCAGGAGAATTGCTTGACCCTGGGAGGCAGAGGTTGCAGTGAACCAAGAGTGCGCCACTGCACTCCAGCCTGAATGACAAAGCAAGACCCTGTTTCAAAAAAAAAAAAAAAAGAGAGAGAGAGGAGTCTTAAAAAGGAGAGCAAGTTCCAAACCTTCCAACTTCTGTCTCCAGGCCTGTGGCATCGGTTGCTCTTCTGTTTCTTAAAAGGACTTTAAAGTGAGAGCAAAAGTGAATATTGCCTTGTTAAAGCTGAAGGGAACATTTTGGTTCCATTCCGTGGGGGTTCTCCTGGGCTCAAAGATGAACAGAAATAATTTGCACATCTCTGCCATCCCTTTGTTTGGCCAGTGGGCTTTTTTTCCCTCTGAATCATCACAGGGTCATTTGATGTGAGAGCCGAAGAGTTCAGTGAAACTAATGGGTACAGCTTCCTACCGGAGGGGGCGAGGTTGCTGACATCAGCGCCCGGCCCCCTGGACTAACCCCCTTCCCATTTCTCAGGCCCACACTTGGTGAGGAATCGGTGCAGGCTTCCTGGCAGTGGCTGACGCAGAGTTAAACCATTCCTGATTCCTAGAATTATCTGTTGTCTGGATAACCTAGTAAACGCTCTGGGGTGTGTGTAACAGAATGCCATTAGGATTATGCAGTCACGACCTCATCGGACGCCCCTCTGTGATGGAATTAGACCCAGGAGCTTCCTGCCTTTGGCACTGGCTTGAGGCTTCAAAGCCTCTTCATTTCTGTGTTTACAGCCCGGAAAGTCATCACGGAGCTCGGCCCTGGCCACCCACTCTCCTGCTCAACACTGGAATTTTCTTTTTCACTAATGGGATTTCTTGGTTTCCTTTGCCTCCACTCAGCCACAAGACAATAGGAAACTAAATACATAGCTGCTTAGCCCAAGAAGACTCTCATTATACAAGCATTACCACCTTTAGTTCTCAAACAGCCTCAGGAGGGAGCTGCCCCCTCTTTACAAAGAGGAAATTGAGGCCCAGGGAGGTGGAGGGACCTGCCCACAGCCATACAGTTAGGAGCTGGCTCCCAGCCCTGCCTATCTCCCTAGCCCACATGTGTTTGACCAGCACACTGAAAGGCCTATGAGACAGGAGGGCTGGTCTCACCTTGTTTCTGGGTATACCTTTCAGCCCTCCCCTGGCATGGGAGAGTTTGCCTTTCCTGGTCACTCTGATCCTGTTTTAACCCTGATGGCGCCAAAGCCCAGGGGACCTTTTACAGTGGTGGGAAGAGTACAAGATAAGGCATTGGGAGACCCAGGGCCAGGTCTCTGCTTAATTACTACTTTGCTGTGTGACCCTATGCAAGTTGCCGAACCCCTCTGGGTCTCAGTATTGGTAGCCAAATGAAGGAGAGTAGACCAGAGTCAGAGCTCCCTTCCAGCTCTGGGAGAGGTTGGTCTGCTTCCCAAGACATGACCCTGTGGCCATGCAGGGTTCGAAGAAGGGGTTTTATTCCCCCCAGGCCTCTAATGGGAGATGGCCATGTCCAAGTCAAGCATCTTCCCCTCTGTACAACTCAGTCACTGGACATCTTAGGATCACCCTATCATGAATCAGAGCTCGAAGCAGGGAGAGCGGCAAGAGGTTGAGACTTGCTAATGTTATGAGGTACCTGTTGTATGCCAGGCACCCACTGGCCTCTGCAGGCTGTACCCCACCCTCTAGGAGGGGACCTGCTTGGCTTGGCAGGCCTGTCATGTTCTGAGCAAGGTGACAGAGGCACACATGTGTCATCTGCTGAGACCAGGCACCAGGCAGGTGGCTTTATGTGCTGTGGGCAGGACACCAGCAGGTGCAAAGGGCCTCAGGCAGGGATGACCTGGTGTATGTGAAGGCAGGAAGAAGGCCAATCAGCCAGGTCAAAGTGAGCAAGCGGAGAGGGTAGGAGGTAGAGCAGGCAGGACGGAGAGGGGCCAGGCCTTCTGAGCTGCCAGGTAGAATTGGGAGTTACTTCTTTTTTTTTTTTTTTTTTTTTTTGGAGACGGAGTCTCGCTCTGTCGTCCAGGCTGTAGTGCAGTGGCGTGATCTCGGCTCACTGCAAGCTCCGCCTCCCGAGTTCAAGAGATTCTTGTGCTTTGCCTCCTGAGTAACTGGAATTACAGGCAAGCACCACCATGTCCAGCTAATTTTTGTATTTTTAGTAGAGACAGCCTTTCACCATTTTGGTGAGGCTGGTCTCGAACTCCTGACCTCAAATGATCCACCCGCCTCAGCCTGTAATCCCAGGCTGGGATTACAGGCGTGAGCCACTGCGCCTAGCCTGGGACTCACTTCTTGATGATGAGCTCGTGGAGCCCAGGGCTGGACCTGCACACTCACTGCTCTGTGGCTCCACACATGGAGGAGCTGAAAACGCCAGTGGTAGACACAGTCAACAAGCAAACAAAACTAGACTGTATCGATCAGGGGCAAGTACTCCAAAGACAAGAACTAAAGCAGGGCAGGAGGTAGAAAATGAGATGGCTGCAGGTACATGATATTTTATGAGGATCAAACAAGATTATTTAGCTGAAAGCTAACTTAATATAGTGCGGCTATACTTTAATATCATAAGGTCCATATCTCTTCGTGCATTTATTCATTTCCTACATAGTCTGCATCTAACTCTAAAAAGGTTTTAAGGCCGCTCCGCACCAGGCATATAAGTACTCAGGGAATGTGAATTCCTTGTCCCCTCTTCCGCTTTGAGTTAAGAAGATGCCTCTCTTGCCTGCTGCTGACAGCGTGTGGGGTGGCATTCCCAGCTCATCCCACATGAGGTGGGGCACTGAGGCAATGGGCTGCCAACAAGTGAGTTTTGACGTCACAGCTTGAGGCTCGAGCAGGTGGGGCCCCACCCGCAGAATGCCCGGGAGCATTGGGGAAGGGCCCTTCCAGCAAGCCCAGACAACTCATGCAGCTTCCCAAGGGCAGGGCTGCTTCTTTCTGAAGAGCACAGTGTGTTCCCACTGCTCCCCATTCCCCCGTGCCAGGACTTCCTCTCCCTCTCTCCCAGCGGCATCCCGGACGCTCTGATCCCACCGAGTCCCTGGAGAGGTACAAAGCTTAGGGATGAGGGGAGGAAGGGGGCCAGGTGCAGTGGCTCACACCTGTAATCCCAGCACTTTGAAAAGCCAAGGCCAGAGGATCACTTAGCCCAGGAGTTCGAGACCAGCCTGGACAACACAGTGAGATCCTGTCTCTGCAAAAAAATTTTAAAAACATTAGTTAGCCGTGGACACACACACCTGTAGTCCCAGCTACTTGGGAGGCTGAGGTGGGAGGATCACTTGAGCTCAAGAGATCCAGGCTGCAGTGAGCCATGATTGCACCACGGCACTCCAGCCTGGGAGACAGAGCGAGACCCTATCTCAAAAAAAAAAAACAAAAAAAAACATGAGGACATTTTTTGAGCATTTGCCTTGAGTCCAACCCTGTGCTAAGTCAGCGGCTGGAGAGAGGGAGGGAGGCAGAGATGAATAGAGAGATCTGTCCGGAGCTGAGGCCAGATGCTCCAGCTATGAAGATGCAGTGACCCTAATGTCCCCTTCCCTCCTTACTAAGGTATAGGAGTTGCCCGAAGGGCCTCCGCAGGATGAGCCCTAAGACTTACAGAGCAATCGAGAGGAGAAAGCATCACATCTTTGGGGTCTTCCAGTTGTCAGAAGCTTGTGGCCCCCAGGAAGCCCTACAGGTTTGGGAACAACTGAAGGTCACAGTTCTCGTCTTCTGGGTGGCTGGCCCTCTGTGGCAGGTTTGTGGCCACAGTGGGGTCAGTGCCCCCTCCCGCCACCATGAGATTGTAACTTAAGGAAATGAGGTCACCGTTGGTTGGATCAACATGGCTCCAGCCCCAGCCTGTGGTTATCAGTGACATAAGACGCTTATTCTGGCCTGGGCCTGGTGGGGGGTGAGGGGGAGGCACATTTGTTTGGGTGGTTGGGCTCCAACCTGGCTTTGGACAGGCCGTTAATTATCCTTGGGAAAGAGGCCCCACAGAGTGTTCTGAAACTCCGTGTTTTCAGGGAGCAGGCCCCTCCTCAGGCAACCTGGCCACAGAATGTTCCAGCCTCTGACTGCCCAGTCTCTGACTGCTCTGAATAATTATTAACCTCATGAGGATTTATACTAATAAAATATAGTAACTGGAACTCTCCACTGATAGTTTATAATGTAATATAACTCATGGTACCTTCCATACTATAACTCATGGATTTATAGTGTGCATGCCAACACCTAGGTCAGCACTTTATTTTTATTTTTATTTTTTGTTTGTTTGTTTTTTGAAACAGGGCCTCATTCTGTTGCCCGGGCTGGAGGGCAGTGGCTCAATTATGGCTTAATGTAGCCTCGACCTCCAGGGCGATCCTTCTGCCTCAGCCTCCCGAGTGGCTGGGACTACAGGCATGAGCCACCATGCCTGGCTAATTTTTTAATTCTTTGTAGAGACAGGGGTCTCCCTGTATGTTACCCAGGCTGGTCTCAAACTTCTGGGCTCAAGCAATTCTCCCACCTTGGCCTCCCAAAGTGCTGGGATTATAGGCATGCAGGCTGCCCCCGGCAGGTCAGCACTTCATGATGGTCATCTCATTGGTCATCGCAGAACCCCTTGAGGCAACTACTACTGTTCACCCCATGTTACAGCTGGGGAAACTGAGGCACCAGGCGGCCAAAACCACATGAAGCACTAAGTGGTGTAACTGGAGTCAAACACGGGTCTGTGATGCTGAAGCCCAGGCTCAGCACCTCCCCTCTGTTGTACCCCACTTCCCTGGCCCCAGCATTTCAGGGCCCCAGGCTCATGGGAGCCACTGCTTTTTGATCAGAATAGTTGACTGGAGGACTTGGATGCACCCTTCTAGGGTGAGGTGGCCAAACAGGCAGATGGAAGCCTGGGAGGTGGGAGCTTGGAGGTCACCTGGAGGTCACGGTGTTCTCACAGGCTCCCCGTAGGAGGCCCGGAGTGGGGAGCAGTGGCTTAACCAGGAGGAGGAGCTGGAAGTCTCCAGGTTGCCTGCCTTGAGCCTGGGTTGTGAGCCAGGCTGGGTAGAGGGCCCCAGGCATCCCATTAAGGAGCATGAAGGACATTGCTCTTAGCAATAGGAGGCCTGAGGGCGTCTGAGTGTGGAGTGACGGGTTTATGTCTCAGACAGCTCACCCCTTGTGAAGATGGGTTTGGTGTGGGGCCACCCAGAGGCCAAAGCCCTGGTGGGAGCTGGGGGATGACCCAAGTCAGAGGGGCCGAGGGTGCTGGGACTTTGGCTTTGGAGCAGGGGTGGGCAGAACCCGGTGACTGGCTGTCGAGGGATGTATTTTAGACATCCACCTGGTTGGTAATAGATGCACATACTTTTACCTGGACGACTCAGGATTTGAAACTCAAGGCTCCGGAGCACGTGCTTGCAGAATCTCCATCCCTCCCTCCACCCCACCCCAAGCCCTTGCGGCAGGCCTCACCGCCGCCTAAGTTTCCATTCGATCAAATTTTGAAGCATAGAGGTCAGAGACTTCAGGCAGGAATCTGAACTATTTAAGTGCTCTTCAAAAAGCAAATAAAATTGTTTTGTATAGATGTCATCGAACTCATGCCTCAGACTAGAATTTCAAGGCCCTCCACCACATTCCATTTACACTCCCCCCACCCACACCTCCCCAGGCCCTTGCGTACCTCTCCCTACAAGGCCACTGTCCACCCACACCCCCACCCTCCCACGCACTCGCCTGACTCCCTGACGCCATCTGGCGTCCCCCACCTGGAATGTGCTCCCGACTGCTCCACCAGCGCGTGCCTTCCCTGCATCCTGGGAGTTCTGCTGAGGACTCCCTCCTCCACTCAGGCTCATTCCACTGAAGTTTGTGAGCACACGCTCTGTGCTGAGGCTCAGGGAGCCCTCGTCCTGGGGGTGTTGACGGGAGTGGGAGAGGCTTGTGGGACAGACGCAACTGGACCCCTAAGCACCCCTGTACCCTGCAGGCACCTGGGCCCTGGTGGGAGGGGACACACCTGAAGATTATGAAAAAGGACTAGGATGCCTGCATCACATGTCCACTGAGGGCCACCGGCCCCTCAGCTTTTCACCGATTCCCATCCCATCCAGGCAGTGCAATGCCTTGGAAAGAGCATGGGCTCTGGGCCCCCTGTCCCTGGGCTCAGATCCTGCCTCTGCCTCCTCTTGGTCCTATGATCTTGGCCAGCCAGCTGTGCTCCTCTGAGCCTGGTTTCATCGACGTGAAGGGAGAATAGTACCCTTATTAAACACTGGATCAACTCCTTGAGCATCGATATTAATAATAATGATAAAAACCATGGACATTTATTGAGCACTTACTGTTTACTAAGACCACACTTAGCATTGCTCTTGTTCTCATTTGATCTTCTCAGCAACCCCATAGCAACCCCTATGATTGTCCCCATTTTACATCTGGGGAAACTGATGGATGGGAAGCCCCTTGCCCAAGTCAATCAGCCAAGAGGTGGCAGAGCCAGGATTCGAACCCTGGTAGCCTAGGCTTTGAACCCTGGTAGCCTAGGCTTCGAACCCTGGTAGCCTAGGCTTCCCCTGCACTGCTGTATTTTCTTTACCAAGAAGGGTGTGGAATCGGCCCTCAAGAGAGAGATGAGTCTCACACATACACACACACACACACACACATTGACTCACACTAACATACACACACTCACTCACTCTCCTGCCCTGGGGCAGCCAACAGCTTGACCTGGCAGTCATCCAGCAGCCCTGTGAAGTAGACGGAATCTTTATCCTTATTTTCCTCTTTTTCTCTCCTTTCCTCTCTCCCTCCTTCCTTTCCTTTCTTATTTTCTTATTTTAGTGAGGTATGTGTAACTTACATACAGCAAAGCATACAAATATTAAGGTAGAGGCCTGATGAATTTTCACCTGTGTTTACACACGTAACCATCACTCTGATGAAGACATAATACATTCTGTCACCAAAGAAGGGTCCCTTGAGCCCCTCCCAGTCAGTAGCCCCCACCACTATTATTCTGACTTCCATTGCCATAGATTAATTTTGCTGATTTTCGAACCGATTGAAAGCTTTTCCAGTTTTACAGATGAGGAAACTGAGGCTCAGAGAGGTGAAGCAGTGTGTCCTAGGTCTCCCAGCTCCTAAGTGGCAGAGCCAGGAGGTGAGCCCACACCGGTCTGCCACTGCCCCCATAGGCCTTCCCACTGCCCACACTGGTGACAGGGGAGTCAGGCCCATGGAAGTCCTCAAACCACAATGAATCCACAAAAAACATTTCCTTTTCTTCCAGGTGGGTTGATTTCTGGCAGCCCGTTGGCCTTTTAAAATCAGTTCAGCCCTAGCCAATGAAGTTAGTTAGCCTTGGCAGGCCCCTGCCATGGGGTGGTTGTGGGTGAGCTCGTGGCGCTGGCTGGGGTGGCAGGAAGCCAGCAGCCCTGGAACATTTGCCTTGGACACGAAGGCGAAGGCGGCTTTATTGACCTCATCAGGCAGCCCAGGTGATTGAATTGTGTTTATCTCACAGCCTGGGGCCCTCCAGGAAGGAGCCTGGGAGCAGCCAGTTCTGGCCTTACATAACCAGCCTGGCCAGAGCGCCTCAGGCCGTCCCTGCCCAGCACCGCAGCCCCCTTGTTCTGGGTGGCCCTCTAGCCCTGCGGAGCCTGTTCTCTGCTTATTCTGGTTAGGAAGACAGGGACCCACGCCTGGGAGAGGCTTCTTGGGGCCTTGTGGGTGAGCTCACCTTGGCGCCACACCTGGGATTCACTTTGCTCTTGGCTGAGGTCACCTCCAGAGGGTTGCCAGTGGATGACATCATCCCACAATCCCTCAGTGCTGTGCGGAGGCCCAGCCTCGCCAGGTGGGAAAGGTGAGTTGCTTCAAGGAAGAGTCTCAGGCAGCTTCCTGGCTGGGAAGGGAAGCCCAGGCTCTCCTTAGTTGACTGTGTGTTAATCACCCAGCAATTTCATTACTCAACAGCTCTCCAGAGTTGCACATTACAGCTGGGGTAGAAATTGGGTGCTGAAGGCCAGGCAGAGCATTTGGCTGTAGGGAGGCCGATCCTCCTCGGGCCTGTTACCGGCGGGTCTTTGTTCTTAGACCTGGGGTTCTTGGCCTCACGGATTCCAAGGAATGGAACGTTGGGCCATGCGGTGAGTGTTACAGCTCTATTGGAAGCCGTGGGTCACGGAAGAGAACTGTGGAACCCAGCGACTAGTGTGCAGCTCATTTAGGACAAACCCGGGCACTTAGCCACGCAGGAACAATGGCCAGCCTCTAGTCCGATCAGGAGCGGCAATGGGAGCCTCGCTGAATAAGCACAGCGGACACCCTGCCGGATCCAGAGGGGTGGAAGTCAGCGGTGGGTCTGTGACGACTGCGATCAGCACCACGAGCTAAAGCTCAGCTCGAGCCGGAACACAGACCAGAAGAGTGTGTAGTTGCAAGACTTAATAGAGTGAAAACAGAACTCCCATACAAAGGAGGGACCAAAAGGGGGTTGCCCAATCCAGCTCGAATGCCTGGGTTTATATCCCCATCATTGTCCCTCCCCCTGTGCTCTCAGGCGATAGCTGATTTGACTGTTTCTTTACCTCCTGCTTTTAGCCTAATTGGTATTTCAGTGAGCTCCCTTTACTACCTGATTGGTCAGGTGTGAGCTGAGTTAGAAGCCCGGTGTTTAAAGGTGGGAGTGGTCACCTTCCCCAGCTAGGGTTAGGAATTCTTATTTGGCCTAGGAAATCCAGCTAGTCCTGTCTGTCATAACCTCCTGGGCTCCTGTTTGCCTCTCTCCCTCCAGCTCCTTTGCTCTTGGTGGCCTCTGATTGGGGCCAACACTACAAGCAAGGTCAAGCGCAGGTCCGTGTCTCCCCTCTCCCATCCTAAGGCTTCCCAGGACCAGGGCCCTCCTTCATTTTCTTCCTTGACCCTGATGCTGAGGAGAGGGCTGGGAGGCAGCCTGAGCTGTGGAAAGGCTGGGTTGAGATTCTAGCTCGGCCATTTCCTAGCATGTGACTCCGGGGATGGGACACACCCTCTCCGAGCCTGTTCCCTGGTTTTAAGATGGGGCTCAGGGCATTTCACAGGCGCACATGGGACAGCATGAATGCACGTAGTAGGCCTCCCCCAGCTTAACGAGTGGAGGCCCATCTGTTGCACTCTTGTCTCTGGGAATATCCTTGTGGGCCCCACAGAGAAGCCCCAGGTGTCTTTTCAGAGCCCACCGTTCCTTGTGAACAGCATCACACCGGGTGCTAGGGGCGCAAAGATGTGGTCTTAGTAAAAACGAAATTCCTTTGCCTTGGTCTGACTCATTCTTTCCCTAAGATGTGGCCATTTACAAAGCTCTCTTGGAGTCTTCATTGCTTAGATAGGGCAGTTCTCTTTTATTTATAGCCTAGGGACTGGACCCAAGGGGCCTAATAAATGTTTAAAATAACCACAGCCCAGCCACCTGAAGCACTGCCCCTTCAGCCGCCCCCTAGGCCAGGCCTTTAGATTTGGTTCCCTCTGGGTGGGGGGCATTATCGGGGAATCAGATGCGGCCATCAGACATCCAGCAGCTACTTGGGGATGCCTCAAGACACCTGGGCTCAGCACAGCTTCTGGCACTCAGCACCTCTCCCTCCTGCTGGTCCTGTTCCTCTTCCAAGGGCTCTCAGCCCAAAGAATGGGTCCAGGAAGAAACACAGCAGTGTGTCTGCATTCCCCCCTCACCTCACCCTCCTCCGCCCAGTCCCATCCATCAGCAAGTCCCGCCTGCTCTACGTGGGTTCCTACAGCCCTCCTCCTCTCCATTCCCATCCCACCCCATCCAAGGCGCCGCCATCCCCTGCCTGGTCTCCCTCTTGCACAGCAGCCCCTCCAGTGGGTCTTCCTTGCAGCAGCCAGAGGGAGCCCGTGTGAGTGCGAGCCTGACCCCGTGGCTGTGCTCATATCAAGCCTAAAGGCCTCGGCCAGGCACGGTGGCTCATGCCTGTAATCCCAGCACTTTGGGAGGCCGAGGCAGGCAGATCACCTGAGGTCAGGAGTTCAAGACCAGCCTGGCCAACCTGGTGAAACCCCACCTCTACTAAAAATACAAAAATTAGCCAGGCATGGTGGCGCATGCCAGTAGTCCCAGCTACTTGGGAGGCTGAGGGAGGAGAATCGCTTGAACCCGGGAGGCGGAGGTTGCAGTGAGCCGAGATCGCGCCACTGCACTCCAGCCTGAGGGACAGAGCAAGACTCTGTCAAAAAAAAAAAAAGTATAAAGGCCTCGTGCAGCCTCCTTACACTGCAACCACGGTGACCTTCATTCAGTTCCCCAAAGCAGCCATGCCCTCCCCAACCTCCAGGCCTTTGCACATGCTGCCAGGATGATGCCTACGCATCCCCCAGACCTCAATCACACCTCAGAGAGGTCTTCCCAGCCCCTTCTCCCCAAAGGTCAGTGGCCCTGTAGTCCCTGTCATGGCCCCCTGCAGCTTTCTGTCAAGTACTAATCAGCGTTGGGGGTGGCAGCATATTTAGGGGCTGAGTGATGTCTGGTTCTTGTGTCTATAAGCTTGAAGAAGGTAGAGACAGCATCTGTCTGATTCATTGCTGCTTCTGGCTCCTGACAGGTAGTAGGTACTCAAAAAAGTATTTGTTGAGCAAATTTGGATTGCTAACAGATGCCAACACTGTGCTGCTGACAGCAAGGTGACATGGCTGTCTGTGGAGCCACCTGCCCCTAAATATGGCCGATGCGGTCGACAGAATAATGACCCCCTGCCCCCTGTGATGTCTAGGTCCCTGTCCCTGATGTGTGTGGCCGTGTTACCTTGCATTCAAAAGGAACTTTGCAAATGTGATTACATTAAGGATCTCGAGATGGGGAGAGGATCCTGGGTTAGCCAGGTGGACTGGATGAAATCACAAGAGTTCCTGTAAGAGAGAGGTGGAGGCCAGGCACAGTGGCTCACGCCTGTAATCCCAGCACTTTGGGAGGCTGAGGCGGGGGCGGGGGGGGGGGGAGAGAGGGGAGGGGGGGAGGGGGGAGGGGGGGGGTGGATCATGAGGTCAGGAGTTCGGGACCAGCCTTGCCAATATGGTGAAACCCCATCTCTACTAAAAATACAAAAATTAGCTGGAGTGGTGGCACGCACCTGTAGTCACAGCTACTCGGGAGGCTGAGGCAGAATAATTGCTTGGACCTGGGAGATGGAGGTTGGAGTGAGCCGAGATCGCGCCACTGCACTCCAGCCTGGGTAACAGAGTGAGACTCTGTCTCAAAAAATAAAAAAAGAGAGAGGTGGAGGTCAGAGAAGGGGGAAGCTGCTGGCTTTGGAACTGGGAGAAGGGGCCACAAGCCTAGGCAGCGCCTAGAAGCTGAAAAAGGCAAGAAAATGCATTCTCCCAAGAACACAGCCCGTTTTAGACTTCTGACCTCCAAAAGCATAAGACAATAAATGTGTGTTGGTTTAAGCCATTCCCGTTGTGATAATTTGTTACAGCAGCCACAGGAAATTAATACAGCCGTCAAGTCGTTTCTCAGAACCGGTTCTGCCCCTACGGATGGGCATCAGGGAATTCCTGGCTTCCCGGCTGGGGGAAGGGGACCTCAAGAGAGGAGGCTGTAAGGTCCTCTGTGCCTGCTGGCGCCAGGCCCTGATCCCTTATAAGACCCCTATTTCTCATTTTAGTGTTCAAACCACCTTATTCGTAGTGGGTGGTGTTATCCCCACTTAACAGGTGTGTTCACAGAGGTGAGCATAGGAAGTGCCAGAACCAGAATTTGAACTTGAATCTGTCTGAAAGATATGCTCTTACCACCGTGCTATCTGACCCCACCCCTTCTCTTTCCTGAGCCCCAGCCCTCCCCTCTTTTTTTTTTTTTTTTTTGAGACGGAGTTTCACTCTTGTTGCCCAGGCTGGAGTGCAGTGGCGCAATCTCGGCTCACTGCAACCTCAGCCTCCTGGGTTCGTGATTTTCAGCCTCCCAAGTAGCTGGGATTTCAGGCATGCGCCACCACGCCCAGCTAATTTTGTATTTTTAGTAGAGATGAGGTTTCACCATGTTGGTCAGGCTAGTCTTGAACTCCTGACCTCAGGTGACCCACCCACCTTGACCTCCCAAAGTGCTGGGATAACAGGCATGAGCCTCTGCGCCCAGCCCAGCCCTCCCGTCCTGAGAGGTAAGGCTGCACTTGAAGAGTGCAGCCTAGACCCGTGCCTGAGGGCACAGGAGGTGCAGGCTCTGCCCAGGTGGAGTCTGGGTTATCTAAGTTGTGGTCACCAAGTGAAGTGATCCCCGGCTGTCCCCCGCAGCTGAGATCTTTGCCGCCATCTCAACAAAGGTTCCTATACTTGTCTTTCCCCTAGTGTGAACGAGCTCTATGTCGATGACCCAGACAAGGACAGCGGTGGCAAGATCGACGTCAGTCTGAACATCAGTTTACCCAATCTGCACTGCGAGTGTGAGTACTCCACGCAGCCCCTCCCTCCAGCAGGACACCTCCTTAGGGCAAATGTGTGTGTGCAGAAATGGCAAGATCTCCAGGACAAGCCAAGCCAACATATGGTTCTCCCCACTCTTTTTTGGAGGAGAATATAATTGCGTATGCATGCACTTGGAGGTTTTCTGGCATAATAAACACAAGACACTACTCATAGGGGTTAACCCTGGAGAGCAGCTGATTTGGTGCAGGGAGGTGGGATGTCTCTTAGGGTCATGTTACAGCTTCGCAGCAGAGCCTGAGAGTCTCATGCAAGTGACTTGTTGAGGGGAGGAAGCTGTAAGGGAGAAACGCAGGATAGGGCAGTACGACAGGATAAGCAAAGATGTGTGTTCAGCTGAAGTCCAAACTCAGCCTGATCTCACAGGATGCTGTGGGGTGTGAATGACACCATAGCATTTGTCACACCCAATAGCAATGGGACCAGGCTGTTATTATCCATGTCATTGGGTAATGGCTGCAGAGTGGTGTGCGTGGCAGGGGTCATATCACCTCCCAAGCATCTCAAGCGAGAAGACCTCCGGTCAGCCAAGAGCATTCATCTGGAGAAGGGCGCAGCTCTGAGTCATTGGCAGCTGACACCTAGAGAAGCTGGAGCGGTCCACCATCCATGAGAGAGTGCAGGACAGGGCTCAAGAGCATCTGCAACAGTGAAGGGCTGGGAGATTCCCTTTTTGACTTCACACCTATTTTGTTTTAACCAAAAGAATGAATTACTTCTTTTTTTTTTTTTTTTTTTTTGAGACGGAGTTTCACTCCTGTCACCCAGGCCGGAGTGCAATGGCACGATCTTGGCTCACTGCAACCTCTGCCTCCTGGGTTCAAGCGATTCTTCTGCCTCAGCCTCCCGAGTAGCTGGGATTACAGGTGCGCACCACCATGCCAAGCTAATTTTTGTATTTTTAGTAGAGACGGGGTTTCACCATGTTGGCCAGGCTGGTCTCGAACTCCTGACCTCAGGTGATCCACCCACCTCAGCCTCCCAAAGTGCTGAGATTACAGGCATGAGCCACCGTGCCTGGCCCAGAATGAATTACTTCTACAAAACAAAACTCATTTGAAGTCTGATTTGGAGTCAGATCCTGGCTCCTTTGCTGGCTAAAACTGTGACCTTGGCTAGGGTGACCTCTCCGAGCCTCAGATTCCTCATCTGCAAAATGGGCTTAGTAATGTCTGTTGTCTGAGGTTCTTGGGAGAATCTAATGCCATGGTCCCTAGACTTGTCAGCGAGTGGACTGGGCGCCCTCTCCTGGACTGGGGTTCCAGCCGTCCCTCTGCCCAGCCTGGCACAGAGCCTGCTGCAGGCCCTTCTCTCCCCACCCCCTCTTCCTGTTAAAGGACACAGCTGAGAGAACACTGGGTGCATCTCCGGCCAGAGATAGGAAGAGTCTCAGCCCTGTCATTGCTTTTGGTGAGATTTACGTCACAATTTTGAATCCTCGCTGGGCCCCAAGCCAGGGAACCTGTTGAAATAGGTCGGTCTTATTTTTTGTTATTTTTTTTCTTTCACTTAGAAAAATAATTCATCTGGCAGATTCTCATTCAGGAGTGACTGTATCTCTGGAACAAGGAAATTCTTAGTCAGACCAGAGGACTGGGACTAGTGTGGTAGGAAAGGGAAGAGATGTGGTTCCAGGAGGGGCCAGGCAACCTCCACCCCATTCCCTGCCATGCCCTGCTGGATCTGTGGGGCTATAACCTGAACCCCCAACCCCCTCACCCCTGTTAGAGCCCAGCATTCTGGCTTTTCTTTAAAAGAACTTCACATTTTTATTATAGGAAAAAACGCATGCTCATCATTGTACTTCTGGAAAACACAGGGAAGCAAAAGAGATCACCCATAACTCTGCCACCCGACAGCAGTGTTGGTGACATTTTGACATCATTCTGTCCAGCTGGCCTTCCTTTCTGTGTTTCTGAACATAGCTGAGATCGTACTGCATGTATGATCTCATATCCTGCTTTTAAAAATAATATTCTTCATTATACAACTAATAGACTATATTTCAATCTTAAGACATACATTCAAAAATACAAAAATAATATGTTTTTTAAAAAGCAAAAGTACCCCTCCCCTGTCCCCCTTCTTGTCCCAGCATGCCATCTTCCCCAAAGGACACCTCTGCTAGCAGGTGGGGCCCCCGTTCCCTACCCCTACATGTGTGTGCGTGTCTGTGAACATATATTGGGTTTGGGGTTGTTTTTGTTGTTATTGTTGTTTTTTCTTTTTACATAATTAATTGGGACCCTACCATATGGGAACCTTCTGGAGTTTCTTTTTTTTTTTTTTTCTAGCTAGTGTCTTGGAGCTGTTCTCATATTACTCATAATATGAGTAAAATAATAACAGCTGCCATTTATTCCATTCTTCCAGGCCAGGCCCTGTCCTGCGTCCTTTGGCTATATTAAATCCACTGGGATTTGAGGTATCTTAGCAGAATGGCTGAAGGGTGGGGGCTCAGAAGCAAATCCACCTGGATTTCATTCCAGGCTCTGCTGTTTCCTAGTGGTGAGGTCTCTGTGCCTCAGTTGCCCTAGATGTAGAATGGGACTGATAATATTATCTTCCCCACAGGGGTGTTTAAATGGTGTTTTGTTTTGTTTTGAGACAGAGTCTCACACTGTCACCCAGGCTGGAGTGCGATGGCGCGATCTTAGCTCACTGCAACCTCCGCCTCCCGGGTTCAAGCCATTCTCCTGCCTCAGCCTCCTGAGTAGCTGGGATTACAGGTGCCCGCCACCGTGCCCGGCTAATTTTTTGTATTCTTAGTAGAGATGGGGTTTCACTACTTTGGCCAGGTTGGTCTCAAACTCCTGACCTTGTGATCCACCCGCCTCAGCCTCCCAAAGTTCTGGGATTACAGGCGTGAGCCACCGCGCCCAGCCAAGAAGGTGTGTTCTTATATAAAAGGCACTTAGAAGAGAGTCTAGCACGTAGTAAGTGCTATTTTACTTTTCTTTTCTTTCTTTCTTTCTTTTTTTTTTTGAGATAGAGTTTTTCTCTGTTGCCCAGGCTGGAGTACAGTGGCATGATCTCAGCTCACTGCAACCTCCACCTCCCAGGTTCAAGCGATTGTCCTGCCTCAGCCTCCCAAGTAGCTGGGATTACAGGCACCTGCCACCATGCCCAGCTAATGTTTTGTGGTTTTAGTAGAGATGGGGTTCGCCATATTGGCCAGGCTGGTCTCGAACTGCTGGCCTCAAGTTATCCGCCCACCTTGGCCTCCCAAAGTGCTGCGATTACCGGCGTGAGCCACTGTGCCCAGTCGTTTTACTTTTCTTTAACCCTCACAACAAGCCTGTGATAGAAGAGGAAACTGAGGCACAGAGATTAGGTAACCTGCTCGAGGTCTCAGCGCTAGTAACTCAGCCACTGATCTGCTCTGAGCCTCCTCCACGCACCTGCATTTAGCCCATTCTTTGTACCTGCCGCACGGCACTGGGAAGAGGGCTGTTCCACTGGCTCCAGTGATAAGCAGTTGAATTGCTTCCAGTTGCCACTATTTCAGATAAGGTTGCCTGAGCAGCTTTGCACACACATCTGGACACACATTGTGGATCTAGAGGACAGGCTGCCAACATTGGAACTGCTGAGTGAAAAGCGGACCTGCTTGTGTTTTCTCTAAACTTCACATTATACCATTGGCATTTCCCATGTCCTGTGGACCCGTGAGGGTCATTTCGAATGGCTCCAGCACGTTCCCTTCTATGGCTGGATCCTCACTTACTTCTCTGTCCTCATCGAGGAACACAGAGTTGTTCCCAATTTTCCCTTTTAAGGTTGTCCCTCTTTAAAATTGCTTCCAGCTGTTCTTCCTCTGTATGGCACCTCCTTTCTAGCGCTCCTGCCAGGGAAATTCCTACATTTCCATAGTTCACAGGGATCATCTCACCACTGGCTACTTGGACCATCTCTGGGGATGCAGTTGGCATTGGCCTGCCCATTTTACAGATGGGGAAGCCATCTGAGTCCCAGTGAGGTGACAGAGGGCAGGGCCTATCTTTTCCCTTTGTGCATTCCTGGTGCTTATCATAGGGCTGGTAGCATAGGCGATGGGTAAAGGAAGGTGTGAATGAATGAATAAGTGAATGATGGATGAATGGATGGGGGGCCTGAGCCTATTCACCCCATAAACCCAAAAACTCTCTGAAGGCCAGGAACGGTGGCCTACACTTGTAATCCCAGCACTTTGGGAGGCTGAGGCAGGTGGATCACCTGAGGTCAGAAGTTCAAGACCAGCCTGGCCAACATGGTGAAACCCCGTCTCTACTAAAAATACAAAAAAAATTTTTTTGTATAGGCGGGCACCTATAATCCCAGCTACTTGGGAGGCTGAGGCAGGAGAATTGCTTGAATGCAGGAGGCGGAGGTTGCAGTGAGTCGAGAGCATGCCATTGCACACCAGCCTGGGCAAGAGAGCAAGACTCTGTCTCAAAAAAAAAAAAAAAAAAAAAAATACAAAGACTATCTGAGATACAAGAGCTAACATTTATTAAGCACTTTCCACCTAGCGTTCATCAGACCCTAAGCATTTTCTACATCTATGAACTATTTGATCCCCATAATCTTTCAAGGAGGGTTCAATTATGGTCAGCCCCCCATCTTACAGAGAAAGAAACTGAGGCATCCAGAGGTTAAGTACCTGAGGCAGGACCCAGATTCAGAGGACCAGTATGGCAGACCCCAGGGTGGCCCCGGGACCCCTACTATGCACTGCCCCCCTCGCCTCACGTTTAGCGGAGTCATTGTCCTGTCCCCTGTAGTCTTTGGACCCCAGACCATGAGCTCCTGGAGGTCCCCAGCCCGGCCTGCCCCTGCAATGGATGAATGAAGGCTCCCAGAGAGAACAGGCTGGCCCCCATCCTCCCGCGTCTCTGGGTTTGTGACTGTTGTCTCCCTTTGGCTCCTGCAGTGGTTGGGCTTGACATTCAGGATGAGATGGGCAGGCACGAAGTGGGCCACATCGACAACTCCATGAAGATCCCGCTGAACAATGGGGCAGGCTGCCGCTTCGAGGGGCAGTTCAGCATCAACAAGGTATGGAAGCCCTGCCTCAGCCCTTTCTACCTGCTCCCCTTTCCTGCTGTCTCCCCGCTCCCTGGAAACTGGTTGTGGAGGCACTCACTCGACCTGACCCTGACACAGCCCCCAGCAAGCGAGGGTTCGTGTCCAGCTGCCTGGCCGTTCCTGCTGAGAATCTGGATGGGGGTCCAGGCTCCCTGGGGTTTTAAGCCCCTGATGGCTGGTTCAGGAAGGAGCTACTCTTCTCTCCAGTGAGGGGGACAATGATGAGAAGACCTGAGGATTTGCAGCCCCCAGCCCTGGGTTCAAGTCCCAGCTCTACCCCTTCTTGGCCCCTACAAGTCACTTGACCCATCTTAGGCTGAGGGTGTGATGGCGATAATAGTATCACGATACCACCCACTTCACAAAGTTTGTGTGGGGATTAAATGAGCTAATGCAGATTCATTCATTCAGAAAAATTTTTGAATGGCACGTTCTGTGTTCCAGGGTCGGTGATAGGCTCTGGGGCAGCGTTCCTGGGCTGGTGGGGCTCCCATTCTGGTAGAGGGAGACAGTCTACAAACCAGAAAGCATCAGGGATGCTAAGTGCAGTGATGAGGAATAAAGCCAAGGGGAGTGAGATGAGGTGGGCTTGAAAGTACCTTGTCCGCTCAGAAGGACCATTCAAGGTTCACTGTTGTTTTGTCCTCAGAACCAGGAGCTTCAGATCCTAAGTCAAGTGGGTGAACGCAGTGCCCTTGGGAGGGCCGAGGCACCCGGTGGCAGCTGGCAGGGTTTTGCTCAGCACGTGCCGGCCTTCCTCGAAGCTCGGTACTGTCACAGTGGAGCCTCTCAACAACGCTGTGAGGCAGCACCATTTGACAGGTTAGGATGCTGGGGCCCAGAGAGGTTAAGTGTCTTGCCCGAGGTCACACAGCTATCTGCATGTCCCACAACTCCCCTTCCCAGCCCCAGCCAAACTGAGCCACTGGCCACTCCTGGCTTCTCCTTGTCCCTCCTGCAGCCTCTGCTCAGAACGCCCTTCCTCCAGACCCTGACACCTGAGCTGGGGTTGCAAAGTCACTGGCCACATCCAGCCCAAAGATAAATTTTGTTTGTCCAGTATAGCATTTAACTGCATCAGAACCAGTATGAAAAGACCAGGAATCCAGATTTCTGGCTTTTAAAAGTCAGAGGCTCTCACTACACTGGGTCCGTGTTCCCGCTATGACAATGACCTGGCACCAATGGGCAGTGTTCCCCTTTAGAGAGGGTGTGTGCTGTCCCTTCCCACAGTCCCTGGCAGGCGGCTGGAAGGCCAGGCCTGGTCATCTGTCAAGCAGGGTGGACTTCTTACGTGACAGTTCAGGGCTCCCTTAAGTGCTAAAGCAGAAGCTGCAAGGCTTTCTTAAGGTTTCGAGTGTTGCTGGGAGAAATCTGCTGCATGTTGTGGGTTAAAGGGAGTCTCTCACCAGCCCAGGCCCTCAGGAGGAGGAGATACCAGGAGGCAGGGATGCTGGGGGTCGTGGTTCACTGGGGGCTCTCTCTGCCCATGAGCTGCCACACAGCACCTTTGCCATGCCCCGTAATTTGGATTTTATGGTGGTTGTGATGGAAAGCCATTTGAGGGTTTTGAACAGGGAGGCAATGTAATCAGATTTATGCCTTAGAACTGGACTATCCAATAGGTTGCCACCAGCCACATAAGGCTATTTAAATTAATTCAAATTAAATGTACAATTCAGTCACTCATTCTCATCAACCACATTTCAAGTGCTCAAAGCCACGTGCTGGCTAGGGGCCACAGCGTTAGACAGTGCAGAGAGAAAGCACTTCCATCGCTGAGGAAAGTTCTGCTGGACCGCACACCCTTAGAAGGATGGCTCTGGTGGCCGGGCGCGGTGGCTCAAACCTGTAATCCCAGCACTTTGGGAGGCCGAGGTGGGTGGATCACGAGGTCAGGAGATCGAGACCATCCCGGCTAACATGGTGAAACCCTGCCTCTACTAAAAATACAAAAAAAAACAAAATTAGCCGGGCGTGGTTGCGGGCACCTGTAGTCCCAGCTACTCAGGAGGCTGAGGCGGGAGAATGGCATGAACCCGGGAGGTGGAGCTTGCAGTGAGCCAAGATCGTACCACTGCACTCCAGTCTGGGCGACAGAGTGAGACTCCATCTCAAAACAAACAAAAAAAGGATGGGGCTGGGCTGGAGAGGGTGGCAGGCAGTGGTTGTGGCAGTGGAGCTGGGGAGATGTGGTCGGATTAGGGAGGTAGAATCAATAAGACTCAGTGAAGAATCGGATGTGGGGGTAAGGGCACATGTGGAAGCAAAGAAACCTTTGACGTCTTTGTCTTGACAACCGGGTGGTCCTGTTTCTAGACATGGAAGCTTAGAAAAGCCTGGAGTCTGTGGGAAGTAGGTAGGGCTGGGCACTGGTCATTCCACTCTGGTTTCCTTTGGGGTTCCCATTAGGTGTCTACAGGGAGAGGTGAAATTGGAAGTTGGAGGTGTGGAGAGTTCAGGAGAGGGTTCTGGACCACAGATGTTGAGGTGGGAGTCATTAGTGAATAGATGATGTTGGAAGTCATGGGTCCTCAGAGTGGGGGCTCCTTAAGCCTCCAGGCCAGCAGCATCAGCATCACCTGGGAGATTGTTAGGAATGCAGATTCTCAGGCCCCCCTAAGACCCACCGACTCTGTGCTAGAACAAGCGCCCCTCAGAGATTCTGATGCCACTGAAGTTTGAGGAGCATTGGTTTAAGCAAGATTACCTACGGAGAGGCTGTAGATCCGTGTTCTAAACCTGGGGTCCACAGACACCCCCAAGAAGAGCGGATTGAATGCAAGAGATCTATGAAGTTGGATGGGGGAAAAATTGACATCTTTATTTTTGCTAAACTCGATCTAAAGTTTAGCATTTCCATCTGCGATGAATGTAGGCCACAAACCACAGTAGTATTAGCAGTGCCTGGGACCTCCTCAACAACAGAAATTGCCGGTATTTATAGCACGTTACAGTTGTTGCAGATAATTTCCAGAGACTGTTTATATGCACCACTGTTTTAAAATTACGGTGATTGGCCAGGTGCAGTGGCTCACACCTGTAATCCCAGCACTTTGGGAGGCCAAAGTGGGTGGATCACTTGAGGAGTTCAAGACCAGCCTGGTCAACATGTCAAAACCCTGTACCTACAAAAAAATACAAAAGTTAACCAAGCCTATGCTTGTAGTCACAGCTACTCGGGAGGCCGAGGTGGGAGGGTCTTCTGAGCCCAGGGAGGTAGAGGCTTCAGTGAGCTGAGATCGCACCACCACACTCCAGCCTGGGTGACAGAGTGAAACCCTTAATCAATCAGTCAATAAAAATTACAGTAATTATTAGACCCACCACTAGGTCATCTTATTTGATGCATCAGTAAAGCAGCATATTCAAATGTGGATTTTTAAATATTTTAATTACTATTTAAATATCTCTTTACTTTGTAATCCTATGCATTTTACGCATTAAAACATTTTAAGCATTTAAAACGTAGGTATCATTAGACTGGCAAAGGATCATCCGTGGCACCAAAAGCCTTAAGAACCTAAGGTCTGGAGAGAATTGCAGTTTGAGGACTGAGTTCTGGCGCCCCGCCCAGTCACTTCGAGGTGGGGAGATGCGGGGGTAACAAAAGGTGCAAGAAGGGGCAGTCGAACAGGAAGGAGGAAGCAAAGGCTGGGCGGAACCTGCAGCCTGGAAAAGAACATATGTATAGATATCAAAGAGCAGGGCTGGCGCTACCAGGCTCAGGAAGGCAGGCTTGGAATGGACAGTGATCTAAGTGCTGCAGAGAGTGCTCCAGAAAACGCTGATGATGAGGAGAGAAGGGGCCGCTGCAGGAGCCACGTCCTTACGAAGCAATGGGAGCCAGACGCAGGCCACAGTTGGGGGTTTAAGGCCTTGGAGAGGTTCACAGTGCCGGCAGGCAGGTGGGGGGTTGGTGGGGGACCTCTGCTGGGCCTCCATACCCTCCCTCTGTCCCCACCTCATCCTCTTGGGGAACCACTACTCACCCACAGGCCTCAGCTGATGTGGGTCCCTCAGGGGAAGTCCTCCCTCCCCTTCCCTGCCCACCCACATTCACTCCCCACCACGCCCCTCATCACGCTGCGGCTGCTGCCTGTGCCTCCTCCTTGACTTGGCCTCTCCCTTTGACCACTCCACTCAGGCTTTCGTGCTATTGAGCATCCACCTCACGCCTGGCTCTGTGCTTGGCGCTGGGCTGCAATGGGAGAGAAACAGCCATGCTCCCCGCCGTTGGTGGCCCATGTTCTATAACGGGGGGACAGCCAGTGCTCAGGTAAACAGGAAATATGTGATTTTGATAAAGCAGCCGTGAAGAGAATGACGGGGTGCTGTGGTGGAGAATGAAGGAGGAGACCCCTGAGGTTACAAAGGAAGCCCTGTCTGAAGACTGAAGATGAAGATGCACAGATGAACAGACGTACACGCACACCTCCTCACTGTGGGCCCCCCGCCCCCGGGGAGATGCAACCACCTGGGCTGAAAAAATATATGTACCCCAGATGGTGACCAAGAAGGGATCGTGCTTATTCAAGCACCTGGAGTGACAACCCACGAGACAGCCCTGCCACCAAGCCCTCCCACCTCTTGGCAAACACGCCCAAGACTGCAGTCTGCTCCCCTTAGAATGGGCTGTGCTGGAGCCCCCAGCCAGCTCTGGGTGAACTTGTCCTTTGGGGTCAGACAGACCTGTGGTCAAGGATCCCGGCTACCATGGTCACTGGTTGAATGACTCTGGGCAGTTTAGCTTCTCTGAGCCTCAGGTTCCTCATCTGTAGAATGGGGATAATAATACCTCACAGGCTGTGAAACATGAACAAACTCTGCAGTAGAGACTGGACAAGCATCCTGGCCTGCCTCATCTCCCGTCAGTGCAAAGTTTCCATGACCTCATCAGCTGGCACCCACCTTACAAGTGCGCCTGTGGAAGGCACATGGAGGGCGTCCAAGAAATGGGCCTTCTCTGGTCAGGGGAGTGCCAGGGAGTCTTTGAAAGGCTCACACCAGCCTTTCTTAGACCCGCGTTATGGCTGCCACGTACTAGGTTCTTACCCAGCCCTTTCCACATATTAGCTCCTTTAGTCCTCACAGTAGCCTGGAGGAAACTGAGGCACAGGAGGTTAAGTGACCTGGTCAAGGTCACGCAGCCAGGATTTTAACACAGGCAGCCTAGCACCAGGGCCCTGGCCCTCTGAGCTCACTGCCTGTGGCTGCTTCTCCCAACATCTTGGTTACACATGTCATGACCAGCTGTGTCTGTGTGCCCCAGGTCACAGCCTAGGGCACCCTCTGCCCCATACTCCTGGAGGGAGTAGAGACCGTCCCCCACCCCAGCCCAGCCACTTTCCCTTTGAGGAACCGCCCATCAAGAGGTGCTCAAAGAAGCCACCAGGGTCCATGTGCTGTGATGGCAAGGTCAGCAGCCAGCCCCCGCACCTCTCTCCCAGCATCAGGCTGAGACTTGTCCCATGGCCTCCTTATCCGACCCCCAGGAAGTTGACCAGCAGCCAGATGTCAGAGTTTGCGTGTTTTGAGCAGCAGCGGCAGCCTCACCAGAGACCCCACGGTGACCTCGTTTCATCAGCCAGCCCCGCAGGAGGAGGACAGGATGGGGTGAGGGGTATGGGGCCTGGCTCCAGCTATATGTTTTTAAAATCCATCAGAGACACTGACGTAGGTTCCTAAGTCACAGGCTCTAAAAGCGTTGCTGTTTCTTTCTTCAGCCCAGCATGTGCTGGCATGAGTCAGCCACCTGTGATGGATTTGGTGTGGAGGGGGAGTGGGTTCCTGAGTCACAGCCTCGCACGGCCCGGCAGGGGTGGCAGGTGCTGAGGGGACAGCCTTCTTGACTCACTTCACTCCCGGAGCACGCGGCCCAGGCCCCAATCCCAGTTCTGAACTCTGCCATGGCCCGATCTGCGGAAGGCCCTGTGTCACTGCGTAGAAAACCTCTGGGAGGACACACGCCTTATGGCTGTGGGTTTCTTACTCCCAGGGGTGGTCAGCAACAGGGTCTTTAGTCTGACTGTGTCTCATGACTGTTTTATCATGAAAATGTACCCAGGCATTATTTTTATCGGTGAAAATGAGGCATAAATGTTAAAACCCACAGTGGGCTTTTCCTCACGCCCTGCCTGTGAGTGTTCCCTCTTCCGGGAGGGCCCTTCTTGGTTGGCTCCGATGACAAACATGTTCACCCTACAAACCCGATCTGAGGCCAGCTGCGGGCTGCTTTGTATGCATCACCTCAATGAATCCTCCCAGTAATCTTCTGGCTTTACGCCCATTTCGCTGATGGAGAAACTGAGGCATGGAGTGGTTACTGACCTCGCCTAAGGCTCCCCAGCTAGGAAGTGGGGCTGGGCTTGGGGCCAAGTGTAGAACTCAGAGCAACCGCTCTACTATGGGTTATTGGGTCCCTGAAGCAGGCGATGCTGTCCCTCGAGGGAGATCTTGCCACGCCTTTGTTTCTGCTCCACTCCTGACCCAGCAAGTGTCCCTTCTCCACTGTAGCCTGCAGCTCGCTCCACTGCGAGTTTGCTGAGGCCGAGGCTACAGGCTGTCAGCTTGATGCCTCCCCTGTCAGCCACAAGCTCGGGCCCTGCTGAAGTAGGAATATTCCTGCAGGAAGTCCCCAACTTTGTGTTTGAAACAGACATGCTTACAAAATCAGACTTTGATGGGCTGCTGCACGATAAGCTATATTCCCTCCTCGGACACAGCTCGCACAGTCTTCTTCATTGGGCTGGAATAAGGTAACCCCCGAGTTTTTCAGTGTGGCATCTGGGGACCTTTGATAAACAGCCCCAACTCCTCCCTTGTGCCTCTTTGTTTCCTGCTGCTGCCAGCACCGCCACCTCCGTCTCATTTGGAGTTCAATAATACCAGACTCTTAGTTCCTTAGACAGCCCACATGCTGGGAAGTTTCTGTCCTCTGCACCTGTTCATGCTGTTCCCTCTGCCCAGATGCCTTTCGCTCTCTTCCTGAGTAATGCAGACTCATCTTCAGAGCCTTAACACAGGATGTCCTTCCCCCTGGGAAGCCCTCCCTGAATACAGCCTGCACCCTCAATTGAGCCGGGGGCCTTCCCTGTAACCCCCATGGTCTGCAAATTCCTCTGGGCCAGGGTGGATCCCACAGAGTCTCATTGTCTGTTCCAAGTCTGTGTCACAGGGGCTTGGCCAAGGCCAGATTCTTGTCTGCTCATCTCCCCAGTTCCGGCATCTCCTGAAGGACTGGCGCCATGTGGCCATCAGCCCAGGCTGCGGAGGTAGATGGCATCCAGGCATCAGAGGAGGGAGCAGTGCGTCCAACAGACGTGAGCTGAGACTGCAGCTCTCGACATGTGACCTTAGCAAGTTTCTTCACTGCTCTGAGCCTCCATTTTCTTTTCTGTAAAATGGGAATTATCAGATGACAAAGTCAAAGGATTCAGTGTTGTTTGTTTAGTCATTCATTCATTCAAAAAGTGTCTATTGAGCACCTGCTATGTGTCGGAGTCTGGGGAGCACAGCAGGGCGTGGACATGCTAATGGGAGGAGGCAGACGAGAACAGGATGGGTATGAGATGGCAGGTGATCCCAGAGGCTGTAGCAGGTAAGGGGATGGGGAATGGGGGCCAGGGTGCTCTTTTGCACAGGTGGACGTGGAGGGCCTCTCTGTTGGGCCCTGAGGGTCCGAGGGAGGGCCATGTGGAAGAGGGTCCCAGGAAGGGGTGCAGGCACAAAGGCCTAAAATGGGGCCACACTGGATGCTGTTCCCGGCACGGCAGGAGACCAGACAGGAAGCAGCAGAGGACACAGCAGCAGGAGGCCAAGCGGTGGGGACACGATGCTTGGCCAGCGGCCAGATGTGGCCTGTGGGCCACCACGAGGACATGGACCTGGACTCTGAGAGAATAGAAGCCGTGGAGGGTTCTGGGCAGAGGAGTGATGAGATCTGATGTAGGGTTTAAAAAGATCTTAACAGTCATTATTGGGAAAAGGCCCAGGCTGTGGGGAACATGGAAGCTGGGAGCCCAGGGAGGAGCCTGCCATTGTTGTCCATGAAGAGACGACCTTGGACCAGGGCAGCAGAGAAGAGGTCAGGCGCCAGGTGTGTTTGGAAGGTGGAGCTAACAGGGTTTCAGCTGATGGATGGGACGTCGGGAGTGAGAAAGGGGGGTTCCAGGATCATACCAAGGGTTCTAGTCTGAGCATCTAGGAGGAGGAGGAGGAGGAGGGTTCCAGGATCATACCAAGGGTTCTAGTCTGAGCATCTGGGAGGAGGAGGAGGAGGAGGGTTCCAGGATCATACCAAGGGTTCTAGTCTGAGCATCTGGGAGGAGGAGGAGGAGGAGGGTTCCAGGATCATACCAAGGGTTCTAGTCTGAGCATCTGGGAGGAGGGAGGAGGGTTCCAGGATCATACCAAGGGTTCTAGTCTGAGCATCTGGGAGGAGGAGGAGGGTTCCAGGATCATACTAAGGGTTCTAGTCTAAGCATCTGGGAGGAGGAGGGGGAGGAGGGGGAGGAGGAGGGACTTCGTGCTGAAACAAGGAGAAGCTGCAGTGGCTCCTGCCACATGGTTGTCACCAGCATCCTTTGTTCTGTAAATACTCATCCAGCACCTCTTGCTGGCTTGGCTCTGCGAGGGCTTGAGACCCAGGGAAGAGATGAGGCTACCACAGTCTGTCCATCAGGGATCCCCCGTCTAGGGCACTGGGGCAAACTTGGGTAGGAAATGATAGGGGTTTGGAGTCTGAGGAATCCCCATTAGTCTGCAAGCTCAAAGGTCATCCCCCAGCTGACTGTGGGGTCAGCCGCCCAGAATCCACAGAGCTGGAGGGGGAGCAGCTGCCATGAGTCCTGGCTTTGTGCCCGTCGCCCAGATGGGCACTTCACATGCACCCTCTCACCAGATAGTCCTGGCAGCCCCCTCGGAAGCTATGGTAGTGCCCCCATTCTGCAGATGAGGAGCCTGAGGCCCAGAGAGATGGGGTGACTCCTTTGCACAGTTGAAAATGATACAAGCAGGATCCAAACCCAGATCTGCCTGATTCCAGTGTCCTCCCTGGATCACACAGGGTGAGGCCCCAATGTTCCGCCCCCTGGAGAAGTCAACCAAACTCCTGAAACTCACATTTCTCCCCCAGGTCCCCGGCAACTTCCACGTGTCCACACACAGTGCCACAGCCCAGCCACAGAACCCAGACATGACGCATGTCATCCACAAGCTCTCCTTTGGGGACACGCTACAGGTGAGCAGGGGACACTCGAGATGGCATGGCCGGGGGTGGGCCTTCAGGGGCTCTGTCACCCAGTGCCCTCTGCCCTCTCTGGGCACTAGGAAGAGTTACCGTTAAGGTGACATCTAAGCCAAGCCTGGAAGGGTAAGAAGGGTTTCACCAGGAACAGAACAGGGAAATGGGTCCTAGGCAGGGGGCGTCTCAAACATCACCCCTCTCCTAGAGCGCCCAGCTGGTGGTTTTCATGTGAAAGACCCTCAAGGTTACTTTCAGAAAAATGGATCAGTAAGCGTATGTGACACGGCATGTTCTGTGCCGAGATGGTCCAGGGCACAAGGGCTCGCTTGGCAGCTGAGAGGGCCCAGAGCACTTGCCTGAAATGGGAGCCGGCAGGTGGGGTGTGTGGGGTGCGAGAGACCCGTGGTAGACTGAGGAAGGTGGAGACTGAAGGTCTGGTTGGTGACTCAGAGCACCCATCTGCAATGAGGAAGATGGACCCAGGAGGCAAGACTATAGGCAGGGAGGTGAGGGAAGGGCCCAGACCGAGGCAGGTGGAGGGGAGAGGAGCAGCGGTCTCGCATTGCCACGTGCAGGGGCAAAACAGAAGGACACAGAAACTACAGTCCCAAGTTTAGTCATTAGTGGGGTGGAAATCTGATTTTTTTAAAAAAATGTACAGAACTTAGCTTAGGGCCCATCCATCCATTCATTTTCTGTCCATCCATCTAGTCAACAAATATTTACAAAGTACCTACCGTGTCCAGGCCTTGCATACCTTGGTGAGGACAAACATGGTCCCTGCCCACCTGGAGCTTCCAGTCTAGGGGGGAAGACAGATGTTGATCAAATAATGGTACAGGCCAGGTGCGGTGGCTCACTCCTGTAATCCCAGCACTTTGGGAGGCTGAAGCGGGCGAACTGCTTGAGGTCAGAAGTTTGAGACCAGCCTTGCCAACATGGTGAAACTCTGTCTCTACTAAAAATACAAAAATTAGCCGGGCGTGGTGGCAGGCACCTGTGATCCCAGCTACTCAGGAGGCTGAGGCAGGAGAATCACTTGAACCTGGGAGGTGGAGATTGCAGTGAGCTGGTATCATGCCACTGCACTCCAGCCTGGGAGAAAGAGTAAGACTCCTCCCAAAAAAAGAAAAAATAAAAATAAAAATAAATGGTACAAATAAATGTGAGATAAAGCCATGTCACATGACAATGGAAGAGAACATTCTAGCCTTCTTGTCTCTGTAACCACCGTTCTCATGGGTTAGAAATGAAGCCTTCACACGGTCAGTCTCAAGACAGCAAATAGACAAACTTCCTTTTCCTTGTTGAGAAATTGCAGTTCCTTCCAGTTGTTGAGGAATTGCTTGTTGAGAACATGCAGGTGTGTTAAGTGCTCAGTAAACATCAGCCGCCTGAGACCAGGATCAGGGATTATGCCACCCCGCTGCTGCCCACTGCTCCTGGAGTGGCCACAGAATCATGTCCCCACGTACCTCTCCGATGTCTCCTCCTTCCTTCTATTCAAACACCTCACTCTCCTTCCTCCTGGGGGCCACGTGGGCCTGTCTCCATACTTAAGCCTTTGTACATGCTGCTTGCCAGTTTAACTTCCCACTTTCCTCCAGATCTTGGTGTCAATGTCATTTCCTCCAGGAAGGCCTCCAGGGTGTCTAGCTCGATAACCCCTGTTAACCATGCCCATGGTAGCATGCTCCATTTACCAGGTATGCCTTGTCCTTCTTTAGATGTTCCTTGAGGCCAACCTGGTTTCCCATTGTCCTCAGAGAAAAGGTGAGATGTGGTTTTCAGCCCTACTCTACAGCAGCCCACCCCACTGCCCGGAGGAGGGTTTTCTTCACATCTGCTATACGTTCTCTGCAGCAGACATGATGGGGGGCCCACAGCTCTGGGGCATCCCTGCCTGGACTCCTCTATGGGCCTTTCAGAGGACCCTGGGATCTCAGGAGAAACTTTCTGGGACCCAGAATCCATGTTCACTTGAATTTTCTGTGTGACTTCATGGAAAGAGTCCAGCTTAGTGTCAGACAGACCTGATTTCAGAGTTTAGCTTAGCCACTTACCAGCCGGGCAAGTTTTGGTGTCTTTCCAAGCCTTGA
Organism: Homo sapiens; assembly: GCF_000001405.40. Taxonomy (NCBI): domain Eukaryota; kingdom Metazoa; phylum Chordata; class Mammalia; order Primates; family Hominidae; genus Homo; species Homo sapiens. The sequence goes on from NC_000005.10 coordinate 172,926,215, forward strand.
TTTGCTCTTCTGTAAAATGGGCCCAATAATACATCATTAGGGGCATGAAATGAAATTATATGAAGGGGCCAGGATGGAGCAGCACATAGTAGGGGCTAGAGATGGGAAACAAGCTTGTGCCTACTATGTGCCAGGCCCCTGCTGCCTCTTGCTCCCCACAAATCCGCTGGAGCCCCCTTTTACACATTGGTAGGGTTCCTAGACCAGGTGGTACCTGGCCATCCCCCACAACCAGGGCCAGGCCTGGAGGTGGAGGTGTCCTGGGGACCATCCCCTCACTGCATTTTTCCACAGGTCCAGAACATCCACGGAGCTTTCAATGCTCTCGGGGGAGCAGACAGACTCACCTCCAACCGTATGTATCCCTGCTGGGAACAGCCTTCTGCTCCAAGATGCCCAGTACAGCAGGCAGGGAGGGGGAGGGCAGAGAGGTGGGGGTGCCTGTCCAGCACCCACTCCAAGGCAGGGAGGCTGCTGCTCACACTCCATTCCCACAGCTAACCAGTGGGAAGGTGGACCCAGCCCCGTCCAGACCCAGACCCTGATGGAGAAGGAAGAAGGCTTGTCCCGGGGCACAGCAGACGCACGCACGCAGTGGATACCAGCTATTACCATTATTGTTGCTCTCATCACAGCCACATCATCATCCTTAGTTGAACTAATTACCTAAGATCCCACAGGGAGCTATGGCAGAACCAGGATCTGTTCTGCCTCCAGGTCGCACCGTGAGAACAGGTCTGTGGGTGGCCCAGTCAGCTGTGACCACATGGCTGCCTCCCCCACACCTCACTCTCCTCCTGCTCAGACTCCTCCCATCGATAGTGGCTCCTCCTAGAGTCCTCGCCCTCCTTAGCTCCCTGGCACCTTGGCCCAGATCAAAGAGAACCGCACATCTCCACACGCAGACAGGAGAGCACGCATACCTTTCGTGCACACCAACACACATGAGCTCACATGGCCCCAGACACGTGCACAGAATGGGCCCGGGAGGCCTGTGTGCTCAAGCAGACCTGCAGACCCACTGCTGCACAGGGTACCTGGATTTTTCTTATTTCCTCACCTGAGCTCACCTTTTAACCCACATCTTTTCTTATTATTTCCTGAAATGCGTTTGCTCTCCCATTGTCAGGGATCCAAGGCAAAGAAAACATCCCTCTGTGACCTGCCCCCCCGACAAATCGAACCTCATTTTTCTGTGTCCCTGTGAGTCCTTGTCCATAAGCAGAACTCACTTTTCTTTTTTTCCAAGGCATGGATTGCAGTTTACCGTCTGCTTTTTGTACTTGACCTTATTACATAGCCACGATTTTCTTACTTTCCAGTTGTAATGGGAGCACAGTTGTCCATCTTGCAGCTCTGCTGTGCTTTTTTTTTTTTTTTTTTGAGACGGAGTCTTACTGTGTCACCCAGGCTGGAGTGCAGTGGCACAGTCTCGGCTCACTGCAACCTCAGCCTCCCGGGTTCAAGCAATTCTCCTGTCTCAGTCTCCCGAGCAGCTGGGATTACAGGTGCCTGCCACAATGCCCAGCTAATTTTCTGTATTTTTAGTTGAGACAGGGTTTCACCACGTTGGCCAGGCTGGTCTTGAACTCCTGACCTCAGGTGATCTGTCCCCACTCTGCTCTGCTTTTCTAAGTCATTGTCTTCTCACCGAAAGTGTCTGTCGTTTCCTGTGTTTCACTGTGGCAATAATGCCTCTGATATGTACAGGGTTGGCGCTCTGTTACCCGATTGCTTTCCAGCTGTGTCTGGTTCCCATTCATGCTGCCTCCAGCAACGGATAAGTATACGGCAGCACCTCCTTATTTGAGTGCAAATGTCTGGTTGTAATAGAGGTAGATGATTCTTGGTGTGGTGCCGTGGTCATTGTCGTTTTGTGTCATGGTAACATGTCATCCGACGTCGGCCGTCCACAAATGTCTGCAGCTACGATGGACCCTCAGCTGCTGGACAGGAAAGAGGATCAAGCTAAGAAGGCCCAGAGTGTGCAAGCAGAGAGAGGGTGTGGACAGAAAACCTTGCCTTCTCCAGGGCTAGTGGCGAAAGCTATCTCAGGCTGGCTCAAGTGGAGAGAAAAAAGCATGAGATCAAGCAATGGACAGCTGGGGAAGGGCTGGCTTTTATTTCCTCAGCTCCCAAGCTCAGTCCCTGGCACTGGGCCGTTGCCTTTGTAGGTCCCTCTGTGCCCAGGTCTTGCTATGGGGGTTGTTTCTTGGCATTAAGGTCTCAGTTCAAACGCCACCGTCTCCAAGAAGCCCTCACTGGTCACCCTATCTAAAGTAACCCTCACTCCTAAGGACAAACCTGTTTTTTCTTCCTAGCATAGACCACTCTCTGAAATCACCTTGTTCTCCCAGTCATCTGCTGCCCTTGGCTGTTGCGCCAGCTATAACATGGCACTCTGCCTTGCCCACTGCTTTGTCCCCAGGACCCAGCCCTGTACCCAGGGTATAGTAGGTATATGATCGATGATAAGAGGCCTGGAGGCCACTATGGAAGAGCTCCTGCCAGATGGTGGTGGAGTGCGGTCATGAGGACCTCGGCCTCCAGTGTCCCCCTCCACTCTTTCCCAGCCCTGTGGTCTTGGGAAAGTCATTTAACTCTGCTAAGCCTCAGTTTCTGCATGTGTAAAGTGGGAAGAATCCTCTCCACCTTAAGCCTTGCTATGAGGATTAATGAGATGCGTGTACAGAGTTTAGTACACGGCCTGCCACATTGTGAGTGCTCAATAAATGTTGGCCGTTCTCTTCATTATCGTCAGCAGCTAACTTCAGGAACGAGATCCCCTAGGGCAGAATCTAAGGAGAAACTTTCCTATATCAAATTGTATCTTGTATTGTGGTACTGAATTGTTTAACTGGTCCTGAATGATATAACTGGAATGAAACCAGCTTGTCATGTATATGTATACACATAATATGGGCTGTCATATATATATATGTGTGTGTGTGTGTGTGTATATAAGTATACACACACATACATATATATGGGCTGCTGGTTTTAAGAATGCAGATTCTGGGCCCCACTCCAGTGGCGGGATAGGGATGAAACAAGATTGGCCATACGCTGGTAATTGCTGAAGTTGGGAAATGGGTACGTGGGAGTCCATTATACAATTCCCTATGTTTTAGGTTTGAATTTTTCTGTAAGAAGATTTTGCGGGTAGGGGAGGAGGAGTGAGCTTGAAGGGAATGTGGGCTGGCCTAGACCAGGTTGGAGCCAGCAGTCTCTAGGAATGGTCAGCTCACAAGGAATCCACATGGGTGTAATTAACTGCAGTGTCTCCAGTGGGCATTTGGCAAATTGTATCAAAGGCCTTAAAAATGGTCATTGCCTTTGAGTCATCAATTGTACTCATAGGAGAGTAAGCTAAGGAAATAATTAAGAGAGTGTACAAAAATCTAGGAAAATAATGTTCATTAGGTCATTGTTTATAAAATTGAAAATGAGGAACCACGTCAGTGTCCAGCCATAGGGGGTTGACTGAGCATGGTAACTGCCCAAGATGAGCGAGGTGTGTCAGGACCTTACTGGCAGTCAGGCAGCAAAGATTTATTGAGCACCTACTATATGCTGGGCATTGGGCTAGGTTCTGGGGATAGAGAGATGAATAAAACAAACTCTGCAGAGCTTATGTTCTGTGTCTTAGACCTGAAAAGTTGATCATGATGTTCAGTTCTTAGAAAAAGATGGCTGGGCGCGGTGGCTAACGCCTGTAATCCCAGCACTTTGGGAGGCCAAGTCGGGTGGATCACGAGGTCAGGAGTTCAAGACCAGCCTGGCCAAGATGGTGAAACCCCCATCTCTACTAAAAATACAAAAAATTAGCCAGGCGTGGTGGCAGGCGCCTGTAGTCCCAGCTACTCAGGAGGCTGAGGAAGGAGAATCACTTGAACCCAGAGGGTGGAGGTTGCAGTGAGCCGAGATCGTGCCACTGCACTCCAGCCTGGGTGACAGAGTGAAACTCCGTTTCAAAAAAAAAAAAAAAGATACGGTATGGTCCTATTTTAGGAAAATACAAATATATGTATAAACATGTCTGGCAGTTTATATGTGAGACTGTGAACCATAGTTTTCTGAGGATGGTGAATTTATGGTGATTTTTTGTTTTGTCCTTGGTGATCACCTGTGTTTTGTACAATTTTTTTTTTTTTGAGATGGAGTCTCGCTCTGTTGCCCAGGCTGGAGTGCAGTGGCAGCTCACTGCAACCTCCACCTCCCGGGTTCAAGCGATTCTCCTGCCTCAGCCTCCCTAGTAGCCGGGACTACAGGTGTGTGCCACCAGGCTTGGCTAATTTTTGTATTTTTAGTAGAGATGGGGTTTCACCATGTTGGCCAGGTTGGTCTTGAACTCCTCACCTCAAGTGATCCTCCCACCTCGGCCTCCCTAAGTGCTGGGATTACAGGCGTGAGCCACCACATCCGGCCTTGTACAAATTTTAACAAGAAATATTACAGGGGTGATTTTGATAAGGCATTCACTTTTTCATTCCTTCAAGTTTTTAACCTAGGGCAATGGGCGTTTGGACACCACTATCAAGCGTGGTCTTGGGCTCTTGTTTTAAAAATGCAAATTCTGAGCTCCACCCTTGACCCATTTGGCGGGATGCTCCTGGAAAGAGGTCCAGGTGTCTTTTTATTCCAAATGATTCGACTGCTTCTGACATCTGAGAACCATTACAGGGTTGAACAGAGGGATGTTGGAGTCTTCATGGACTGGGCTCTGCGGCTGCAGGACTTTTCTCGGGTTTTCAGAGGAACCTACTCAAAACAATTCAAGAAGCACTTCCTTTGCTTACTGAGATATGGCTTTGGCAGGAAGGGGCAGGGAGGGAGTGTCAGGGCAGTGAATGCTGTCTGCATTCCCAGCCTTCTTACAGAAGAGGACTGACTCGACTCTGCGACCAGGCTTAGAACCCACAGGCCTAAATTTCTGTGTTATTTTAGCTCTGTAGTCCGTGACCCGAGATTGTGGAAGGCCCATGAGCTTCCTGTAAGCATCCCAGAAGGCCCAGGAGAGTTCATACCTTTCCTGAGTGATATTTGGCAGCTCTGGGCCAGCATTCTATCAGCCCAGCATTGGATTCCAGTTACCTCACGCTTATCAGCAGCTGATTCATCTGTGCTTTCATTCATGCCCCTGTCCAATCATCCTTCCATCCGTTCATTCATTCAGTAAGCATTTGCCACGGTCCACTTGGTACCAGGCCCTGCACGGGGCTCTGGGGACACAGAGTTGAGTAAGGCTCCATCCCTGCCTTCAGCAGCTCCCCCATCCAGGAAGAACTGATCTGCCGTTGATTTCTTTCCCCATTCTCAGTTCATCAGTGCTTCATTGGTGCAGTTTTTCTGGTTGATAGGCTCTTTTCTTTTTAATACTGAAACCTAGTTTGTTTTAAAAGTAAAACTATTCAGACAATGTCAGAGGATGTACAATGAAATGGGATCTTTCTCAAATCCTGCCTTCCTCCCCAGAAGCTAAAGCTGCCCGTGGTTCCTTGGGCATCTTTCCAGATAATTCTCCTATATATTTACATGGATACAGAGTGTCTCCTCCTCCCCCAATCCATGGACACATGTGTATCCTGTCCCATGACTTGGTTCTTTTCCCTGTTGGAGAATAGCTGCTCCTAGCACCCACACTTTTTTTTTTTTTTTTTTTGAGACAGAGTCTTGCTCTATCGCCCAGGCTGGAGTGCAGTGGCATGACCTTAGCTCACTGCAACCTCCGCCTCCCAGGTTCAAGCGATTCTCCTGCCTCAGCCTCCTGAGTAGCTGGGATTACAGGCACCTGCCACCACGCCTGGCTAATTTTTGAATTTTTAGTAGAGACGGGGTTTCACCATCTTGGGCAGGCTGGTCTCGAACTCCTGACTGCAGATGATCCACCCACCTCGGCCTCCCAAAGTGCTGGGATTACAGGCGTGAGCCACCACGCCTGGCCAACACTCACTCTTTCATGGTTGCTCTATTGATGGACATTTGGGTTGTTTCCAGAATTTTAATGATGTGCACAGTGCAGGAGGAAAGATCCTGATGGATAGAGTCTCCCAATTCCCGGTATCCAAGGGGAGAAGATGAAGAGCAGTTGGTTGGTGGTAAAACTGGGGAATGAGCCCCCTGCCGTGCCCAGGGAATTTAGGCTTAGGATTGAAATGACATAGAGCTGTCAGCGGGCAGTGCCCGTCCCCCTGCTTCATTCTGCTGTGTCCTTCCCGCAGCCCTGGCCTCCCACGACTACATCCTGAAGATTGTGCCCACGGTTTATGAGGACAAGAGTGGCAAGCAGCGGTACTCCTACCAGTACACGGTGGCCAACAAGGTGCGCGGGCGGTGGCTGGGCCGAGCTGTGTGCGGCGGCGCCCTCTGCTGACGGAGAGCAGAGATGACAGGCGGCTGCACCGACGCACTTTCTTCTGATTCCTTTCTGGAGGCCTTTCCTGGGGGTTAGCTTGGGCCAGGCGCTGTCCCTGGGTAAAATTGAAAAGCCCAGTCCCTGCCATGTGGCAGTCTCAGAGTCAAGGAGAACAGATCTAACCAGGAGATAGGGTGTGATGCGTTTGACAAAGAGCAGGTAGTCTCTGTCCTACAAAGGTCCTGGGGTTGCAGGTCTCAAACAGCCCTGCATCTGGTCCGAGTCCTTCAGACACAGACCCCTGGGTGCTCAACACAGACAGACACTCCTGCTCTCAGGGCACAGGCACTTTACCCAAACTCATGAGGCTACTGAGTCACACCAAGATGGCTGTTGATTAATTTGCTGTTGATTGACAGGGGTGTCCCCAGGACCCCAACACTCAAAGTCATGGAGAAGACGCCAGGCCTTAGTGGGCAGCAGAGCATGGTCAGAGTCTGCAGAGTGGGATGACCCAGCAATTAGTGGTCTCAAGACAAGACAGCCTTGGGCTTCCCTGGGGGTATCCCACCAATGGGACATGAATACTTGAAACCTGTTGGTTGAAATGCCCCTGCTAGACCCTGGCGGATGGGTTTTTCCCACTTACCACCAGGACTGTCCTTTTTCTTCTGTTCCAAGGCTGCCCAAACCCCTTATAAGTGATACCTGTTTAGCTCAGTTAATTATAACAACAGTAGGAGGCATAGCTGTCACTCATTGAGTACTTCCTGGGGGCTAGACATGCTAAGCTCTCTTCTTCCGTCTTCTCAATCATCATGACAGCTCTGATGTTGAGACTGTTATTGAGCCCATTTTGTTGATTTGACCATTGAGGCACTGAGAGGTGGTTGTAGAGCTATAAAGTGGCTGAGTGGGGATTAGAACAGGTTTTCCTTGGGCTCCAGAGCCTGGCTTCTTGATCACCTCACGCCTCGGTCTGAGGAAGGGGCTGTGAGTCTGCCCACCTGCGAGCTGCTCTCTGTCCAATGACTTAGTCCCTCTGTTCTGACTCACCCTAAATTGATGTTCCCGGGAGCCCCTGTTTCTTTTATTCACTGTTTCACAGGGGGCATCTCATTGTAACCCTCACATGCTCATAGCAGCTAACAGATGGAAAAGCACAGATGCAAGCTCAGGACCACGCTGCAGTTCAAATTCCAGCTCAGTCATTCACTAGCTATTGACCCCGGACATGTCACATAGCCACTGTGTGCCTCAGTTTACTCATTCATAAAATGGAGATGATACTTTATAAGAGTGCTGTCACATGAGGCAATGTTTTCAAAAATGCCTAGCCCACCAAAAAAAAAAAGCCTTTAGGTAAGTGATACTGACTGCTGCTATTTTTCACTCTTTTTCTCTGTCCCTCAGCTCTGGGTTGTGACCCAGACAGTCATCCTGCCCCAGCAGCTCTCCTGGAGAAAGCTGGTCTTCCCTTGCACAAAGCTCCTTTTCCCAATGCTTTGGCAAGGCCCAGCAGCCAAATACAGCTTGCTTAGCTTCTCTATGGCTGCAGCCGCACTCTGCCCTGGGAGCAGGCAGCAGCGACCCAGCGGGAGGTCAGGGCTCAGTGTTACTTACCCCCGGAGTGGCCTGGGCTCCTCAGGCTCAGCATGTGGGGTTGGGGGTACCCCAGTGGTTCAATTTGGCCTCCAGTTGTTGCAGACTTTAGCACCTTGAAGTGCCCAAACTGGAGAGATCCCAGGGATCATCATCCCAGGCCCATCCGTGTTTAGATGGGGAAGCCAAGTCCCTGAGGGAGGGAGGGGCTGGCCCAAGGATGCACTGTTAGCTCAGCCTCGTAGTATCCTTAGTCCCTGCTGTGTGCATTCTCAGGAAGGTTGGTGGCAGGGCGGGGCCTTCTGGCTTTGCAGTTCAGTCTATTCCTCTGAAGAAGCTAGCCCACTCCCCACGTGGCATTTACACCCATCACACACACACACACACTGGGACTCCTGCTTATTCATCATGTGTGGCTCAGAATGTCCCCTCCCCAGTCTCCCAGATGCCGCCCGGGAGAATGGGTCATTCATTCATTCCCCTCAACTCTCCATGTTCCTCCATCCCACATGCATGATGTCACAGTGTTAGGGATATTCTTATGTCTTCCTCCTTCTGCAGACTGCGACTCCCTCTGGGTAAAGGGCAGGACTTGCTCACCTCGGGGTCCCCAGCAGCCAGCCATGGGCCACCACAGTGGAGGCGTTCAGCAAACCATTGTTGAATAAATGAATGGATTTCGCGTGGCCCAGAGGTTGAAGGAGGCAATAGCCAAAAATTGCACTTTTCCTTTTACAGCTCTGCTTTCTAATTTATTTTCTGATTCTGGTGCTGCTTGCAGCTCACTTGGTCAATTTCTAAACAACCAAGGGTATCAAAAATGCCCAGCTGTGCACGGCAGAGTTCAGGGCCTCCAGGGGAAGGGATGTGAGAGAGGGAGTGGGGGAGTCTGGCTTCGTGGGGCAGAGAGGGAGGAAAGCCCTTTCTGGAGGGTTGCTGGGGGGCCCTCTGCAATCCAGTCCCCGCCCCCCCTGAGACACAGTTTGTACTTCTGATTCTTATATCCTCTACCCCAGGAATACGTCGCCTACAGCCACACGGGCCGCATCATCCCTGCAATCTGGTTCCGCTACGACCTCAGCCCCATCACGGTCAAGTACACAGAGAGACGGCAGCCGCTGTACAGATTCATCACCACGGTGAGTGGCCTGGGGCAGTGGGTGGGGCCCTGAGCCAGCCACCCTGCGCCTGCTCTGGGCCCCTTTCCTTGGCACCCCTCACCTGTTCTCGCTGAAACAGGAGGCAGCCTGCAGGGCTAGGGGCTCTGGCTGGGCACAGGAGGCTTCGACCCCAAGGATGCTGAGAAATGTTGTCAGAAACACATCAGTATCGATGACGTTTTGTCTAGAAAGTATTTTCCAGAGGGGAATGCCCTGAAATCCATTTAATTCCTGAAGCAAATCTCCATATGGTTCCACTAGATGTTTAGGATTTTCTCCAGCTTTTTATTGTTATGGAAATTATTCTTAGCAGAGTTTATCCTTTAATGTGTAAATTTTGCACCAAAGATTGAACTCATTTTTTTTTCCAGGTCTAATTTCCAGTTATAGCTGCTGATAGGGTCCGATTTTTCCCTTTCCTTCCTCTCTGTTCTCTCTTTTTTGCCATGGTCTCTACCACATCCAGTTTTCTCTAGGGCAGATTCAAGCTGATGTTAGTTTTCCTTTATGCTGATTATTTCTATCATGTCTACTGTTTCCTGGCCTCCCATTCAGAAGGTCCTTAGGGTCAGAACAGGAGGGTCAGGGTGCCCTTCTTCACCCAAGAGGCCCAGGAGGTACTGAAGAAGCCAGAGTTAGCTGAGGTGGAAGAGACAGGGTGGCTATCCCTACTTCACAGATTTGGAAACTGAGACCTAAAGATAAATATGGCATTGGGAGGCCCTTATGCTTCTGTACTTCTTCATGCTTGTAATGATGGTTCAAGATCAAGGGCCTTGGCTCTTTCATTTCCCGCAATAACTAGGTCAGTATTAGTCAGGACTCTGTTACCGAAGATCCAGAACCAGACCTTGAGCTGGCCTGAGGAGTAGAAGGCCTCAGGCATGGCTGGATCCAGCCTCCAACATTGCCAGGAGTAGGTCTCTATCTTCGGATCTGCTTTCCGCTACACTGGCTTCATCTTCAAGTAGAATTTACCAGTAGAAATGGCCTCTTTCTCAGTCATTCTAACCAAGTCCTAGATAGGACAGAGCTCTCACTGGCCCAGCTCAGGCCTCATGCCATCCTTGTGGCCTGGGAAATCAAATGCTCTGGTTGGCCAGGCTTAGGCCCTGTACCCTCTCTGGTGTCAACCCCATCCAAACCGCAGGGACACAGATTGTGAGGAATGAGGTTTCTCAAGAGAAAAGGCAGGGGCCAGCTACTGGAAGAGGAAAGAGTGGGTGCCAGGAGGCAGAACAGTGGGATGTTGTGACAGGGTCTCTGCCTTCTCATCTGTGAAGTAAGAACGATCATCTCTGTTCCTGCCACCTCCCAGGGCCTTGTGGGACTCAGAGGAGATTGTGAAAGGAGAAGCTGTTTGCAGATGTGAAAAGCCAAGTAGGACGGGGCACAGTGGCTCACACTTGTAGTCCCAGCAGTTTGGGAGGCTGAGGCGGGAGGATCGCTTGAGGCCAGGAGTTTGAAACCAGCCTGGGCAACATTGTGAAGGCTTGTCTCTAAGAATCTTCTTAAATTAGCTGGATACGGTGGTATATGCACCTGTAGTCCCAGCTACTTAGGAGGCTGAGGTGAGAGGATCACTTGAGCCCAGGATTTTAAGGTTAGAGTGAGTCATGATCGTGCCACTTCACTCTAGCCTGGGCAACAGAGCGAGACCCTTTCTCTAAAAAACAAAAATCCCCAGAAAACAGACAGAGAGATACAAAGGGTGTCATAAGTCTGGTGCTTACATGAGCCTCAGAACAGTTTTTTGCTGTTCTCTTTGACCACATAAAAGTTAGAAACTCCTGTTCAACAAACGGCACATAACATAAAGCAAAAATCTCACACGCAGCCTGGGAAAAGATACTTGCCATCCAAATGGGAAAGGGGTAGCCTTCAGAATTCATATGTAAAGAACTCCTACAGATCAGTAAGAAAAAGTTAACAACCAAAAAAGCAGACAAGGCCAAGGACCAGCTCTTCACAGAGGAGGTGATATTGGCAGTGAAAAGATGCCCAAGTTCACTAGAAATTGGAGGGATGGGATTTAAAACAAGACTCAATTCAGGCCAGACGTGGTAGCTCACACCTGTAATCCCAGCACTCTGGGAGGTGGAAGCAGGAGGATGACTTGAGGCCAGGAGTTTGAAACCAGCCTGGTCACCGCAGCAAGACCCCCTCCCTACAAAAGAAAAGTTAAAAAATTAGCTAGACATAGTGGTGCATGCCTGTAGTTTCAGCTAGTTGGGAGGCTGAGGTGGGAGGATTGCTTGAGCGTGGGAGGTTGACACTGCAGTGGGCCATGATGGCGCCACTGCCCTCCAGCCTGGGCAACAGTGAGACCCGGTCTCAGAAAAATAAAAAAATTAAAAGACCCAGTTGAATCCTATTGGACTGACAGAAATTGAAAACTTGCCCGGCTCACACCTGTAATTCCAGGACTTTGGGAGGCCGAGGCGGGCAGATCACCTGAGGTCAGGAGTTCAAGACCAGCCTAGCCAACATGACAAAACACTACTAAAAATACAAAAATTAGCGGGGCATGGTGGTGGGCGCCTGTAATCCCAGCTACTTGGGAGGCTGAGGTGGGAGAATTACTTGAACCTGGGAGGGAGAGGTTGCGGTGAGCCAGGATCACTCCAGTGCACTCCAGCCTGGGCAACAGAGTGAGACTCCGTCTCAAAAAAAAAAAAGAAAGAAATTGAAAACCTGCTACTACAAAGATTGGGAAGATGTGAAGCCCTGGGAACCCACATGTGCTATTGGTGTGCAGGGACATGGGTACAGCTACCCTGAGGGGAGATGCACAAACCCCAGGACCCAAAAAATCAGGGGATTTGTGAGCAAATGATTTAACCCAAGACCCCGCAGGGTAGCACACCCCAAGTGGGTCTTGGTGCTGATTCTTACTGCAGCTCTCCTACTCCACACCCACGATAAGCCACACACAAAGATACAAGTAGGTTCCCTGGTGCCTCCATGAAGGTCTAGACCACTCCTCAGAGGCCCTAGGGTCTGTACATTGACTATAGCAGAGAAACCCCCTCCAGCCATGCCTCACAGTAGGGTTCAGAAGGCTCTTTTCTGTCCCCGTTTCTGTTTGCTCCTGTATGGAAAGCAGCTGAGACTCTGGGCATTACAATCATTTGGCAATGGCCGGGCACGGTGGCTTATGCCTGTAATCCCAGCACTTTGGGAGGCCGAGGCGGGGGATCACTTGAGGTCAGGAGTTCAAGACCAGCCTGGCCAACATGGCAAAACCTCGTCTCTAGTTAAAATACAAAAATTAGCTGAGCATGGGGGTGGGCACTTGTAGTCCCAGCTACTCGGGAGGCTGAGGCCGGAGAATCCCTTGAAACCCAGAAGGCGGACGTTGCAGTGAGCTGAGCTGATGCCACTGCACTCCAGCCTGGGTACCAGAGCGAGACTCTATCTCAAAAAAAAAAAGAAAAAAAAAAAGAAATCGGCCGGGCACGGTGGCTCACGCCTGTAATCCCAACACTTTGGGAGGCTGAGGCGGGCGGATCACCAGGTCGGGAGTTTGAGACCAGCCTGACCAACATTGTGAAACCCCATCTCCACTAAAAGTACAAAAAATTAGCCGGGCATGGTGGCACATGCTTGTAGTCCCAGCTACTTGGGAGGGTGAGGCAGGAGAATTGCTTGAACCTGGCAGACAGAGGTTGCAGTGAGCCGAGATCACGCCACTGCACTCGGGTCTGGGCGATAGAGTGAGACTCCATCTCAAAAAAAAAAAGAAAAAAGAAATCACTTGGCAAGTGGCTGAGAAATGAAGCAACTTCATTTATTCACTTAACATTTGCTAGAATTCACTATGTTCCGGCCCCCGTAGCAGGCACCAGGGTCAGCTGAATCATACGCAGTCCCTGCCTTGAAGGAGCCCCCTGCTGGAGGGGCAGATGAGTGAGCACAGGGAGCTGTGACCGGCTCTAGTGGAGATGTGCGCCAGACACTGCAGGCAAACAAGAGGGCGCCATCCCCTTTGTTTGGGAAGCTCTAAGAATAGAACCCTGTGATGGGCCTTGAGCTGAGGAGGAAGGGCCCGGGAAAGGGAATGCTATGCGCAGAGGCGCCCAGTATAACATGTCGTATGAAGTCCATGCCACCCCCTTTGGCAGGTGACAAACTCCCCAGTGAGCCGCTGACCTTCTGAGAGCAGGAGGCTCCAAGAAGCCACGGGGAAGACCCTTCCTTCGTCAGAGACCCAATGCCTCTATGACTCCTCCTTCTCTTCCTGTCCTTGGCCACCAGCCTGTCCTCCATTTCTGCCCCATCCACCTCTGCTCAAGCGTGGGCTGGCAAAGCCCTGGGCTTGTGGGCCACACTGCTGCAGGGAACCTCCTGACATCATTAGCCTGGTGGTTCTTCTGAAGGCCCTGTGCCACCACCTTGGTTGCCATGGTAACCGTGGGGTCAGCTCTGAAGGAGCCAGCCGGCCGGCTGTCCCTGGCAGATGGCGTCATTGTGGAGCTTCAAAGGCCCTTGTCACAGGGCAGCAGATGTGGGGATGACGCCAGCACTCAGACACACACGTACACACACGGCACAAAGATCCCTGGGAGCCCTCGGAGGGCGGGGTGGGGCCAGGATGGAAGTGGAGGCACCTGCTGTGGCTTCTCTTTCTCTCTTTTTAAAAATCAAACACTTGCGTGCAAAGCCCCTAAACGGCAAATGGGGGCCTCTGCAAATAGCTCCTTAGAGGGGCTGCAGATGAAGAGGGGCTTAGGTCGGGATGTCGTCATGTGGCGGCTGCGGGGCTGGGAGGCAGCTGTGGGTGGGCTGGAGGGAGGGAGGGTAGAGGCAGATGGGGCCTCCCAGATGCATTGCCAAGTGTTTAGTACCTGGCTGCTTCCAGGTTGCCCCCTCCAGGGTCTCATTGTCCCAAAAGGGCTTGTTTATCCCTAGCCTACAACAGTTTTTCCTCCTGGAAGTCTTTAGCCAGGCTTCTTGGAGCTTCTCTCTCTCGGCACGTGGGGCACCTTGCTCAGAGCGATGCTCTGTGCTATATTAGAACATTCCAGCGCCAAGGGAATAAACAGATTGTGTTTGACGACATGCAAGTAATCCCCTCCAAAGTGCTCCCCTCCCACACACACATTTGTCCTGTGCCACTTGCTGTAGCTCCCTTTTTGAGATTGAGATTGCCTTCAAGTGGGTTGTGGTGACAGACTGGAGGGCTTCAGAGGTGTCAGATCTCTTTCCTTGCATGGTTTATTTTATTTTGGAGGAACAGCCAGAAGTCACAAAGTGCCAGTTGGGCCAGTATGACCGGGATGGTTTTTGCCCACCAAGAAGTACCGGATGGCGATGACACCCTCCCATTGCGTGCTACTCAAAACCTGTCATTCTTGGAGAGTTGCGCAGCTCCCTTAACTCAAGTGGTGCTCAGGGCCCTTGGCCAGGGCTTAACCTGGGTATGAGGGAGAGTTGCTACAGGGAGCCTCACCCACAGACGTTCCTCTCTGCTGCCCTCTTTCATGCTTTCTAACCTGGGGACTAATCCCCCAGACTTTAGATTGCCCTGCATGGTTGTCAGGCCTGATGATGACCTCCGCGTCTGACTTACCTGTGTCCCCAGCATCCAGTGAAGGGCCTGACCTGGACACAGGTGCTCAGAAATGTGTAAGAGGCAGCTGCCTAAAGAAGTGATCATATTTTCAGCTGGGCGCGGTGGCTTACACCTGTAATTCCAGCACTTTGGGAGGCCAAGGTGGGCAGATCTCCTGAGGCTAAGAGTTCAAGACCAGCCTGGCCAACATGGCGAAACTTTGTCTCTACTAAAAATACAAAAAATAGCCAGGTAGCACGCCTGTAGTCCCAGCTACTGTGGAGGCTGAGGCAGTTGGAGGCTGAGACAGGAGATCTTGGCAGTAAGCCAAGATCGTGCCACTGCACTCCAGCTCTGTCTCAAAAAAGAAAAAAAAAAAGGTGATCATATTTTCCCTAGCCAGACAGGATGAGGGAAAAAAGTGATCATATAGCTACCCTTATTAAGCACCTACTATGTGCCAAGTAATTACATAGTTACCTCTTTTAGCCCCCCCAGCAACCTCTCAAGGTAGATGATTTTGTTCCTGTTTTATAAATGGATTAAACTGAGGCTCAGAGAGGTGAAAAAACTCATCCAAGATCTCACAGCCAGTAAATGGCAAGGCTCGGACCTGACCCCAGTGCCTGCCTCTGCAACATCCCCTACCCCCAGCACTGTCTCAGGAGCCTCTATCTTCCAAAACAAGGGCTGTCAGGGGTGTTGCAGCAACAAAGCCCCCAGAAGTCATAGAACTCTTGGTAGGACAGACATCAGGATCATTTGATACAGTGACTTTCATCCTGAGAATCAGGAAGAACTATTAGAGCAGGAAACAAAGTTTTATTGTGAATATGCATGGTGAAATCACAGCTTCACACAAACCATTAAAAAAGCCGACGTCCATCTAAGGCAGATTGGCTGATAGTTTGCAAGTTTTCCTGCCCATA
Organism: Homo sapiens; assembly: GCF_000001405.40. Lineage (NCBI taxonomy): Eukaryota > Metazoa > Chordata > Mammalia > Primates > Hominidae > Homo > Homo sapiens. The sequence continues at coordinate 172,941,815 of NC_000005.10, forward strand.
TCTAACACCTTTTGTTCACCTGTTTAGGCTTCTGCAAACATTTGCCAGAAACTAAGGCAGCAAGTGCTGGGGGCAGGGAAGAGGGCAGGGGCATTAAGAAGAATTGACAAGGCCGGGCGCAGTGGCTCACGCCTGTAATCCCAGCACTTTGGGAGGCCGAGGTGGGCGGATCACAAGGTCAGGAGTTTGAGACCAGCCTAACATGGTGAAACCCCGTCTCTACTAAAAATACAAAACTTAGCCAGGCGTGGTGGTGCACACCTTTAATCTCAACTACGTGGGACGCTGAGGCAGGAGAATCGCTTGAACCAGGAGGTTGCAGTGAGCCGAGATCGTGCCATTGCACTCTAGCCTGGGCGACAGAGCAAGACTCCGTCTCAAAAAATAATAATAATAAAAAATAAAAAAAAGAATTGACAAGAGACAAACTTCAAACTGAGAAGGTTCTACCCACTAAGATGATGTGAGTTGGAAAAATGACCATCTTGGCCCTGGGGTGGCAGGAGAGCCTTCCCAGCTCCCATATGCCGCCTCGGTTCTCTCCTCTCTGCCCCCGCTACCCTGCTCAGGGTTCCCTCGGTGTCTCTCTTCCCTGGACCACAAGCACCAGGGAAGCTCCACGAGCTCCAGGTTTAGTCATCTCTGGTCTCCAGATCCAGTGCATCAATGTGGGTAATAAATAGGTGTCAAACAATGAGCACATAGAAGGAGAGGTGTACACCTTGGTCCACCCCCAACCAAGAAGATTTCTGTTATTGGAGGGACAGAACAGAACCCATATTAGGAGCTTGGTGATTCAGGTCTGGAAATGTGCAAAACGCTTCAGTTCAGATCCTTCCGTGGTATTCCAAGCTGAACTAGATCTTCAAGAAGGTGTTCCAGAGACAGATTGCTCCAAACTGGGTCTGTACAGAGAGGGGCCTCCTGGCGCGTGCGTTCCCAGAGCAGGTTCGGAGGCGGAAGAGGAACGTGAGACCGAGTGGGCTCCATTTTGCACACCAGGCTGGTTTTTATAGTTGCAGAGCTTCTGACTTCCAACACTTTGCTGACGGGGACCCCTTAGGTCAGGATATTTGCTACGTAAACCTTAACAGAATTGAGAAGACAGATTCCCTGCATGGAAGCTATCTGTACATGAAGAGAGGGGCTAGGAAGAGTCTTCCGGCTGGGAATGAGGGCAGGTGGGCTAACAGAAAAAGCAGGCCCTTTGCAGCCTCCCAAACCTGGCTTCTAGTGATCCTTGCTTACTCGGTAGCCCTGTGACTGTGGACAAGTCATTCCCTCTCTGACCCTCTGTGTCCTTGTCTGTGAAATGAGGGTCACCTAGCAGTGGCAAGGATTGAATGAGAAAAGAGGAGAAGGTGCCATCTCAGACCCAGCACATAATAGGTGCTCAACCAAAGTGAGGTTCTTGCGAGGTGGGGTGGATGGGTATTTTGCAGCCCATAGGAATTGTAAAAATGTCAGCGGGAGGCCTCTCCCCAGGCCCCCGGAGCTCTGGAAGGCCTGATACCACACGCTCTCCTCCCCCACCCCCAGCCTTTCCAGGGCCCAGTCAACCACTTCCCTTCCCCGACTACACCCCCCACCTCTGCCTCCTCCACGACTTTGGTGTTCTCATCCCCGGCTCCAGCCTGTCTGCCGCTGCTGGAGCCTGATGAGACTCCAATTCATTATTTATTTCCTCATGCGGCGCCTCCTCCACACGCTTTTAAAGCAGTGCTGACTGAACGGGGAAAGTGACTGAACAGTTCCTGGGCACTTAGGGTACAGCAGGCAGCTGGACAGTGTCATCCCGGTCCCTGCAGTGGGCCCCATTCTACAGATGGGGCAACTGAGGCTCAGAGAGGTAAACTGGCTTTCCCAGCCAGGGCCACAGAGCTGGGATTGGACCGCAGGAGTGTTTACTCCAAAGCCCACAATCTCGCCTCCCACGGCGGTGTGTATGGTGCTTCTCCATTGCACGCTATGGGAGAGTAATGGGGAGGGGAGTAATGATGCACTGGGAAGGCGTTCGTGCTGGTGGAAAAACAGGCATTTAGTTCCCGCTCCAGTGCGGCTGGAACACATCCTTCTCATATTATAAGGAATTAAGAACCATAATGAAAATGTAAGGGAAACACACACGCACCCCTTTTAAAGGTAGACAAGCTGACTTCATTCTAGTCACAGTGGAAGGCCAAGAAGCTGACGGGACCCCTGGGAGGAAGTTGCTGGTGGGAACAGAGGGGCATTATCGGATGACGTCTGATGAATGCCACTTCCTGCACTGCCCTCAGACTCACTGGGGCCCAGGTATTGAATTGTCCTTGTTTTTGTTTCTGGAGCTGTGGCTGCTGCCCAGAGCAGTGGTGCATGCACTGGCCGAGGTGGCCCTCCCTGGCTCAGTGACCCTGCTCCCTCATCCCCGACGGGGAAGATCCCACCCTAGGTTGTCTCTGAGCCTTGAGGCCTGGTTGGGAGATACAAGAGCGTGGCAGTGGCAAGGGACCAAGCCACTCTCAGTCAATGCCACCACAGTCCTAGGGGGTGAGGATTAGTCTTCCTTTTTTTTTTTTTCTGAGACGGAGTTTCACTCTTGTTGCCCAGGCTGGTGTGCAGTGGCACGATCTTGGCTCACTGCAACCTCCACCTTCTGAGTTCAAGCAATTCTCCTGCCTCAGCCTCCTGAGTAGCTAGGATTACAGGCACCTGCCACCACGCTCAGCTAATTTTTGTATTTTTAGTAGAGACAGGGTTTCGCCTTGTTGGCCAGGCTGGTCTCGAACTCCCCACCTCAGGTGATCCACCCACCTCGGCCTCCCAAAGTGCTGGGATTACAGGCGTGAGCCGCCGCACCCGGCCAGTCTTCCCATTTTTAAAAGCCAGAAAACTGAGGCACTGGGAGCTAGGGTGGCACAAGAGCACATGGATGAGAGGAGTCCAAGCCAATTCTGCCAGCCTCCAAAGCCCAGGCCCTCTATGGCATCGCTTTCCAGGTGCAGGGTCTCCAGGCACAGCAACTTAGTGGAGAGGGGCACCTGCTGCCTGCCCCATCCAGGGTCTCCCCCTCCAGGCCCACCTTTTCATCAGCACTGCCTTCCCCACGCCCCCGGCTGACACCCCTGAGCGAGTCACCTTTGCCGCTGCCTTGGGTGTGGAACCCTGTGCCTTTCCTGAGTAGTCATTCATTCCCTCACTCTGGAACCCACCCATTGGCTCCTCATTCTTTCTCTCACTCCTTTATTTATTCAACAAACACGTCTTGTGCACCTCCCATGTGGTCAGTTGTGTCTGCTATCTTCTCTCCCTTGGGCATTCAGGAAAATGAGAGTTTTCCCAATAGGCTTGAGGTGGTGAGATTCAGGGAGCTCCCTCACTGGCCAAAGGATGGAACCCACCTCTGGCCTAAGGTGCTTTGCCCCACAAGGATGTTCTTCATCACAAACACATCTTGGCAACTGCCTGAGGGAACAGGACACCCTGTCTGGGCCTCAGCTACCTGTTCTGTTGAATGGGTTGCTGTGTAACTTCAGAGGGCCCTTAGAGTGCGTGGGCCCCCAGCGGCCACAAAGAATCTGCCTGCGGTGCTGGGACACTCTTGCGGTCCTGTTCCTGTATGACTCGTCTTGCCTTCTGCTAAAAGTGCCAGAGAGAGAATGGAAGTTGAGACCCAAAGGCGTGCTCTGGGGAATAAGTAATATTTTACTGATTTTTCTGGTTAAAGTGGGTCTCAGGTTGAGACAATCCCATTTCTTGGCCATAAGGTTAGAGCCTTCCAGTGAACTGAAAGATTAAGATCAGGTTTCATTTACTGAGCATCTACTAGGTGCTAGGTGCTCCAGATGTATTTTCAGTAGAGCCGCAGGGGTTTTGTCGTTTTATTTTTATTTTTATGTATTTATTTTGGCAACAGAGTCTTGCTCTGTGACCTCGCCTGGAGTGCAGTGGCTGAATCTCGACTCACTGCAACCTCCACTTCCCAGGTTCAAGCAATTCTCATGCATCAGCCTCCCGAGTAGCTGGGATTACAGGCACCTGCCACCATGCCCAGCTAATTTTCGTATTTTCAGTAAAAACAGGGTTTCACCAAGTGACCAGGTTGGTCGCAATCTCCTGAGTTCACGTGATCCTCCTACCTTGGCCTCCCAAAGTGCAGGGGTTGCAGGCATGAGCCACTGCACCCGGCTGGCTTTCCTGTTTTATAGATGAAGAAACTGAGGCCCAGAAAGGCTCTCCCACGGCTAGAATTAGTAAGTGATGCCACGATGCAGCCTCCAAAGGCTGGGTGCTCTCTGCTGCCATGGCAGGAAAGCCGGGTGGACTCCCCAGCCCTCACCTCATGCCACCCTCACCATGTCCAGCAGGGAGGTGCACACCTCCCAGCCCCAGCTTTGTCCTGGACTCCCCTGGAGAGGCCCAGCTCTCCTCGCTCCTCTGTGTGAACAGCAACAGGCTGTGGGAACTAAGTGTCACGACTGCAATTTGCTTTCTTTTCAGTTTCATTCATTAGTGTTCCTCCCAGGCCCCATCCCCACAGCCCAGGGAAATGCCAATCAGCGTCTTCCCTCCTGCCAGCGGCACCCCTGCCCTCCCCTCCGTGAGTTCCTGAGATCCCGCCAGCATCTCCTCCAGCTTCAGAATATCTGCTGTTGGATCCCATTGTTCCCACATCATCCCAGGAATCCTAAATGGCAAAGCCTGTCATCTTGCTGCCGCCCATGTAGGGCCTGAATTCCAAGGCAGACACACCACCTGGCACAGCCTTGTGGCTGCATCTCCCCATGTTCCAGAAGGTATGGTGACCTTCTAAGACGAGGGACAGCCATGACCAGCCACTTCCCTGAGCGAGTTCAGGTGTGAGAACGCCCTGGCACTGGGCATTTCTGAATCTTTCCATATGTCAGAATCCAGGAAGTGCCAGTCCTGGGAGCACCAGAACCCTCTCCTGTGACTCTACGTCACCTCATGCCAGTCACCTCCTACTGACTGCCAGTGTGTCAGGGAGGCCTGAAGGATGAGAGATAAAATAATGAAAGCAGGGCCGTGGCAATGTGGGCCTGGCCACTAGAGTTCTCTCAGCATTTTTTTTTTTTTTAAGTCACGGGGCCAGGCATGGTGGCTCACACCTGTAATCCCACCACTTTGGGGAGGCCGAGGCAGGCAGATCACTTGAGGTCAGGGGTTCGAGACTATCCTGGCCAACATGGTAAAACCCAGTCTTTACTAAAAATACAAAAATTAGCTGGGCATGGTGGTGGGCACCTGTAATCCCAGCTACTTGGGAGGCTGAGGCAGGAGAATCACTTGAACTCAGGAGTGGAGGTTGCAGTGAGCCGAGGTCACCCCATTGCACTCCAATCTGGGCGACAAGAGTGAGACTCAATCTCAAAAAAAAAAAAAAAAAGAAAGACATGATCTTGCTCTGTCACCTAGGCTGGAGTGCAGTGGTGCAATCATAGCTCACTGCAGGCTTGACCTCCTGGGCTCAAATGATCCTCAGCCTCAGCCTCCAGAGTAGCTGGGACTACAGCCACCACACCTGTCCAATTTTTTTATTTTTTGTAGAGATGGGGATCTCACTGTTTTGCCCAGGATGGGCTCAAGCTCCTGGACTCAAGCAACCCTTCCATCTCCCGAAGTGCTGAGATGACAGGCATGAGCCACTGTGCCCAGCTGAGTTATCTCAGCTTTGAGGAAACCCCCCTGGAATGTGTGAGGATTTCCCCTCCCCTCACCTCCTCAAGTGAACAGTGACCAGCCCCTTCAACAGATGCGGGGTGATGGGGGCACGTTGAGCAAAATCAGTAGATACTCATAGGTAGTCTGCCTCAGGGTTCCCCCTTAGCCTTCAGGCTTGCAGTCACTCACCCTGTGACTGAGCCAGTTGCATAGCAGTTTCCATGCCCCAGGGCCTCAGTTTCCCCTCAGGCGATGTGCTTTCCTGTGTACCTCAATACACACATTGTCTCCCTCTGGTCTGGGCCAGCCCCATGAAAGGAGAGTTGAGACTGGGTGCCAGGTGTCTGTGAGTCATAAGCATTTGGGTTCCAAATTGTGTGTAGATGAATACAGATGTGTTTTGTGTGTGTGTGTGTGTGTGTGTGTGTGTGTGTGTGGTTATTTTTTATTTTTTGCTTCATTGCACGTAAGTCACATTTTCCTATCTTCTGATCCAAGCTCTAAAAGCGTTTTGTGGTATAAAATCTCCCATCATCTGATCCACTCTACCGAAATAAACCAGCTCCCCTGCCGTCATCTTCCCTGAAAAGTCCCCCTGCGTCATGTTCTGAGGCCGGCAGGGAGGGGCCTTGCCCACTTAAAACACTTCACCATAATCCCCCCAGCGCCCCCAGTCCTCTCCACTCCCTGGGGGGCCGCTCCGGTTTCCTGGGCTGTTATTACTGGAGGACCAGCTGCTACCCTGCCACCCATCCATACAGACCTGGTCTGTCCATCCTGGGCCTCACAGGCCCCCGCTTAGCTCATCTCATGGAAATATCATTTAAAAAAATAAACACTGGTTTGATTCGCACTTCCCTCTCGCCTTTGCTATGTCTCCCAGCCTCCCACCACTGGGCACCAGTTCATCTATTAAGGTGTTCTTGGCTCCCAGAGTTCCCCACAGGTTGCAGGTCAGTAGCTGGCCGTCCACCTGTGGTGCCTCTGGGGCTGCTAATGTCCTCTGGGGCCACACAACTGTTTATTTCTTCTGAGTCCTGTGGTCATTTAAATGCCCCTTAAATGTGGCATGGGGGAAAGAGTGAGTGCCACATGCACTGTGTGACCTCGGACAAGTTACTTCCCTCTCTGTACCCCATGGGTACCTCAGTGAAGAGGCATCTCCTTCATGGGCTGTAGGGCTCCTGCTGCTCCGAGGCCTATGGCTGCTCCTAGGATGGGAGGTGTTGGTTCTTATAAATGACATAAAGTAGATGCTCAAGAGGAAAATATGCTTAAAGTTTTCTTGCAAGGTCTGGAACAGTGGTTCATGCCTGTAATCCTAGCACTTTGGGGGGCTGAGACAGATGGATCACTTGAGTCCAGGAGTTCGAGACCAGCCTGGGCAACATAGCGAGACCTCACCTCTACAAATTAAAAATTAAAAAAAATTAGCCAGGCATGGTGGCATCACCTGTAATCCTGGCTACCCCGGAGGCTGAGGCAGGAGAATCACTTGAACCTGGGAGTTGGGGTCTGTGGTGAGCTATGATCACCCACTACACTGCAGCCTGGGTGACAGAGTGAGACCCTGTCCCTACAAATAAGTTTCCTTGCAAACCTTCTGTGAACTTCATTTGTCTTCCATCATCCATGCTTTGATTCTCTGAAGTCATCAGAAGGCAATTTGTAGGCCATAACATTTTGAGTAAAACATAACATTAGTTTGATTAGTCCCAAATGGTGTTCTGACAACTGCAAAGCTTTGTGATTCAATCAGGTGGGTGTTTTGTGCCTGAGAAGCAACAGGGTGTCACATTAAGAGCACAGACTCCAAAGTTTTGAACCCCTATTCAGCCACTTGCTGTGGCATTGGACGAGGGATTCAGGGTCTCTGTGCCTCAGTTTCCTTGGCTGTGAAATAGTCTAAGAATAGTACCTACTGCCTAGGGTTGAGCTGGGGATTCACTGGGGTGGTAGGCATGGAGCACTGTAACCCACCTGGCCCAGGGAAGGTGCTGTGTAAGTACTGTGTATTTTGTTGTGGTTAGTATATTATGATGTGGCAGACAGTTATGAAGTACAGACATAACAGGTGACATTCATTATCCTCCTGCTACCGCCATTCTCAACCAGGGGCAATTTTGACATCTGGGGACATTTGGCAATGTTTGGAGACATTGTGGTTGTCACAGCGTGGCGGGGGGGGGTATGATTGGCATCTCCTGGGTAGAGGCCAGGGATGCTAAATCCTTCTGCAAAGGACAGCCCCTGTGGCAAAAAATTCTCTGGCCCCAAATGTCAATGGTGCCATTAGAAACCTTGCCCTGGCCAGGCACAGTGGCTCATGCTTGTAATCCCAGCACTTTGGGAGGCCGAGGCGGGTGGAGCACGAGGTCAGGAGATCAAGACCATCCTGGCTAACACGGTGAAACACCCCCACCCTGTCTCTACTAAAAATACAAAAAATTAGCCAGGCGCGGTGGCAGGCAGCTGTAGTCCCAGCTACTCGGGAGGCTGAGGCAGGAGAATGCCGTGAACCCGGGAGGCGGAGCTTGCAGTGAGCTGAGATCACGCCACTGCACTCCAGCCTGGAAGACAGAAAAAAAAGAAAAAGAAAAAGAAACCTTGCTCTAATAGAAGCTTTCTGGTAGCACCAAAGGCCTCTCTGTCCTTTGTAGCACTTGCCTTGGCTATAATTTTGCATTTATTGGTATGATTATTTGCTTACTACCCATCAAGTCCCAGGATGCCATTTCTTGGCTGTGTGACCTTGGGCCCCTGGGACTGCCTTTCAGAACCTCCATTTCCTTCATCTGCAAATGGGATTGTAAATATGTGATAAATTCAGAGTTGAGGTTAAGACCACAGGCTCCAGAGTTAAGACGTACCTGTGTTCAAGTTGCATCTCTGCTAGTGGTGAACTTAGGCAAGTCACCTGATGAACCTCAGTTTCCTCCGCTGTGAAATGGGTCTAATAATTCCCTTCCTCATTCAGAGGGTGAATATGGGAATTAAAGGAGCTCATAATGGTGAAAATTATTTTATTATTATTAAATCCACCATCCAACAACTGGTTTTCTTTGAGCCCTAAGTATGTTCCGGACTTGGTGACTATGTAGTGGGTATTATGGGCTTAACGGGCAATGTCTGCCTTGCAGAGCCCATCATCTCATGATGTGGGAGGGGTCTGGCCTGGTTCATCCTCCAGCACTGACTTCTGACACTCCCACCCCACCCCTGCCCTCTTGCAGATCTGTGCCATCATTGGCGGGACCTTCACCGTCGCCGGCATCCTGGACTCATGCATCTTCACAGCCTCTGAGGCCTGGAAGAAGATCCAGCTGGGCAAGATGCATTGACGCCACACCCAGCCTAATGGCCGAGGACCCTGGGCATCGCCAGCCTTGCCTCCAGTGCCCTGTCTCCTTTGGCCCTCAATCTGGTCCCAAATCTGGCTGTGTCCCAAAGGGTGTGTGGGAAGTGGGGGGAAAGTAGAGGATGGCTCGATGTTTTGCAGCTACCTCTTTTCCCCGTGTTTCTTTTTAGACAAATTACACTGCCTGAAGTTGCAGTTCCCCTTTCCCTGGGGAGCCCCAAGAACAGAGTCAGGCAAGGGGTGGGGAGTCCAGGGATCTTGGGGACCCCTCCTAGGAGAGCTGCAGTCTCTTCCCTCAGGGGAACATCCCAGAATGCATATCGATCAGCTCTCAGCCAGGCTTCGACAATCTCGCAGCCCCCACTAGGTGGACACATTAATGATTTGGTTTCTCCCCTGGGCAGCCAACCTGCCCCAGAGGCACCAGACCTGGGCTTTCAGCTTTGGGACCAGGCTGCCCAAAGGTACTCCTTTATACACCCGGCACCTTCCACGAAAGATGGTACTTCCCAAGCAAGCCCCTATGATTTGTCACTATAGATGGAACCCTGACTTCTGCCCCATCCCTTCCTGCCCAACCTAGAACCCAGGCCTCAAGTCTTTACCCCACCCCTTTCTTGTTCTTCCAAGAAGCAGATGCCCAGTTGCTCAGCAGCAGCGGTAGAGACTTGAATCTGCCCACCAGTCACAAGGCGGGTCACAGATTCCTCTTCCTCTCTTCTCCTCGTTCCTCTGAACCCTCCACCAATGTGCCTCAGCCTGTGTGCTGTGTGGCAACAGCATTCTGGTTCCCACTGCCAAGATCTCCCACCACTCTGCTGGGATCTGCAGTGGCAGGGAGTGGGGGTTGTGTAAAGGGGAAGTCATCTTTTGAGATCCAGATAGACATGGTTTGTGCACTTACGTCCAGATGGGAAGCATCCTTCCTGCAACCCTAAAATAATCATGCAGCCTCTCAGACGGACGCCATCGGTCCCAAGGCCTTAGGTGGAGGAAGCAAAGCAGGCCAGGCCTGTCCTGTCCGTGGACCTCTACCTTCTGGACTCCCTACGGGTGCAGAGCACTTGGGTTTCTCTACAGCCATCGTGGCCCACTTGACACTGTGCTCCTCCATCAGCTGGTCACATGCCAACACGTTCCCAGCCCCTGAGGCAGCTCCAGGGTGCCCCACCTGCTCCTGAGGTGGGTCCCTACCCTGCTGCTCCTCTTCATCCTTTCCCTTTTGTCCTGAAAGGGAGGAGCAATGGTCCAGGCATTAATTCCACCCAGGGAATTTTAGCTATGCCCTCATGTCCCAGGGAGAGAGCCACACGCCTGTTTTCCATTTATAGCAAGATTGTTTGCATACTTTTGTAATGAAGGGGAGTGTCCAGTGGAAGGATTTTTAAAATTATCTTATGGATAGCTCAAGTCTCTGCCATTTGTAATTTTTGGCTCTAAGCTCCGATTGGAGACGCTTCTCCTTGTGCATGTGAGTTGACTGATGTTGTGAGTGTAAATGCATTTGGTTATTTCTGGTATCGGTGGCCACTTGGATGGATTTTTTTACATTCTGTTCCCCAGTTACAGGAAGGAGTCCCTTTGGTGTGTGAATATGTGTGCCTGTAGAGGGTGGGGCAGGGTGGGGTGGGGATGGAAATGTGTGGCATGCACATGAGTTGAAATTCTTTTATGCATTTTTTTGAAGAAAAAAAAAAAAACAACTCTGAGGACATAGGGGATGTCAGTTTCCTATGGAAGAGACACCTCTGACCCGTTATTCTTATAATCAAAATCTGAAGGGAAAAAAATGTTTTAGTTCTTTCCCCACTCGTTGGGTTCAACTAGATTAAAAGGCTGATTTTCAGAAATATTATGGTGTGATTCTTTCTACCTTGACTGGGGCTGGGTGACCCAAAGGCTGGAATCACAGCCAGAATGGAATTCACTTCTAGAGGAGAGAAGGTAGAAGAGTTGAAAAGGAGATCTGTGAGGATGATCAGAAAGTCAAACCCCGGCCAGGCACGGTGGCTCACGCCTGTAATCCCAGCACTTTGGGAGGCCGAGGTGGGCCAATCAGGAGGTCAGGAGATCGAGACCATCCTGGCTAACATGGAGAAACCCCGTCTCTACTAAAAATACAAAAAATGAGCCAGGTGTGGTGGCGGGCGCCTGTAGTCCCAGCTACTCCAGAGGCTGAGGCAGGAGAATGGCATGAACCCAGAAGGCAGAGCTTGCAGTGAGCCGAGATCGTGCCACTGCACTCCAGCCTGGGCGACAGAGCGAGACTCCATCTCAAAAAAAAAAAAAAGTGAAACCCCCTTTGGCCAGGTGCAGTGGCTCACACCTGTATTCCCAACACTTTTGGGAGGCAGAGGCGGGTGGATCACCTGAGGTCAGGAGTTCAAAACCAGCCTGGCCAACATGGTGAAACCCCATCTCTACTAAAAATACAAAAAATAGCTGGGCGTGGTGGCAGGCACCTGTAATCCCAGCTACTCAGGAGGCTAAGGCAAGGAGAATCGCTTGAACCTGGAAGGCAGAGGTTTCAGTGAGCTGAGATCGCACCATTGCACTCCAGCCTGGGGGACAAAGCGAGACTCCGTCTCAAAAAAAAAAAAAAGAAAAGAAGAAAGAAAGTCAAGCCCCCTTAGATTAAGTCATTCCTTTATTGAGTCCCTACAGAATGTTCTTGGGTCTGTCACCTTCTAGCTGTGCAGCTTCAGTCCAGGTCCTTAACCTCTCAGTGCCTCAGATTTGTTGGGTGAAAATGAGGATAGTAATAAAACTACCACATAGGGCTGTTTCAGAAATAGAATCTATAACGTGCACAGAAATTATATTAGAATGAGATTGTCTATGTAGAAGAGTGTTTATTGCTGGTACACAGTAAGTTTTCACAAATGGTGATTGGACCATTATGAGCATTCCCAAATAGGATATAATCTTGAGAAAAGACTAACTTTAGAGCTTTGAGCTAAGGGCTCCATAAATGAAAGGTGATTCATAAATTCTTCTTGATTTCAAAGGACCTGGCACTCCTTTTTCAACCCTAAGCTCAGCAATGAGAGATCATCATCAGCTATGAGCAATGGACTTCCATGGATCTTTCCCATCTTGCTGCCAAGTCCTACAAGACTTTCATCAGAACAGCCCTAACACGGATAAACACACCAGGGATGAATGTGGGAGGGAATCAGTCTGTGAGAAATTCTTAACTCTCCCCATGCTCTCGCTCTTACATCCTGATACTTGAGTTATGTGTGTTCCCAAACGTGTTTATACCAGTTGTGCTTTTATACTGGTAGGATGTGATTTGGGGAACTATTAGTTAAACCAATGAGCTACAAGAAATGAACCTAGTAAAACTAAGTTGAATGCTTTAGAGAGACTTGATTAAGGTGAGTTGTTACCCCTCCCAACTCAAAATGCTGCTGAATGAGAAGTGAACAAGACAACTGTAAAAGATTTGGGAGGCCGGACGCGATGGTTCACGCCTATAATCCCAGCACCGGGAGGCTGAGGTGAGAGGATTGCTTGAGCCCAAGAGTTTGAGACCAGTCTGGGCAACATGATGAAACCCCGTCTCTATAGAAAAAATACAAAAATTAGTGGGCGTGGTGGCCTGTAGTCCCAGCCACCTGGGAGGCTGCGGTGGGGGCAGGGGCGGCGGGGGGGAAGTGGGGGGAGTGGTGGAGGCTGCAGTGAACCAAGATCTAGCCGCTGCACTCCAGCCTGGGTGACAGAGTGAAACTCTGTCTCAAAAAAGAGAGAAAGAGAGAGGGAGGGAGGGAGAGAGGAAGAGGGAAGGTGGGTGTGGAGAGGGAGAGAGACAGAGAACGGAACAACTGAAGATTTTTGGTTGGTTTATGTAAGGAAAATGGAGGGGAACACCGATACAGGTTTCTCTGTAAGGTAGAGCCTTAGCCCAGGGTCATTGTCGAATGTGTTTTACGTTGGCATACAACATTTAAGGGATGGATGCCATTTTTATTATTTCTCCTTTCAATGAACTTTTCCAATTGTCTAACCAGATGTGGATTACAGTGGTTTCATATAAGAGGATTTCTAAATCAGGATTACAGAGCAAAACCCTCCAGGGGTGCGTGACAGGTTGGGAGCTGTGGTGGGTCCAGGCAGAAATGGCTTCCCTGGGAAGTTGCGGAAGAGGCGTCTCTGGAGACGTGCTTCGTGAGGAGAGAAGCTGAAGTGTTGCAAACAACACTGGTTGGGGTGGGTGAAACCTGGGAAGAGGGGGTGAAACCTGGGAAGAAATGGGGTGTGGCACTAGAGTTCATAAATAGTAGCTGTGGTTAGTTTTTTTTTTTTTTTTTTTTTTTTGAGACGGAGTCATTGCCCAGGCTGGAGTGCAATGGCGCGATATCGGCTCACTGCAACATCTACCTCCCAGATTCAAGCAGTTCTCCTGTTTCAGCCTCCTGAGTAGCTGAGATTACAGGCGCCCACCACCATGCCCAGCTAATTTTTGTATTTTTAGGAGAAACAGGGTTTCACCATATTGGTCAGGCTGGTCTCGAACTCCTGACCTCAGGTGATCCACCTGCCTCAGCCTCCCAAAGTGCTGGGATTACAGGCGTGAGCCACTGCGCCCAGCCTGTGGTTAGTTTTTATTACTATATGTTACAAATAATTTTTAAATTCTTGCCGGAAACAATGTGGGAGGCCACTGGAGGTCTCAATCCCTTCTTAAGAAACTGGTCCTTTATTCCAGAAGGTTCATTAGCTGCTGCGGCAGTTAGATGCAGTGGTCCAGGAACGTGAGTGGGGATGTGTGTGGACAAGAATACTCACTGGAGACCCTTTTTTCTTGCCCTAGCAGTTGTTTCCTGTCAGTTATGGAGTGATGAGGTCACGCACTTCATTCTGGCCAGTCATTAATATGATTTGGCATTCTCTGCATGCCAGGCAAGAGTGACTGCTCTTCAGGCCAGATCTTCCTTCGAGATGGATGTTATCTCCTTTTTAGGAAGGAGGAAACAGAGAGACCTCGTAACTTGGCATGGCCACACAGTGAGTCACACAGTTAGTAAAGATGGAATTCATACCCAGGTCTGCCTGACTCTGGGATTACGAAGAATTACATGGTTCCACCTCAGTCCCAAGGTCATCTTTGCTGTGCCAAAAGGGAAAACTGGAAATAGGGGTGGTCAGAGCAGGAGGTGCTTTTTTTGGTTTTGTTTTTCCTTTAAAACAACCTGCAGAGAAAATCTAAATTAAACATTCGCAGGGACAGCGTTCTTACAATTTTTTAAATCTTCAAAATGTAATTTTAATTACACAAATAACACAGGCTCATAAGCCCACTGGAGGAAAATTATCAAATACTAAAAAAAGTAAAAGGGGAAAAACGAAAGTCACCCGTAATCCCACTAATCAGAGATGATCATTTAATGATAACATTTTAGTGATGCCTTTTGATAAGCAAAATGGGATCATACTGTTCATATTATTGTATAGCTTAGCCCTCACTTAACAGACATCTTCCTAGATTAATAAATACGGATCGCATTATTATCTTTATGGGCTGCAAGATAAATAATAACCATATTGAGCATCTAATGGTAGATTATGTCCATCCTTTGTTCCCATCTCACTCAGAGCCTCAGTTTTCTCACCTGTAAAAGGGACAATTCATACTGTTATTTAACGGACTGAAATGAGGTAATGCTTGTAAACCTGTTAGCACAATGCCTGACAGTAAATGCTCAGCCCATTAAGAAGAGCCATTATTATCCATCTAATAAATAAATAAATTCCAACATTTATTAAGTTCTTCCTCTGTGCCAGGTATTGTGCTAAGGGTTCATTTAATCCTGACACCAGGCCGGGTGTGGTGGCTCACATCTGTAATCCCAGCACTTTGGGAGGCTGAGGCAGGTGGATTGCTTGAGGTCATGAGTTCAAGACCAGCCTAACCAACATGGTGAAACCCTGTCTCTACTAAAAATACAAAAATTAGCCAGGCGTGGTGGCATACGCCTGTAGTCCCAGCTACTCAGGAGGCTGAGGCAGGAGAATCACTTGAACCCGGGAGGTGGAGGTTGCAGTGAGCCAAAACTGCACCACTGCACTCCAGCCTGGGCGACAGAGCGAGACTCTATCTCGAAAAAAAAAAAAAATCCTGACACCAAACCAATGAGGTAAGTACTATCATTATTCCCATTTTTCAGATGGGAATAAACTGAGTGACCAAGAGGCTGAATATCTTCTCCAAAGCCAAAGAACCAGGCAGTGGCAGAGATCCAAACCCAAGCGATTTGGGTGCCAGGGCTCAAGCACTTCCCCATGCAGCCACTGCCTCGAGAAATAAAAAGACTCACCAGACACTTCCTCTGTGCTAGGTGCTTTGAGTTCCTGCGCATGTTTCCAGGGGTGGGCATGAGACAAGACAGCCAGTCTCACTACATTGTTAGAATGACAGCCTCCAGCTCTTGTCATCCAGGATATCATTGTGCCTGTTTTAATTTTACTGAACCACACAGCATGTTAAAAACAAAACAAAACAAAGCAAAAAGCCTTCCCTGCTCTGCTTGATCATGGATACTCCTTGATGATCTTGGGTTCTCAAGATCTGTCTTTACATGGCTTTCCTTCACCAGTGAGGCTCTGAACTTCTTGGGAGCACTCCTCCCCAGATCTCTTTAATCAAGACCTGTACCTGGCTCCATGTAGGTACCAAATAAATTGATGAGCAAATGAATGAATGTATGAGTAAATAAGTGGGTGAATGACAATAAATGGATATGTGATAGAGAAATGAGTGAATAAACAGAACCAGTGAGTGAGTGAGTGAATGAATGAGTGAATGAATGAATGAACTCCTTGGGGCAGGGCATGGGTTTGACTAACACCTAAGGACTATTCTAAGAAGAACCTCTGACCTTTACTGTGTGTGCGCCGTTATGCCAGCGTCTGCTCCTGGGTTGCCGATAGGTAATGACTTCCTTTCTTAGGACTGCCCCCCAACCTCCTTATTCTTGGAGCCTGGGCACACGCACAGCTGGGTGGCCCTTCAGCTGATACTGCCTTAACTGCTTTAACTCTGCCTGCTGTGCTGTCCAGGCTTCTGCAAATAGCCCAGGTGTGGCCATCCTCCAGAGGCCTCCAACATTAACTGTGAAGGGCCCGGAATAAAACCTAGTATTAGTAGGCCAGGCGCAGTGGCTCACGCCTGTAATCCCAGTACTTTGGGAGGCCGAGGCGGGAGAATCACCTGAGGTCGGGAGTTCAAGACCAGCCTGACCAACATGGAGAAACCCCGTCTCTACTAAAAATACAAAATTAGCCGGGCGTGGTGGCGCATACCTGTAATCCCAGATACTGGGGAGGCTGAGGCAGGAGAATCGCTTGAACTTGGGAGGCGGAGGTTGCGGTGAGCCGAGATGGTGCCACTGCACTGCAGCCCAGGGAACAAGAGCGAAACTCTATCTCAAAAAAAAAAAAAAAAAAAATCTAGTATTAGTAAACGCAGGTGTTTAACAATGTCACCACTACATGTCAGGGAACACTGATAAACTAAGAGAGAGCACGGGACCTGCCTGGGTGTGGCTGCTGTACTTGCAAGACATCTTCCCTCTCTGAGTTTCAGCATGCCGGCATTTGGCACTAAGTTGTCGTTCAACATATATGGAATGAATGAACGAAAGGGAGAGTTGGAGTTAATAACACCTTGCATAGAATAAACCCCGTCGGTTCTTAACCCGAAGAGAGTCGAGACCCAGAGCCCTTTTCCTTCCCTGCCGCCACGGTGCCCACGGAGGGGGCGTGGTTGATCTCCCTCACAGCTCCGTCGGGACCAGAGACCCGGGGACCTTTTACACCCAGGGTCCGCGCAAAGTGTCGGCCTAGCCAGTGGTTGGGTGGCGCCCGGGCCTCCAGGCAGTCTTCCAGGGGTCGGCGAACGAAACGCGGAGCTCGGGAGCGACCCGGCGGGGCCAGGCACGGGCAGAAGGGCCAAGAGGGCCACAGGTGGGCGCGGAGCGGCCGGAGTGGGCGGGGACTGGATGAGAGGGGCGGGGTCTAGGAGAGAGGGGCGGGGCGGCGGCCACAAACCCGCAGGCACGCCGCCGGCCGCCGTTTAGTCCCAGAGATAGAAAAAAGTAGAGGTAGGAGGGCGCGGCGGCTCACGCCTGTAATCCCAGCACTTTGGAAGGCCGAGGCGGGCGGATCACGAGGTCAGGAAATCGAGACCATCCTGGCTAACAGGGTGAAACCCCGTCTCTACTAAAAATACAAAAAATTAGCCGGGCGTGGTGGGGGGCGCCTGTAGTCCCAGCTACTCGGGAGGCTGAGGCAGGAGAATGGCGTGAACCCGGGAGGCGGAGCTTGCAGTGAGCCGAGCTCGCGCCACTGCACTCCAGTCTGGGCGACAGAGCGAGACTCCGTCTCAAAAAAAAAAAAAAGAACACCAGTAAGCCTCTACCGCAGGCCCTACACAAGCAGGCCCTTGTACTCACTGGCATCGCCCTCCCGGGGCCGCCAGGAATGAGGCACTGAGATCCCACCCCAAGCCGCTGGGGGCGCCATTCGACTTCGCTCCTACGGAAATGGGGCTTCGATGTCTTTCTGCGCTTGCGCGGCACGGAAACTCACTTCCGGCCCTGCGCACTCAGGGTCTGAGGCAGCTAGTAGCCGGGTGAGTGGAGGCTGGAGTTTTCTCGGACAGTGAACTCTACCGCCCCGTGAGACCCTGCCCTATGTGTCGCGGGAACACATGTCACCCCACAGCTCTCTTTGAGTGACCTCCCGACCACCCATTCCTGCCTAACCCTAGCATTCCTTCCTCAGCCTCAAGGTCCCAGTGCTACCCTCTCCCCCACGACCCCTTTAGACGGGCATGCGACCTCCACACACGCCTCACTTTATGTGATAGTCAGACTAGTCGCATCTCTCTGTCCTCCCTCAGTTGCCTTTTCAGAGGCTACCTCCCCTGTAGAGCCTTTGTTGGGGGATGAGGAGTGTCTTGGGTCGAGAACAGGCCCCTGTAACCCACTGAGCGCCCCTTCATTCCGTCTCTCTCCGCCCTTTGTAGAGGGTCACCATGAAGTTCAATCCCTTCGTTACCTCGGACCGCAGTAAAAACCGCAAACGTCACTTCAATGCCCCCTCACACGTGCGCAGGAAGATCATGTCATCCCCGCTCTCCAAGGAGCTGCGGCAGAAGTACAATGTCCGCTCCATGCCCATCCGCAAGGACGACGAGGTCCAGGTACGTCTCCCTCCGGCGCTAGTGGCGCTCGGACACCGTTGCCTAAGAACGTCATGCGTGGAGCAGTCACAGACTCACATGCCTCAGGACTCTGGAAAGTAGTGTGACCCTTCAGATGTGTTAGGCCAGAGATAGGGTTCAGAGCCACCAGAGAGTGCCTGCGTTGCTTTAGAGCATTTAATTATTTAATAGTAATAGTAAAATTTAATAAAACAGTATGTCAACCAAGCAAAAACCTGCTTTTTTGTTTGTTTTGTAGAGATAGGGTCTTGCTATGTTGCCCAGGCTGGTCTCTGAACTCCTGGCCTCAAGTGATCCTCCCACCTCAGCCTCCCAAAGCACTGGGATTACAAGTGTGAGCCACCGTGCCCCACCAAAAATACTTTTGATTTAACCTTCTGGCTGCTAGTTTGCCAAGTGTTGTTGCCCAGGGTGGCTTGTTGAACCAGACTGTAGGGGAAGGTGCTGCAGTGAGAGTAGTGTTTTAGTGTATTTGGGTGTAGTGGGATTGATGGACAGAGATTTGTGGGAGCTGGCCATGTGATAGCATTGGATTTGGCAGGAGAACTGGTAAAGATGCAGCGAGTCACTCTTTCATAATTTCTAAAAGACTGGCCCATGTGAGAACGTACAAGCCCTCTGTTCTCTGTGATTGGAGCTTAGAATGCATGAGAGGAGGGAAGGGAGTTGGATATGAGTGAAATAAGCAGGGGCTAGATTCATTCCTCAAAGGAATATTTATGGAGCACTTACCAGAGATTGTTCTAGGACAAGATTGACGAGGCCCTTGTTCTCATGGAGATCACGTTTTAGAGCAGGGTTTCCTAGCCTCAGCTCTATTGATATGTTGGACTGGATAATTGTTGTGGGGGGTGGGGGGTGGGGGCTGTCCTGTGCATTGTAGAATGTTTAGCAGCGTCCCTGGCCTCTCCCCACTAGATGCCAGTGGCACTCCCTCCCTTCACAGTTGTGACAAGCAAAAATATTTCCAGATATTGCCAAATGCTCCCTGGGGGGCAAAATCAACTCTTCCCTCACTCAGTTAAGAGCTATTGTCTTAGAGAATGAAATGACATAAGGTGATGAGGCTTGGTGTATCATCTGAGACACTGGGACTCTTTGAAGGTTTGGGGATATGTTAAGGAGGAAAAAATGTGGAGTTAAGCCGGAAGTGTGACAGGAAGAGTGGAAAGAGTAGTTCAGAGGTATGATCAGCAGTTTCAACCCCCTCTCTCCTGGATCCTTCCCATCAGACATGTTCTAGAATGGGGGAATTGCAAATACTTATAGGGGATAGGTAGGGATAGAAAATGGCAAACTGGAAAGCTCAAGCCTCACATATAAGATATAATCATCTACCTTTAGCCCATTGATGCCTGGGGGAAATGCAGGCCCATTGTTAGATTCTTGGATTTTCAAAGAGAGCTGGAAAATTTGGATTCACTTCCCTAGCCCACATTTCCTTCCAGCTACTACACTTTGTTCTCTATTCATAACCAACCTCCTCAAGAGAGCTGTCTACACTTCCTCATCTCCCATTCACTCTTGGATTCTCTTCAGTCTATTCCCTGTCCCCACTACATTATAGAACCTACTTTGACGTAGATCACTAATAATCCCTTCGTGACTGAATCCAGTGGACACATCTAGCATCTCTTTCTGCTCTGTGTTCTCTACGTAGGTAAAGAATAGGTAATAATCCGTTCTTAGAGCTTTAAATGTCTGCTGTGTGCTAACAACTCCCTCTTTTATATCCCAGTCCAGACCACTTTAGACAACCTGTATATCTGACTACCTATAACACAGACCTATAGATCTGACTACCTACTGAACATCTCTATTTAGGTAGCCCATTGACATTTCAAGCTTCTTAAGAGTACTCTTGATCCTAACACTCTCACTGCCTCCAGAATCCAACTCTACTCCCATCTTCCACATCTCCAGTAAGTGCCATTTATATCTCCCCAGCTGCATATGCCCCTAAACCTTTGTTATCTTTAACAACGCTCCTTAACCCCCTCTTGTAATCTACCATCAAGGCTTGTTGATTCTACCTCCAAAGTAAGTCTTGAACCTATTTCCTGTCCAGTTCAAGGCAGCATTGCAGTTCCCTCTTTTACCTTTGTCCATTTTCCACAGAGTGGTATTATTTGCAAATCAGGTCCTATTTAAAACCTTTGGCAGGCTGGGCATGATGGCTCACGCCTGTAATCCTAGCAGTTTGGGAGGCCCAGGCGGGTGGATCCCCTGAGCTCAGGAGTTTGAGACCAGCCTGGGAAACATGGTGAAACTCCATCTCTACTAAAAATACAAAAAATTAGCCAGGCGTGGTGGTGCACACCTGTAATCCCAGCTACTCGGGAGGCTGAAGCATGACAATCGCTTGAACCCGGGAGGCGGAGGTTGCAATGAACCGAGATTGTGCCATTGCACTCCAGCCTGGGTGACAGAGTGAGACTCTGTCTCAAAAACAACAACAACAACAACAAAAAACGGCCAGGCACAGTGGCTCACGCCTGTAATCCCAGCACTTTGGGAGGCTGTGGCAGGCAGATCATGAGGTCAGGAGATTGAGACCATCCTGGCTAACACGGTGAAACCCATCTCTACTAAAAATATAAAAAATTAGCTGAGCGTGGTGGTGGGCGCCTGTAGTCCCAACTACTTGGGAGGCTGAGGCAGGAGAATGGCGTGAACCCGGGAGGGGGAGCTTCCAATGAGCCAAGATCATGCCACTGCACTCCAGCCTGGGTGACAGAGTGAGGCTCTGTCTCAAAAAAAAAAAAAAAAAAAAAAAATCCTTTGGCAGTTTTATATCTGCCAAAACTGACCTGTACATTTTACTGTATGTAAATGATGCCTCAGTTAAAAATAAAATGATTTCAAATTGTGTTCATTGCTATGAAGAAAATATAAAGGATGCTATGATATTGATTAAAGGACCTGGGAAGGCTTCTCTGAGGAACTAATACATTTAAGAGAAGACCTGAGAAATGAGGAGTTAGCCAGGTGCTTACCAATGGTGCCTGATGTGCTTATAAAATCTAAAATCATGGCCAGGCGCGGTGGCTCACGCCTGTAATCCCGACACTTTGGGAGGCTGAGGTGGGTGGATCACCTGAGGTCAGGAGTTCGAGACCAGCCTGGCCAACATGGTGAAACCCCACCTCTACTAGAAATACAAAAATTAGGTGTGGTGGCACACACCTGTAATCCCAAGTACTCGGGAGGCTGAGGCAGGGGAATCGCTTTAACCTAGGAGGTAGAGGTTGCAGTGAGCCAAGATTGCGCCACTGCACTCCAGCCTGGGCAACAGAGTAAAACTCGGTCTCAAAAAAAAAAAAAAAAATCTAAAATCATTGACTGCAAGGCCCTCTATGGGCCAATCCTGGTCTACTTCTCCATCCTCATCTCCTCCTAACCCCCATGTGCTCTACACTTTAACCACACTGGGCTTCTGGGGTCTTTAAATACACCTTGATCTTTTCTCCCGCTGGAATGTTCTCTCTGCCTGGAGTGCTCTTCCTTCTCTCCTTTACATAGGTAACTCCTCATTCTTCGGGTCCTACCTTAAATGTCCGTTCCTCAGAGAAGCCTTCCCAGATCCTTTAACCAATATTATAGCCTAGCATTCTTTATTTTTTCTTCGTAGCAGTAAGCACAATTTGAAATCATTTTATTTTTAACTGAGGCATAATTTACACACAGTAAAATGCACAGGTCAGTTTTGGCAAATGTAAAACCAAATAGCCATTACCCTAATTATGATTAGACCATTAAAAAGACCATTTTTAATCATCCCAGTAAGTTCCTATGTGACTTATTCCAGTTAGTGGTCATGTATTTGTCTATGTACTCATTAACTGCTTACTGGCCATCAGGCTAAGCTCCATGAAACCAGAGAGTTCATCTTGTTTGTTGTCTGACCTCAGTGCAGAGCCTGACACTTAGAGAGGAGAAGGGTCAGTCAATATTTGTTGAATGAATGAAAAAAATTTTTTGAGTAGGTAAGATGTAGAAGGTGAGACAGAGAAGGAGGGCAAAGAGGGAGAAGGAGCTGCTGTTAAATATATATATATTTTAAATTAGAGACATTTATTTATTTATTTATTTATTTAAAAATAGGTATTGCTTTGCTGCCCAGGCTGGTCTCAAACTCCTGGCTTCAAGCAATCCTTCTGCCTTGGCCTCCCAAAGTGCTGGGATTACAGGCATGAGCCACAGTGTCTGGCCTGTTGCCTTTTTTTTTTTTTTTTTTTTTGAGACAGAGTTTCACTCTTGTTGCCCAGGCTGGAGTGCAGTGGCACAATCTCGGCTCACTGCAACCTCTGCCTCCCGGGTTCAAGCCATTCTCCTCCCTCAGCCTCCCAAGTAGCTGAGATTACAGGCACACACCACCATGCCTGGCTAATTTTCATATTTTTAATAGAGACGGGGTTTTACCATGTTGGTCAGTCTGGTCTCGAACTCCTGACCTCAGGTGATCCACCCGCCTCAGCCTCCCCAAGTGCTGGGATTACAGGCGTGAGCCACCACGCCCGGCTGCCTGTTGCCATTTTTTGAATGCCTAAGAGGTATGAATTGTTTCAGCCAAAGGCCATGCTGGCTGAACACTTCTCCACCAGGAGAATAAAATAGCCCTGATTGGGTTTGTTAATATTGCCTCCTCTCACGGGATCTTCTGAATCTCACTTACCTTCCTCTTTCTCTGAGTAGGTGATGGTTCCTCCTACTTTACAGAGAAAATTGAAGTTATCAGCCAGGAACTTTCAGAAATCGTGGCTCCACACCTACACGTTTACCTGTAGTTCCACCCCTCTTATTTTCTTTCCCTTCTGTTACAATGAAAGAAATATCCCAGGCCTGGTGCAGTGGCTCACGCCTGTAATCTCAACACTCTGAGAGGCCAAGACAGGTGGATCGCTTGAGGCCAGGAGTTCGAGACCAGCCTGGCCAACATGGCGAAATTCCGTCTGCACTAAAAATATAAAGATTAGCTGGGCGTGATGGCACATGCCTGTAATCCCAGCTACAAGGGAGGCTGAGGCAATGAGATATCACTTGAACCCAGAAGGCGGAGGTTGTGGTGAGCCAAGATCACGCCACTGCACTCCAGCATGGGTAACACAGCAAGTCTCTGTCTCAAAAAAAAAAGAAAGAAATATCCCTGTTTCTGCCTAAGCCTAATCCATCTGCCACTGGGTGCTGCTCCATTCTTCTCTTGGAGCTTTTTTGGTCCCTTATCTTCTTTCTCTGTAGTTTCTTTTACCGTCTTCCTCCATACTTGTTCCTTCCATCAGCATTTAAACACAATCATGTTTTCCCTTCTTTAAAAATAAAAAATAAAGGAAAGTTCCCTTAGCTTTCCATCCCCCTCAAACATCTATCCCCTTCTCATCTTCAGAGCCAAGCTCCTTTGGACTGTCTTTTCTCACCTTCACCTTCTCACCTGGTACACTCATCACTTTACTGTTAATGGCCTCCATCCCAGCACTCAGTGAAGGCATTCCAGCCACAGCCACTGTTGATGACCTTGTTGTCAGATCTGTTAAATACCTTATCCTCTGTGTTCTTGACAGTCCCACAGAATTTGACATTCTCTTGGCTGCTGTAACACCACACTTGCATGATTTCCCATTCGCTCTGGCCACATTAATCTCTCACAAGCTCTTCCAAAATGCTGGCTTTTCTCACATGTGTACATTCTGCCCTTTTCTCATACCATCACTCCTTGAGCAACATGAAGCTCCTAATTGCCTCTCTGTGGATGACTCCCACGTCTCTATTGCTGGCCCAGTTGGCATTCCAGCTGTGTCTGAATTCTCTGTTAGAATGTCCCCAGATGCTTCAAATTTAGCATGTTCCAAACTAAACTATTTCCTCCTAAAATACGGGGCTTCCCCTATGATCTCTGCATCTGGCAATGGCATTGCCATCCACCTGGTTGCCCAAGCCAGACTCTGAGTATCATCCTTCCCTCTTCATCCTCACCTCTCCAGTCTAGTCGACCAGCCGACTTAGTCTTATCCTGTCTCCTGTCTTCCTCTTCACTATGTCCAGAGGTTGTCCACTTCTCTTTTTAAAAATTTTTTAAATTAATTTTTTATTTTATTTTATTTTGAGACAGGATCTCACTCTGTCACCCAGGCTGGAGTACAGTGGTGCAAAAACAGGTTGCTGCAGACTCAACCTCCTGGGTTCAAGTGATCCTCCCACCTCAGCCTCCCGAGTAGCTGGGATCATAGGCGCATGCCACCATGTCTGGCTAACTATTTTTTTTTTTTTTTTTTTTTTTTTTTTTGTAGAGACGGGGTCTTGCTATGTTGCCTCGGCTGGTCTCCAACTCCTGGACTCAAGCAGTCCACCTGCCTGAGCTTCCTAAAGTACCAGGATTACAGCTGTGAGCCACCATGCCCGGCCTAAGATCTTTCTTCAGTCTTGGCCAGGTGCAGTGGCTCACACATGTAATCCCAGCACTTTGGAAGGCCAAGGTGGGTGGATCTCTTGAGCTCAGGTGTTTGAGACCAGCCTGGGCAGCATAGTGAAACCCTGTCTCTTAAAAAAAGTGTGTATGTGTGTATTTCTTCAGTCTTGATGGTATTAACAAGACTTCTTCCAGGTGTGTCCTGAGAGTCTCTGGTCATGTAGTCTGTGGTAGATTTTTCACTGAGATATGATTGTCCTCTTCAACCTAAAAATCGCCTTGGAAAATAAGCCAAACAAGCTATACGTAGACATTTTAGGAGTATTGGGGTTCTCTAGTTCTTTATATGTGGTATCTCCTCTATGCTTATTAATCAGAGTCACATCGTACCTGGTGGTTTTTTTTTTTTGAGGCGGTGTCTCGCTCTGTCGCCAGCCTGGAGTGCAGTGGCACCATCTCAGCTCACTGCAACCTCCGCCTTCCAGGTTCAAGTGATTCTCCTGCCTCAGCCCCCCGAGTAGCTGGGTCTACAGGCGCCCACCACCACGCCCAGCTAATTTTTGTATTTTTAGTAGAGACAGGGTTTCACCATGTTGGCCTGGATGGTCTCGATCTCTTGACCTCATGATCCACCGGCTTTGGCCTCCCAAAGTGCTGGGATTACAGGTGTGAACCACCGTGCCCGGCCCCCATGCATGGTGTTTAATAAGCTCTTGTGGCTGGGCATGGTGGCTCACACCTGTAATCCCAGCACTTTGGGAGGCCGAGGCAGGCAGATCACTTGAGGTCAGGAGTTCGAGACCAGCCTGGCCAATATGGCGAAACCTGGTCTCTACTAAAAATACAAAAATTAGCCAGGCCTGCTGGTGCGTGCCTATAATCCCAGCTACTTGGGAGGCTGAGGCAGGAGAATCACTTGAACCTGGGAGGTGGAGGTTGCAGTGAGCCAAGATCATGCCAGTGCCCTCCAGCCTGGGGGAACAGAGCGAGACTCCGTGTCAAAAATAAATAAATAAATAAATAAGCTCTTGCTTTCAAGGAAACCCTAATCTAGTTGGTTTTTGAATAGAGTAGATTTTTAGTACAGTAAAACAGTCTGTGAGATTTAAAATTTTTTTTCTGACTTTAAAATATTTGTATTAAATGTAGAAATGTTGAAATTTAGAAGAATATAAATCTAAAAATCAGTCATCTGTAATCCTGCTTCCTGCCTAATGGCAGCTGTTACCAATATTTATATATATATTTTATCCCACTGTGTCATGCTATATATATGAAATGTGTGTGTATATATACATATATACACATATATACGTATGTATACACATATATGTATATATGACATATAAGTACATATATGTATGTATGACATATATGTATGTTACATATAAGTACATATGTGTATGTATATGATACGTGTATGTATATATGACATATAAATACATATACGCACATATGTAATATATATTATATATATACACACACACATACACTCATATAGTTTGAGTATCTCAAATTCAGAATGCTCCAAAATCTGAGACTTTGTCAACGTGATGGTCAAAGGAAGTGTTCTTTGGAGCTTTTGGGATTTCAGATTTTCAGATTTGGGGTGCTTAGCTAGTAATGCAGATATTCCAAAATCCCAAAAACCCTAAATCCAAAACACTTCTGGTCTCAAGCATTTCGAATAAGGGATACTTGACATATATATGTATATATATATAGTTCAGAGTATATTCTATATGTAGTTTTGTATTCTCCTTTTTCCTCTAAAGCTCATATCGCACATTTCTGTGGGATCCAGGTAAAAAATCTCCACCCAACCATAGCACAACACAGATTTATATCAGAAAAGTAGCTAATTTTTGACTGCCAGGATTAAGCTGCTTTTGACAAAGTTATATGTTTAGCCCATGTGTTCCTGATGGTTAGCTTCCTCTTTATGATCATGCACTACAAATGGAGGGGGATTCTCTTTTGTATTTTCTCTTAGGTAGTTCGAGGACACTACAAAGGTCAGCAAATTGGCAAGGTAGTCCAGGTGTACAGAAAGAAATATGTCATCTACATCGAGCGGGTGCAGCGTGAGAAGGCCAACGGCACAACTGTCCACGTGGGCATTCACCCAAGCAAGGTATGGTCAAGGACTGAGTGGCAGTAGCAGCCATGGAGTGTGTCAATACTGTTCAAAGTTATTGGTGTTTTGGTACTCCCTGCACAGTTGGCTGAGGCAGGCCAGGTGGACTTGATTGATTCAGTAGCTTTGTGATATCATCAAGGATCCAGATTTTTCTTCTCTTCTCTTTTCTGTTTTGCCTTTCTTGGTGATGGCTGTGTCTTTTTTTTTTTTTTTTTTTTTTTGAGACGGATGCTCGCTCTGTCACCAGGCTGGAGTGCTGTGGTGCGATCTCGGCTCACTGCAACCTCCACCTCCTGGGTTCAAGCAATTCTCCTGCCTCAGCCTCCCAAGTAGCTGGGACTACAGGCACACACCACCACGCCCAGCTAATTTTTATATTTTTAATAGAGATGGGGTTTCACCATGTTGGCCAGGATGGTCTCGATCTCCTGACCTCGTGATCCGCCCGCCTCGGCTTTCCAAAGTGTTGGGATTACAGGTGTGAGCCATCATGGCCGGCCGATGGCTGTGTCTTTAAGCTGGTTGCAAGAGGCTTCCAAGTGTTCTAGGCATCACTTCCCCTACCACATAATATTCAGAGGAATAAGAGAGAATATATCTTCCTGTAGCCCTCATGCCTACCTAGTGGAACATGCTATTTTTCCTTTGTGTTCCTATTTTGTATTGTGTTACAGGGTCTGTTTTCCTTCCAGAGTTTCAGTTCCTTAAAAGCTGAATGGCTGAGGTCTTACTTAACTTATGATGTCTATATTGCTCAATAGCTGGTGGGGATGCAGAAATAAAGACCTGTTTTCTCACTCCCAACAGGTGGTTATCACCAGGCTAAAACTGGACAAGGATCGGAAAAAAATTCTTGAACGCAAAGCCAAGTCTCGACAAGTTGGAAAAGAGAAAGGCAAATATAAAGAAGAACTTATTGAGAAAATGCAGGAATAAATAGAACCTGTTGTGCAACCACGGTTTAACCGGAGATTTTGAGGCTAGGGTGTGTTTCTTTCGAACTTTTCGGAATGTCTGGAACATTTCATTTCCTGTTTTGTTACCTGTGCCTCTGTAAATCTACTTTTGCAATTTTAAGTAATAATTTTATGAATAAAAATGGGAAATGCTTCCTAATTCCACATAGTATTTGCATTGTTTTATAAATAAATTCCACTTACTATCAATTCCCCTTTGCCAGTCTTTTCCTATTTAATGTGTGGAACAGCAAAATCGCAGGGGTAGGGTTAAATGGCCCTCCTCTTGCCTGGACTCTTGTGCTGATGAAGTAGAAAGGGCAGGGCTCTAGTCTTATATAGACAGGCCTCATCATCTTGCCCAGGCTGGTCCTGAACTCCTAGGCTCAAATGATCCTCCTGCCTTGGCCTCTCAAAGTGTTGGGATTACAGGCGTGAGCTGCCATGCTCTGGTCCTTGACACAGGGATTTGCCCCACTCAGTAGCAGTTGTAATGTGCACTGTCACATCTCACGCCTGACAGATTGCTCTCTGGCCTCCTGACTTGGGCTTCCCCAGCTTTCTCTCCAAGTGCCAACTAAACCAAATCATGTGCAGCTCCCTGACCAGGCTTATCTTCCCAAAGTTTTGACTTTGCAATTGCCATTTTCATGTGACTAAAAAGCCCCTTTTCCTCTGGAACTAACTTGAGAAACTGGCAGCCTACAGGAAAGATTTAACTGAGATACTGTTTTTCACTATATTTTCCAACATTTAAAATGTGGGAGACTCCACAGAGAATCACCTGCTTCACCTGGCTCCACGGGGCTCTCCCTGTTTTGCAGTGTTAAGTGCAGCCAAGGGCTTGGCGGTTCCCTATCCCACCTGCTCTGCTCCCATACGCTTCTTGCCTGGCCTCCATTGGCCTCCGCATTAGACTCCTGGTCTAACTTTCAAGCAACTAAATCTTCAAGATTTAGTTCCTTTGGCCAGGCACAGTGACTCATGCCTGTAATCTCAGAACTTTGGGATACTCGTGGGAGGATGGCTTGAACCCAGAAGTGTAAGACCAGCCTGGTTACTGAGACCCCACCACTACAAAAAAAAAAAAAAATTAATTTTTTTAATTAGAAAAAAAGATTTAATTCCTTTGAGAGGTATGTAGTGAATAAAAATTTTTAGAAAATGTATCTCCAGGGCCACATCCAAAATCCTCTGTCCCTGTGGGAAAAAAAAAAAAAACTTTTTTTGAGATGGAGTCTCCATCTTGCTTAGGCTGGAGTGCGGTGGCGCTATCTCAGCTCACTGCAACCTCCGCCTCCCGGGTTCAAGTGAACCTCCTGCCTCAGCCTCTCAAGTAGCTGGGATTACAGGCCTGCGCCACCACGGGGTTTCCCCATGTTGGCCAGGTTGGTCTTGAACTCCTGACCTCAAGTGATCCGCCTGTCTCAGCCTCCCAAAGTGCTGCAATTAACAGGCATGAGCCACTGCACCTGTCCTAAAAAAAAACACAAAAAAATTTTTTTCAAGAGAGGGTCTTGTTCTGTCACCCAGGTTGGAGTGCAGTGGTGTGATCTCAGCTCACTGCAGCCTTGACAGCCCAGGCTCAAGTGATCCTCCCACCTCAGCCTCCCAAGTAGCTGGGATTACAGGCATGTGCCACCACACCCAGCTAATATTTAAATTTTTTTGTAGAGATGGGAGTCTCAGTATGTTACCCAGGCTGGTCTCAAATTCCTGGCCTCAAGTGATTCTCCTGCCTTGGCCTCCCGAAGTGCTGGAATTAGACATGAGCCACCATGACTAGCCTAAAAAATAATAATGTATTGATTAAAATGTATCAAACAGCCTTTTATGACTTTCTAGTAATGGTTTATCTGACACACTGGAATTTCTTAATAAATGTTAATTGAATCAGTGTTGTTTCCCATTTTGACTGATGAAGAAAACAAGCTTAGGTTAACTGTCCAAATCACAGCATAAGAAATGAAGCCAAGATTTGAACCTGAGCCTGACTGCATCAAAAGGCCATTCACTTCCCACATTAGCCACTTATCTTTAGTCTTCCTTCCTTCACTCTTGTCAGCCTTTCACTGGAGTCTGATAAGAGACTGCATATTTATGTGGAACAGACAAGAACCTATGTGTTTGCAGCCGGTAGTGCTACTTAGGAAAGCATTATCACCAACTGTCCAGGTCTAATCCTAGCTCTGCCACTGGGCAGTCATCAGCCTTTGAGCAAGTTACTCATCTCTGGACTTCTAAACAGATGATAATACCTGCTCTGCCTTCTTATCTCATCGAAAATGCAAAGATAAAATGGCAAGATCAGATGGGCCGTTTCTGAGTACTCTTTGAAAGCTATGAGTATACAAATGTTAATTTCACTATCATTGTTCAGTTTACTTATATGTCCAATTCTGACATTCACTCTGCACTCAAAGAGGCAGTTATTTTTCAGAAAAGAAATCAGTGAGTTTGGCAGGGCGCAGTGGCTCACACCTGTAATCCCAGCACTTTGGGAGGCCAAGGTGGGTGGATCACCTGAGGTCAGTAGTTCGAGACCAGCCTGGCCAACATGGTGAAACCCCGTCTCTACTGAAAATACAAAAATTAGCTGGGTATGGTGGCGCACGCCTGAATCCCAGCTACTTAGGAGGCTGAGGCACGAGAATCGCTTGAACCCGGGAGGCGGAGGTTGCAGTGAGCCAAGATTGCACCACTGCACTGTAGCCTGGGAGACAGAGCGAGACTGCATCTCAAAAAAACAAAAAAAATCAGTGAGTTCAAAAACCACAAAACTCAAGATGTGTTCTCTGACTTGGCATTGATACACTGAACTCACTGATACAAGGTAGACAGATACTGTCCTGTCCCTGGAGTCAGACAGATTTGGGTTCAAATCCTGCTCTTGTTCTTGGGAGGTCATTTTTCTGATTCTCTGTTTTTCTATTTATGTAAAAAGCTGCCAGACACAGTGGCTCACGCTTGTAATCCCAGCACTTTGGGAGGCTGAGGTGGAAGGATCGCTGGAGCCCAGGAGTTTCAGACCAGCCTGCGTAACATAGTGAGACCCCATATCGACAAAATAATTTAAAAACTAGCCAGGTGTGGTGGCCCATGCCTGTAGTCCCAGCTACCCAGGAGGCTGAGGTGGGGAGGATTGTTTGAACTCAGAAGGTCAAGATTGCAGTGAGCCATGATGACATTGCACTCTAGCCCGGGCAACAGAGCGGAACCCTGCCTCAAAAATAACAAATAAATAAAAGAGTAGGTGCCCACCATACAGCAGCTGTATAATCATTAACATGCTGAGCTATGTATCTAATGAGTATAGTGAGTAGGTTAACTAGTAAATTCTGAAATTTATATTTTCTAATTTGATTCTTGTCTTTGTTCTCAACCAATACATATTTTAGGACTCTAAGAGTTGCATGAAAGTCAGATTTCATACTAAACTCACAGCTCCTTACTCTACAGTCTGTAACCTGGTCTGAGCTCCAGGCTCCAGCCATTACTTTCATTAGTAAATTTAAGTTATGATATCATCTAGGAATCAGACCTGGCTTGTTTTCAGCAACTTATTCCAAGAAAAATGACCAATAAGAGCTTTGAGAGCTGCAATCCCCCTGTAGGTATCCAAATCATACCACACTGCTTATACTGAGCCAGGTTGATAATAATAATGCATGATCAAGAGCAGGAACTAGGCCTCAAGTTGAGTTCTAATCTTAGCTCTGTCATTTCCTAGCTGTGTGACCTTGGGCAAACTGCTTAACCTCTCTGGGCCTCAGGTTTGTCATTTATAAAATGGAGATAAAATTAGTACTTACTTCATAGAGTTGTCAGACTTATTACTTGAGATACTGTGTGTAAAGCACAGAGTGCTCAGGAAGTTTTAGCTATTGTCTTAAAGGAGATTGGCAATGGAATTCGTTCACAGGAACATAGAGAAAAGTTTTTCTCCAGGGAGGTGAGACAAATACTGATTCTTGAAAAAAGGGAAGGGTTTAAGGGCAACAGTGATGTGTTTGGGCTGCTGCAGGAAATGAGGATTGGAGAATGCCAGATGGGTGGGCCTGCCTATCAAAGTTCAGGCCATGGGGTATTAGCTTGTTTTCTGGAATGAATGAATTATACAGTTTTCTACTGACCTTTTCATCACATTTGCGGATGTCCATTCCCTTGAGTGGTTCCCTTCTGCTATTCTGGGAAGATGCCAGACTTTTAAACTTCAGATAACTGCTTTTGAATGTCTGCTTTCACATTGCATAGGCATGAGATGTTCAGCCACATAATTTTCTTTTTTTTTCAGACAAGGTTTTGCCGTGTCACCTAGGCTGGAGAGCAGTGGCATGGTTTCAGCTCACTGCAACCTCTGCCTCCCAGGCTCAAGCGATCCTCCCACCTCAGCCTCCCAGAACTGGGACTATACAGGCACATGCTACCACTGCCAGCTAATTTTTGTAGTTTTTGTAAAGACGAGTTTTCGCCATGTTACCCAGGATGGTCTTCAACTCCTAGGCTCAAGCAATTCACTTGCCTCGGCCTCCCAAAGTGCTCGGATTACAGGCATGAACCACCGCACCCAGAAGCCACAGGACTTTTGACGTGAGTTGGATGAGCAAGTAATTGAATCTTCCAGGAACCAGACAGAACCCAACTAACCACGAGTCCAGCATTCTCTGCTGCTGCTGCAGACTTTGAGCAGTTCCTATCTGATAGTTTACCAGAGTCTTGTTCATTGTCCTTTTAAACTGGTATTTTTTAATTAGATAAGTAGTGCTTATATATGGTACAAAATTAAAAGGTAAAACAAAAAAGTAGACGGTGAAAAGTATGTTTCTTTGTCACCTTGAGTCTCAGTCACTCGGTTCTCTCCAGAGGCACTGTTTCCAGTTTCTTTTGTAGCCTTCCAAAAACAGTATTTATTATATTCATATTCAATTGAATGTTTATTGAAAGTTTGATCCATGAGAAAGTCCTCATGAGAAAAGCAGGCCATCCAAATTTAAACAGCTATATAAGGTTGATTTATTATCTGAACACCATAATTACAAAAACATGCACAGATATGAGAATGTTCTTTGACCATCAGAAATAACTAAATTGGCCGGGTGCGGCAGCTCACACCTGTAATCCCAGCACTTTGGGAGACCGAGGCAGAAGGATCATGAGGGCAGGAGATCAAGACCATCCTGGCTAACACGGTGAAACCCCATCTCCACTAAAAAAAAAAAAAAAAATACAAAAAAATTAGTCGGGCGTGGTGGCGGGCGCCTGTAGTCCCAGCTATTCAGGAGGCTGAGGCAGGAGAATAGCGTGAACCCGGGAAGCGGAGCTTGCAGTGAGCCGAGATCACACCACTGCACTCCAGCCTGGGTGACACAGCGAGACTCTGTCTAAAAAAAAAAAAGAGGCCAGGCGCAGTGGCTCACGCCTGTAATTCCAGCACTCTGGGAGGCCGAGGTGGGCGGATCACGAGGTCAGGAGATCGAGACCATCCTGGCTAACACGGTGAAACCCCGTCTCTACTAAAAATACAAAAAAAAATTAGCTGGGGATGGTGGTGGGTGCCTGTAGTCCCACCTACTCGGGAGGCTGAGGCAGGAGAATGGCATGAACCTGGGAGGCGGAGCTTGCAGTGAGCCAAGAGTGCACAACTGCACTCCAGCCTGGGCGACAGAGCGAGACTCCGTCTCAAAAAAAAAAAAAAAAAAAAACCAAAAAAAAAAAAAAAACACTAAATCAACCACTTTCCAATTTATTCTTGGCAAGGGTGGCTAGTTCTAGAATAGGCTTTTAAAGGTCTCATCTTATGCAGCAGATGATGTCTGAATCTTGTGAAGTTGTGTGTAATTTAGGATTCTCTGTATGCCGACTTATTTCTTGAAATGGGAGAGGCTGTCAGTCGGCGCCACATGTGGGCTGGTGGCTCTGTGGCAGTGGTGGCGGCTGGACTCCGGCACCATGAGCGGCTTCAGCACTGAGGAGCGCGCCACGCCCTTCTCCCTGAAGTACCGAGTCTTCCTCAAAAATGAGAAAGGACAATATATGTCTCCATTTCAAGATATTCCAATTTATGCAGATAAGGATGTGTTCCACGTGGTAGTTGAAGTACCACTGTGGTCTAATGCAAAAATGGAGGTTGCTACAAAGGACCCTTTAAACCCCATTAAACAAGATGTGAAAAAAAGAAAACTTCGCTATGTTGCGAATTTGTTCCCGTATAAAGGATATGTCTGGAACTATGGTGCCATCCCTCAGACTTGGGAAGACCCAGGGCACAATGATAAACATACTGGCTGTTGTGGTGACAATGACCCAATTGATGTGTGTGAAATTGGAAGCAAGGTATGTGCAAGAGGTGAAATAATTGGTGTGAAAGTTCTAGGCATATTGGCTATGATTGACGAAGGGGAAACCGACTGGAAAGTCATTGCCATTAATATGGATGATCCTGATGCAGGCAATTATACTGATATCAGTGATGTCAAACGGCTGAAACCCGGCTACTTAGAGGCTACTGTGGACTGGTTTAGAAGGTATAAGGTTCCTGATGGAAAACCAGAAAATGAGTTTGTTTTAATGCAGAATTTGAAGATAAGGACTTTGCAATTGATATTATTAAAAGCACTCATGACCATTGGAAAGCATTAGTGACTAAGAAAATGAATGGAAAAGGAATCAGCTGCATGAACAAAACTGTGTCTGAGAGCCTGTTCAAGTGTGATCCTGATGCTGCCAGAGCCATTGTGGATGCTTTACCACCACCCTGTGAATCTGCCTGCACAGTACCAACAGACGTGGATACGTGGTTCCATCACCAGAAGAACTAATGGGATTTCTCTGGAATACAAGCTGATATTGCTGCATCGTGTTCATCTGGATGTATTAGATGTAAAATAGTAGCTTTTCAAAGCTTTAAATGTGTAGAACTCATCTAAGTAAATTCTGCTGTGACCAATCCCATGTACTCAGAACATTACCCATCTAAAGCATTTTTCATATCTCAACTAAGATAACTTTCAGCACGTGCTTAAATATCAAGGCAGTTGTCATTTGGAAGTCACTTGTGAATAGATGTGCAAGGGGAGCACATATTGGATGTATATGTTACCATATGTTAGGAAATAAAATTATTTTGCTTAAAAAAAAAGAAATAGGAGAGGCAACATGGCTTAGTGGGAAGAACAGGAGCTACAAAGAGCCGTGTTCAGATCCAAGCTCTGTCACTGAAAACAGCTATGCTTTGGACAAGTTACAAATTACAAGTTACAAGCCTTTTAGGACTGGGTGCAGTGGCTCACACCTGTAATCCCAGCACTTTGGGAGGCCGAGGCAGGTGAATCACCTGATGTCAAGAGTTTGAGACCAACCTGGCCAACATGGTGAAACCCTGTCTCTACTAAAAATACAAAACTAGCCAGTTGTGGTGGCGGGCACCTGTAATCCCAGTTACTCAGGAGGCTGAGACAGGAGAATCGCTTGAACCCAGGAGGTGAAGCCTGCAGTGAGCCAAGATCGCGCCACTGCACTCCAACCTGGGTGAGACAGAGCAAGACTCTGTCTCAAAAATAAATAAATAAATAAATAAACCAAATCTAAGCCTTTTAAAATTATGTACAATAGATTTAAAAATACCTATATTCAGTGTCGTGAGCATTAAATGAGACAGATAATTCAAAGCACCTAGTCCAATGTCTGGCAGGTGGCAATCACTCCAGCAACGGTGGCAGCAGTAGTACTGGTGGCCATACACAGTGCACATTCCATATACACTACTGGGCTAAGGAGTAATAAATCCTGCTAGGGTTTTCAGCTGCCCCAGTAACTTCCAAGCTTCCAGAGTAGCTTGGAAAGGGGCTTTATGACACCATATCTTCGTGACTCTGCATGCCTGTTTTTACCTACAGGACTGAGTTTAGGAAAGAAGGGCTCCTCAGCTCGTTGCACAATAGTGTTTCAGTCAACTCTTGTTTCCTTGATGCTGCTGGGGGGCCTCTGAGGTTTTTCCTCTAGTGGTGCTTCTCAAACTTTTTGGTCTCAAGACCTGTTTACATATTTAAAAACTATGGAGGACCCAAGGGACTTACATTTATATAGGTTATAGCTATTGATATTTGTCATGTTAGAAATTAAAACTTCAAATTTTAACATATTAATTTTATTATATTATTATTATTATTATTTGAGACAAGATCTCAGTCTTCACCCAGGCTGTAGTGCAATGGTGCAATTATAGCTCACTGTAACCTTGAACTTGTGGGTTCAAGCAATCCTCCCTCTTCAGCCTCCTAAGTAGCTAGGACTACAGGAGATAACACCACATCAAAATTGTTTCTTGTAGAGATGGAGGTCTCACTATGTTGCCGAGGCTGCTCTGGAACTCCTGGCCTCAAGTGATCCTCCTGCTTTAGCCTCCCAAAGCACTGGGATTATAGGCGCGAGTCACTGCATCTGGCCAACATATTTATTTTAAATTCATACAAAAAGAGCAACAAGAAACCCATAACATGTTAACATAACATTTATATGAGAAATAGCTGTTTTTTCCAAAACTAACAAAACATGTGGTTGGAAGAGTAACATTGTGTTACATTTTGGGAGAACGCCTTGACCTCTGGTTTAATAGAAGACAAATGCATTCTCATAATACTACTGCATTCAATCTGATGTGATATGTTGTTTTAGATGAACTACAGGAAGAAAATTCAGCCTTACAGAGATTCACAGTTAGAAAAGACCTGCTGGGGTGGCCAGGCATGGTGGCTCATGCCTGTAATCCCAGCACTTTGGGAAGCCAAGGTGGGTGGATCACGAGGTTAGGAGTTTGAGACCAGCCTGGCCAAGATGGTAAAACCCCACCTCCACTACAAATACAAAAATTAGCTGGGAGCAGTGGCAGTCGCCTGTAATCCCAGTTACATGGGAGGCTGAGGCAGGAGAATTGCTTGAACCCAGGAAATGGAGGTTGCAATGAGCCGAGATCACGCCACTGCACTCTAGCCTGGGTGACAGAGTAAGACTCCATCTGAAAGAAAGAAAGAAAGAAAGAAAGAAAGAAAGAAAGAAAGAAAGAAAGAAAGAAAGAAAGAAAGAAAGAAAGGAAAGAAAGGAAAGAAAGGAAAGAAAAGAAAGAAAAGAAAGAAAAGAAAGAAAAGAAAGAAAAGAAAGAAAAGAAAGAAAAGAAAGAAAGAAAGAAAAAGACCTGCTTGGGGAGTCTCAGGGACTCCCCAAGGGTCCTTGGACCACACTGTCCAGAGTCTGATTTGTTTCCTGAAGACTTTAGCACCTTGAGGGCAGACAGTATCTCTTCATTTGATGGGTCACTGAATGGGGACAGTTTTCATTTGGTGTGTGATAAAATGCTTTTGACAGACTGGCTGATAGAGGGAGCTATAGGCTAATGCTAGCCCACATATATAATACTGAGATACTAACTTTTCTCCTTTCACAGATGAAACCAACAGATTTAGACAGAATTGGTGTCTAAAGAGTTACATCCAGCCGGGCGCGGTGGCTCACGCCTGTAATCCCAGCACTTTGGGAGGCCGAGGCGGGCGGATCACAAGGTCAGGAAATCGAGACCATCCTGGCTAACACGGTGAAACCCCGTCTCTACTAAAAATACAAAAAATTAGCCGGGCGTGGTGGTGGCTGCCTGTAGTCCCAGCTACTCGGGAGGCTGAGGCAGGAGAATGGCATGAACCCGGGAGGCAGAGGTTGCAGTGAGCCGAGATCACGCCACTGCACTCCAGCCTGGGAGACAGAGCGAGACTCCATCTCAAAAAACAACAACAACAACAACAGAGTTACATCCCTGGCCGGGTGCGGTGGCTGACCCCTGTAATCCCAGCACTTTGGGAAGCCGAGGCAGGTGGATCACCTGAGGTCAGGAGTTCGAGACCAGCCTGGCCAACATGGCAAAACCCCATCTCTACTAAAAAATAAAAATAAAAATAAAAATTAGCTGGGCATGTAGCACGTGCCTGTAATCCCAGCTACTCAGAAGGCTGAGGCAGAAGAATCACTTGAACTCAGGAGGCGGAGGTTGCAGTGAGCTGGGATCGTGCCATTGCACTCCAGCTTGGGCAACAAGAGCAAAACTCTGTCTCAAAAAAAAAGGAAAAAAAAAAAAAAGAGTTACATCCTTGTACTTCCAGACATTGCTTCTCAAAGAGGCTGCCCAGAAGATAAAGCAAAGGTTAGACACAAAAAGGGATCAATTTAAGACAAAAATTTCCACTTGTTTAAGAAATGGGAAAGAATTCACAATAGCCAAAAAGTGCAAGCAACCCAAATGTCCATCGATGGATGAATGGATAAACAAAACGTACTGTATACACACATGGAATATTATTCAGCCTTTAAAAGGAAGGGGACATTCTGACACTTGCACAACATGGATGAGTCTTGAGGATATTATGTTAAGTGAATAAGCCAGCCACAAAAGGACAAATGCCGTATGATTCCTCTTGAAGGAATCTAGAGTAGTCAAACTCACAGAGACAGAAAGTAGAATGGTGCTTGCCATGGGCTAGGGGGTGGAATATGGGAGGTGGTTGTTTTTTTGTTTGTTTGTTTTTTGAGACAGAGTCTTGCTTTATCACCAGGCTGGAGTGCAGTGGCGTGATCACAGCTTACTGCAGCCTTTACCTCCTGGGCTCAAGCAATCCTCCCACCTCACCCTCCGCAGCAGCTGGAACTACAGGCATGCACCATCATGCCCAGCTAATTTTTTGTTTAAATTTTTTGTAGAGATGGGGGTCTCACTACTGCACCTGGCCAGAAGTGGTTGTTGAAGGGATATGAAAAAGTTCTGGGCTGGGTGCAGTGGCTCACGCCTGTAATCCCAGCACTTTGGGATGCCAAGGCGGGCAAATCTCCTGAGGTCAGGAGTTTGAGACCAGCCTGGGCAACATGGTAAAACCCCGTCTCCAACTAAAAATACAAAAATTAGCTGGGTGTGGTGGTGCATGCTTGTAGTCCCAGCTACTTGGGAGGCTGAGGCAGGAGAATCGTTTGAACCCAGGAGGCGAAGGTTGCAGTGAGCCAAGACCACACCAACCTGGATGACAGCGAGACCCTGTCTCTAAATAAATTAATAAAAATAAATTAAAAGGTTAAGATAGTAACTTTTATGTTACCTGTATTTTACCATTTTTAAAAGGAAAGGGCCTGACTGCGGCAGCTCATACCTGTAATCCTAGCATTTTGGGAGGCCAAGGCAGGAGGATTCCTTGAGGCCGGAGTTCGAGACCAGCCTGGGCAACATGGTGAAACCCCATCTCTACACACACATACACACACACACACACACACACATACACAAGCACACACACGCACACACACAATTAGGCCAGCATAGTGGCATGCGCCTGTAGTCCTAGCTACTATGGAGGCCGAGGTGGGAAGATCCCTTGAGCCCAGGAGTTCAAGGCAGTAGTAAGCTATGATTGTACCACCATATGCCAGCCTGGGTGACAGAGCACGACTCTGCCTCAAAAAAAAGAAAGAAAGGGGCTGGGCATGGTGGCTCACTCCTATTATCCCAGCACTTTGGGAGGCCGAGGTGGGCGGATCACTTGAGGTCAGGAGTTTGAGACCAGCCTGGCCAACATGGTGAAACCCCATCTCTCCTAAAAATACAAAAAAAAAAAAATAGCCTGGTGTGGTGGAGGGCGCTGGTAAATCCCAGCTACTCAGGAGGCTGCAGCAGGAGAATCGCTTGAACCAGGGAGGTGGAGGTTGCAGCGAGCCATTGTCATGCTACTGCACTCCAGCCTGGGCAACAGAGTGAGATTCCATCAAAAAAAGAAAAAAGAAAGAAAGAAAGAGAGAGGAAGGAAGGAAGGAAGGAAGGAAGGAAGGAAGGAAGGAAGGAAGGAGAAAGTAGAAATGAACTTCTTTCTCTAATTTTGTTCTGACCTCATCCCTTCTTAGCTACTCAATTCAGTTGCACAGTTATTTATTGAGCACATTCTATGTATAAAGTCCTCCCGGAAACAAAGATCAGTGAAACAGTGCCTATTCTCAAGGAGTTGGCCCTCTAGTAGAGGGTTGGTCAAGATACATATACAACAAGGCCAAAGAGATGCGCTAACAGGATGAAATGGGTCTTGGAGAAGGCGGTGTTTGGGCTAGAACTTAAGGACCATAGGATTTCTGCTGGGGCTAAGTTTTGGGGAAGCATTATGAGCACAAAGGAGACAAACTAGTTTTCTACATTGCTGATCAGGTTAAAGGCTTAGAATCATGTCCGAAAAGTTGGTACAGATGTTGAAGATTATTGGTCCAGTTTCCCGTTTAATACAGGAATCCATTCTACTTGATGAAAGAAATCAGGAGTTAATGCAATGTGGCTACTGCAAGGAAACCATGGTCCCTGGTAAAGCACATTGCATTTAAAGACCTGCTTTCTATCTTGCTTTCACCTGTAAGCTTTATCATCAAGCTCCTCAACCTCTCTGAGAACTGGCTTCCTTGTCTATTCCAAGCTTGGCGCATACTATAACTAACATATGTGAAAATTCTCAGCAAGCGTTCTAAGCCCTGTTTATCAGCTCAGCACGGTGGCTTATGCCAGTAATCCCGGCACTTTGGGAGGCTGAGGTGGAGGATCCCTTCAGGCCAGGAGTTTAAGACCCACCGGGGCAACATAGCGAGGCTCTGTCTCTACAAAACATTTTAAAAATTAGCTGGTGTGGTGGTGCACACCTGTAGTCCCAGCTCCTCAGGAGGCTGAGGCAGAAGGATGGCTTGAGCCCGGGAGTTCCAGGCAGCAGTGAGCTATGGAGCACCACTGCACTCCAGCCTGGGTGACAGAGCAAGGCCCTGTCTCAAAAAACAAACAAACAAACAAAACTGTTTTACCTTTCTTTTTCTTTCTTTCTTTTTTTTTTTTTTTTTGAGGCAGAGTTTCACTCTGTCGCCAAGGCTGGAGTGCAGTGGTGCGATCTCAGCTCATTATAACCTCTGCCTCCCAGGGATTCAAGCGGTTCTTGTTCCTCAGCCTCCTGAGTGGCTGGGACTACAGGTGCATACCTGGCCAATTTTTGTATTTTTAGTAGAGATGGGATTTCACCATGTTGCCCAGGCTAGTCTTGAACTACTGACCTCAGGTGATCTGCCCGCCTCGGCCTCCCAAAGTGCTGGGATTACAGGTGTGAGCCACCATGCCTGGCCTGTTTTTCTTCTTACCATTCTGGCTAATTTCTACTTGTCTTTCAAGGCTCAGCAAGGACGAGTTGGGTAGAAAGCCTTGCAGGGTCGTCCACTTACTTTCACACTGCATTGAGTCGCCTGTTTGCAAGGTCATCTGCTCCCCAGAATGTGAACTCCCTCAGGGGTGCCTGATTGACTTCTGTAACTCCAGAGCCTGGCACAGCACACAAGATAAATAGTGGTGCGCTAGTTAAGAGCTCTGGCCTTGAAAATCAGATAATCAGGGGTTGAATCCTGGCCCTGCCACTTACTATGTGACTTTGGGCAAGATCCTTATCCTCTTCCCTGGGCCTCAGTTTCTTCAACTGCAAAGTGGGGATAATAATTACAATTACCTCATAGGCTGAAGTGAGGAGTTCAACACGGGCTCATGCACTTTTTTTTTTTTCTTTTGAGACAGAGTGTTGTTCTGTTGCCCAGGCTGGAGTGCAGTGGCGCAATCTCGGCTCACTGCAACCTCCACCTCCCGAGTTCAATTGATTCTCCTGCCTCAGCCTCCTGAGTAGCTGGGACCACAGGCGCGCACCACCACACCCAGCTAATTTTTGTATTTTTAGTAGAGACAGGGTTACACCATGTTGGCCAGGCTGGTCTCGAACTCCTGACCTCAAGTGATCCGCCTGCCTCAGCCTGCCAAAGTGCTGGGATTACAGGCGTGAGCCACCGCACCCGGCCTGGGGCTCATGAACTTAAAGATCATGGCCCAGTGCCAGGCACACGGGAATTCAGAATAGTAAGGGACAACTATTGTTAAGTTCTCTATGTCTGTTGCATAAGTAGATGAGGCTGTAGATAACTACACTCTTTGTCTAAAAGGGCCAAGTTCTCATCAGAACACTTTGCTGAGCCCCGGGTGACCGAATCCCTAGCTCTGGGGTGAGCGACATGCCTCCAAGGAGCTGCAGCCAGGAGACAGCCAGGCGAAGGCGGGGCTCTGCCTCTGGGCTCCCCGAGGGGCGGAGGCCGGCGCGCGGGTCACGTGGGGGCGCGGGAGGCGGGGCTTGCACACGCTGGTCACGCGGTCAGCTATTGACACTTCCTGGTGGGATCCGAGTGAGGCGACGGGGTAGGGGTTGGCGCTCAGGCGGCGACCATGGCGTATCACGGCCTCACTGTGCCTCTCATTGTGATGAGCGTGTTCTGGGGCTTCGTCGGCTTCTTGGTGCCTTGGTTCATCCCTAAGGGTCCTAACCGGGGGTAAGTGCGTGAGGCCCGCCTTGGGAGGAACGGGCGGTGAGGAGCTAGCAGGCCGGGGCGGGGAAAGGCACGACCCCCACACGGGTCAGAGAACGTTGCATGGGCGCCCCCCGCGCTGCAGAGTCAGGCCCCCGACCCGGCGGAACTCCTTGTGTTCCTTTTCGCAGCAGCTTCAGTGTCCTCCGGCCTGAGCGAGTGGAGGGTGACCTTTGGTGGACCCCCCTTGGAAACGAGTTTCAGGGGAATTTTTTCTCATCATAGTCCTGTGTGGGGAGGTGCAGTCGGAAATGAGCAGGCCGAATCTGGGAGAAACTGGGGTTTGTCCCTAGTCGACTGTCCCCCTTTAGCCCTGCCTTCCACCCACATGAGGCCTCGTTTGCCTGAACTTAAGGATCAAATAAATAAAACAGAAATTGGCTTCTCTGCCTCCCATGCTGTCGCGGTTGCGTACAGAACAAGCTCCTTCGACAACATTGAGCCCAGGCCTTGCATCTAGTGGGCGCCAGGAGGCGGTTGGGGCCTGATCTAAAGCGAGATTAATTACCAAAGAGCAGGAGGTATTGTTGAGAAACCCCTGCGTCATGCCTTTTGGAGGGCGCTCCGGCTCTTGTATGTGAGTGTAAGAAGTGCTTAGAATGATTGGCTAAGAAAGATTTTGTTTTTCCAGACTTCTTTGTTGGTTAGAGCTTTGTCTCTTTTGGAATTAAACTTTTTAACTGTAGTATAAAATAGAGGCTTAATCTTCAAAGGAGCCTTGGAACACCCTCTTCCTGGTTCCTCTTTTGCTTCTCAGTCATTTTTTTCTCAGTTCAAGATGATGAGAGGTGAAACTTCGACTGAAGTCAGTTTGTCAGAAACACCATCTCTTGCTTTATTCTTGAACCTAATTGGTGGCTTCATAGTGCCTGGTTTTCATAGTACCTTGTATGCACAGGAGGCACCCAATAAATACCTGTTGAGTGAATAGTTCTATTGTCTTTATTAAAAGAAAAAGATTTTTGGCCAGGTGCCGTGGCTCACG
Organism: Homo sapiens; assembly: GCF_000001405.40. Taxonomy (NCBI): domain Eukaryota; kingdom Metazoa; phylum Chordata; class Mammalia; order Primates; family Hominidae; genus Homo; species Homo sapiens. Next base: position 172,984,986 of record NC_000005.10, read on the forward strand.
CCTGTAATCCCAGCACTTTGGGAGGCCAAGGCGGGCGGATCACGAGGTCAGGAGATCGAGACCATCCTGGCTAACACGGTGAAACCCGTCTCTACTAAAAACACAAAAAATTAGCCGGGCGTGGTGGCGGGCGCCTGTAATCCCAGCTACTCGGGAGGCTGAGGCAGGAGAATGGCGTGAACCCAGGAGGCAGAGCTTGCAGTGAGCCGAGATCGCGCCACTGCACTCCAGCCTGGGCGACAGAGCGAGACTCCGTCTCAAAAAAAAAAAAAAAAAAGAAAGAAAAAGATTTTTACTACTTCCCTAATATTTTGTGACCTGAACCCCTTTTGCTCCCTGGGATACATTTGCTTTATTAGTCTAAAATTATTTTTTTTTAAAAGATACATGGTAGATGAATTTTTATCATTTTTAAGTATCAAGTTCCTCCTCCCTGGTAACACCAGTTATATGGGGTCATCTCTCCTACCTATAGAGGTTGATGGACAGAGTCAGAATTCTGGCATTATTAAAGCAATTGTATTTACCAAAGTTAATTAGACTTGTTTTTCCTACTGGAGTTAGCGAACAACAAAGTGCTTCTTTGTTGTGTTTATATCTTCAACTGTTTCATTACCCTACTGTCTGCCTTTATGGCCTTTGTACTCAAAGAAGCATTTATTAATGTACTAATAGCACTGACAATTCCTTTCTTAAAGACCATTCTCTCCCCTTCCTTGGGATGTCATTGCCATTATCCAGGGTAATGAAACCCATCCTGTTTCCACTTAGCCCTAGAGAGTGTCATGATTCAGGTATTTGACCAGCTAGTGATATATAGACATGTGTCACTTAACAAAAGGACTATGTTTGAGAAATGTGTTAGTTGGGCTTTTGTGTGAACAAAGAGTTTACTTAAACAGATGGTACAGCCTACTACACACCTAGGCTATTTGGTAGAACCTGTTGCCTCTAGGTAGGCTACACACCTGTACAGCATGTTACTGTCCTTAAATACTGTATAGACAAATGTAACACAATGGTATTTGTGTATCTAAACATAGAAAAGGTACAGTAAAAATACATATCAAAGATTTAAAATGGTCCACCTGTGTAGGGCACTTACCATGAATGGAGCTTGCAGGACTGGAAATTGCTGTGAGTGAGTCAGTGACTGGTGAGTGAATGTGAAGAACCAGGACATTGCTGTATACCATGGTGGACTTTAGAAACACTGTATACTTAGGCTACATGAAATTTCTGAAAAAATATTTTTCTTTCTTCAAAAATAAATTAACCTTAGCTTCCTGTAACTTTTTTACTTAAACTTTTGAATTATTTTTAACTTTTTGACTCTTGTACTAACACTTGGCTTAAAACACAAGCAAGGCTGGGCACGGTGGCTCACACCCATAATATGCAGCACTTTGGGAAGCCGGACAAGAGGATTGCTTGAGACCAGCCTGGGCAACACAGCGAGACCTTATCTCTGAAAAAAATTTTTTTTAATTAGTTGGGTATGGTGGTGCACACCTGTGGTCCTAGCTACTGGGGAGGCTGAGTGAGGGGGATGGGAGTGTTTGAGACCAGGAGTTCCAGGATGCAGTAAGCTATGATCACACCACTGTACTCCAGCCTGGGCAACAGTGAGACCCTGTCTCTTCAAAAATGAAACAAGTCCAGTGTCAGAGTCTGGGGAAGAGGCTGCAGGCACCATGTCCATTTTCACAGATGGCAGGAAGAAGCCCCTGAAACAGCCCAAGAAGCAGGCCAAGGAGATGGATGGGGAAGATAAGGTTGGTTTTTTGTTGTTTTTGTTTGTTTGTTTGTTTGTTTGTTTTTGAGACAGAGTCTCACTCTGTCGCCAGGCTGGAGTGCAGTGGCGTGATACTGGCTCACTGCACCCTCCGCCTCCTGGGTTCAAGCAATTCTCCTGCCTCAGCCTCCCGAGTAGCTGGGGTTACAGGCGCGCACCACCATGCCCAGCTAATTTTTGTATTTTTAGTAGAGACGGGATTTCACCATGTTGGCCAGGATGGTCTCGATCTCTTGACCTCATGATCCGCCCATCTCAGCCTCCCAAAGTGCTAGAATTACAGGCATGAGCCACCACGCCCGGCTGGAAGATACATTTTTTAAACAAAAAGAGGAGCAGAAGAAACTGGAGGAGCTGAAAGTGAAGGCCATGGGGAAGGGGCCCCTGGTCATAGGTGGAATTAAGAAATCCGGCAAAAAATAAGCTGTTCCATGTGCCTGAGGTGATCGATGGTGACCCTTGATTCCATTTGTATTTAAACATCTGGATTCCCTGCTATAACTTTTTTTTTTTTTTTCTTTGAGATGGACTCTCACTCTTTTGTCCAGGCTGGAGTGCAGTGGTGCCATCTTGGCTCACTGCAACCTCCACCTGCTGGATTCAAGCAATTCTCCTGCCTCAGCCCCCTGAGTAGTTGGGATTACAGGTGCCCACCACCATGCCTGGCTAATTTTTGTATTTTCAGTAGAGAAGGGGTTTCACCATGTTGGACAGGCTGGTCTTGAACTCCTGACCTCAGGTGATCCGTCCGCCTCGGCCTCCCAAAGTGCTGAGATTACAGGTGTGAGCTGCCACACCCGGCCCCCTGCTATAACATCTTTTGCCACCTATACTTAGAATGAAGTGTTGTCTTGGAGCCTGTTGTACATTGTACATGTAAGAGTAAACTTTTGAAAACAAATCAAAACACACACAGACACATTGTACAGCTATATAATTTTTTTTTTTTAAGAGTCAGAGAGTCTCACTGTCACCCAGGCTGGAGTGCAGTGGCTCCATCATAGCTCACTGCAGCCTTGAACTCCAAGGCTCAAGGGATCCGTCCACCTCAGCCTCTGCACTAGCTAGGACATAGGCGTGCACCACTACACCCAGCTAATTCGTTGTTGTTGTTTTGAGACAGGGTCTCTCTTTGTTGCCCAGGCTGGTCTCCAACTCTTGACCTCAAGCAGTCCTCCCACCTTGGCCTCCCAAAGTGCTAGAATTACAGGCATAAGCCACCTCGGACCTAATCTATTTTCTTTCTTTATATCCTATCCTATAAGTTTTTTTCCATTTAAATTTTTTTTAACTTTTTAAACTTTTTTTTGTTAAAAACTAAAACACAAACATATTATTCTAGGCCCACACAGGTTCAGGATCATCAAGATGTCATTAGGTGATAGGAATGTTTCAGCTCCATTATAATCTTAGGGGACCACCTGTCATTTATGCATTCATTCATTGACTGAAAGGTCATTATGTGGCAATTGTCAAGTGCCTGTATTATCTGGGTCCAGTTCACAGCCTCTGCTGCAGTCCTTGCTTTTCCTGCTCTTGGTTGGATTGAGCAGTGTCTCTCCTAGGAAGAGTTGCTATAATACATTTTGAGAAACACTGCACCTAGGCAGATGATCCCTGTGACCTTGACGATTTAGTTAACTTTTCCATGTTCCCATTTCCTCATTTTAAAATGGAAATAGGCTTTTCTGTAGGGATTTTTTTAAAAAGGAAATACTAGTGCACAATTTAATTAACTTTTCCATGTTCCCATTTCCTCTTTTTAAAATGGAAATAGGCTTTTCTGTGGGGATTTTAAAAAAAGGAAACATTAAAGCCGAATTAGTACTAGTTCCCCTTTACCTCTTGAAAATACTGCAAATCAAATTTTTCAGGATACGTGAAGGAGCTGAAGTGCTTCACACTATGGTGAGTTGGGGTTTTTTTTTGAGACAGTCTTCCTCTGTTGCCCAGTCTGGAGTGTGGTGGCACAATCTCGGCTCACTGAAACCTCCACCTCCCAGGTTCAAGCGCTTCTCGTGCCTCAACCTCCCGAGTATCTCGGACTACAGGCGCACGTCACCATGCTTGACTAATTTTTGTATTTTTAGTAGAGGCAGGGTTTCACCATGTTGGCCAGGCTGTTACCAGACTTTTGGCCTCAAGTGATCCTCTCGCCTCGGCCTCCCAATGTGTTGGGATAACAGGCTCGAGCAGTGCCCCTAGCTTGTGGTGAATTTTTAATACAGGTGAGCATTTCTGATTTAAATGATCAAAAATATCTTCAAAAAAATAAAAATGGGCCTGACATGGTGGCTCACACCGGCACTTTGGGAGGCTGAGGTGGGAGGATCACTTGAAGCCAGAAAATAGAGACCAAGCCTGGGCAATAAAGCAAGACCTGGTCTCTACAAAAACAATTTTTTAAAAATTACCTAGGCATGGTGGTGTAGACCTGTGGTCCTAGCTTCTCAGGAGGCTGGGTGGGTGGATTGTTTGAGCCCAGGATGTTGAGGCTGCAGTGAGCTATGATCATGCCACTGCATTCTAGCCTAGGCAACAGAGTGAGACCCCATCCCTTAAAAAAAAAATTCTCTTTTGCCCTTTCTTTTCCCTGCCTCATTAGGTCCTATAACCTCCTAATTACCCAACTTTCAGCATTCTGATGTGCAGGGGTCTCTTGGGGAAGATAAATTAACATCAAATACATCTGTGTTTCTCTCCCTTCTTTCCTCCTCACAGGGTTCCTTTATTTATCTCCTTACTGAAGATTTTTTTTTTTTTTGAGACCTAGTCTTGCTCTGTCACCCAGGCTGGAGTGCAATGGCATGATCTTGGCTCACTACAGCCTCTGCCTCCCGGGTTCAAGCAATTCTCCTGCCTCAGCCTTCCGAGTAGCTGGGATTACAGGCATGGGCCACCATGCCCAGCTCATTTTTGTATTTTTTAGTAGAGATGGGGTTTTGCCATGTTGGCCAGGCTAGTCTCAAACTCCTGACCTCAGGCGATGCACCCACCTTGGCCTCCCAAAGTGCTGGGATGACAGGAGTTGGGCACCATGCCCAGCCGAAGATTTTTTAAAATTTATTTCTTAAAACAGGGTCTTACTCTGTTGCCCAGGCTGGAGTGCAGTGGCACGGTCAGTCATAGCCCGCTGCAGCCTCAACCTGGGCTCACACAATCCTTCTGCTTCAGCCTCCAGCATAGCTGGGACAACAGGCATGCACCACCATGCCCAACCAATTAAAAAAAAAATGTTGTAGATACTGGGTCTCGTTTTATTGCCTATGCTGGTCTTGAACTCCTGACTTCAAGCAGTCCTCCCACCTCAGCCAACCAAAGTGCTAGGATTACAGTTGTGAGCACTGTGCTCAGCCAGGAAAAACTTATGAATCTTTTCTTTTATTAAAAAAAAAAATAGCCTACGATCACTTGGAAAAAACTCTTCAGAATTTATGGATGACCTAAATAAAGCCCCTGGCTCTTTATTTTTGCAACTGAAAAGGGCCAGCTAAAATCAGGTCTGTGCCTGGAATCAGCTTTCCTGATTCCTGACCATTCTAGTTTCTCATGATTTCCCTCTTTTCTCTAAAGGAATCCATAGATTCTCTAAAGCTTCCATTTTCTCACAGTGGCTTCCTAACCAGTAGATGTGGGGGAGGAGAAAAGGAAAGAGCGCAGAGATGAGTTTGCCAGTTCAGTCAACTCCATTTTTCTTTTTTTGTGGTTTGTTTTAATTTTATTTTTATTTTTTGATTATTTTATTTATAAATAATAGAGATGGGCTAGCCGGGCATGGTGGCTCATGCCTGTAATCCCGGCACTTTGGAAGGCTGAGGTGGGTGGATCACTTGGTCGGGAGTTCAAGACCAGCCTGGCCAACATGGTGAAACCTCATCTCTACTAAAAATACAAAAATTAGCCAGGTGTGGTGGTGTGCGCCTGTAATCCCAGCTACTCTGGAGGCTGAGGCAGGAGAATTGCTTGAGCCCAGGAGGCAGAGGTTGCAGTGAGTTGAGATTGCGCCACTGCACTCCAGCCTGGACGACAGAGCGATACTCTGTCTCAAAAATTAAAAAAAAAAAAAAAATACAGATGGGATCTCGCTCTGTTGGCCAGGTTGGTCTTAAACACCTGGCCTCAGCCTCCCAAAGTGCTAAGATTACAGGCTTGAGCCACCATACCTGTTTTTTTGTTTTGTTTTGTTTTGTTTTAAAGAGTCTCCCTGCGTTGCCAAGGCCTCGAGTGCAGTAGCGTGCTCATATCTCACTACAGCCTTGATATCCTGGGCTCTAGTGATCCTCCCGCCTCAGCCTCCTGAGTAGCTGGGACTATAGGCATGCTACTGCATCCAGCTAACTCCCCTTTTTTCATGAACAATTTCAAACATGTAGAAAAGTAGGAAGAGTAGTACAATAAGTGCCATATATTACCTCCTAGACTCAGTCATTGTTTAACGTATTCATATTTGCTTTGAGTGTGTGTATATATAATTTTGCTGGACCATTTGAAAGTAAATTGCAGTTATTGTGGCATTTCACCACTCAGCATGCAGCTCCTAAGACCAAGCATATTAGGAGCTGATACGTTAATGAGGGAGCTTTTATGTGAAACTATTAATATTAAGCAGGTAATACAAAGGAGCCTCAGCTCTTTCAGTTCTATGAGATGGTCTTTTGGAGAAGAGAGAAGACAGGGAAGAGATTCCACAGTGGAGCACGGACTGGGGGAAGATGAGTAAAGGCTTGGAATTGAGAATCCTAGATATAATGTGTTTTGGGGGACAGTGAAGGCACCTGCCTTCAGGAATGAAGGACTGATGTTTGCACGTAGGGGGAGGTGAGAAGGATGGGTGGAGGGAGTCAGTTACAAATGAAGCGGGGGACTTGATTCTGTAGGTCTTCAAACATTTTTATTGTGCAACTGTCAGAATTTCTTTAGCACAATCCCCCATACATATTTATTTATATTTTATAAGTGTAATGTATAAATTATGTATTTCAAGGAACTGACCAACTCTTACTACCTGCACTGCTGCCAGCCTGATCCACTTGGATTATGTAATTCCTCTCAACTGCTTTCTCTGCTTTCTTTTTGCCCCGCTTCCCCCAGTCTCTTTCATCCCAGCAGAGAGATCCCTTAGAATTGGAATCAGATTTTGTCAGTCCTCTCCTCAAATCCCTCCAAATAACTGCCCTTTTCTTTCCTTCTTCCTTTATTTTTCTTTCTTTCCTTCTTTCTTCTTTCTGTCTGTCTTTCTGTCTTTCTTTCTCTCTCTCTCTTTTCTTTCTTTCTTTTTTATTTTTTTTGAGACGGAGTCTCGCTCTGTCGCCCAGGCTGGAGTGCAGTGGCGCGATCTCGGCTCACTGCAAGCTCCGCCTCCCGGGTTCACGCCATTCTCCTGCCTCAGCCTCCCGAGTAGCTGGGACTACAGGCGCCCGCCACCACGCCCGGCTAATTTTTTTGTATTTTCAGTAGAGACGGGGTTTCACCGTGTTAGCCAGGATGGTCTCGATCTCTTGACCTCGTGATCTGCCCGCCTCGGCCTCCCAAAGTGCCGGGATTGCAGGCGTGAGCCACTGCGCCCGGCCATAACTTCCCTTTTCACTCAGAGTCAAAGCCTTTTAAGAGTGAAAGTCCTTTCAGAGGCCACATGGTACCTCTTTGACCTCACCTTTCCCCAGGCTCCTTGCTCTGTGTCAGCCACACAGACCCCTTCCTCTTTGAACTCCAGGTACCCTCTCACCCCCTGCCTTTGACATTACTTCTGCCTGGAACACTCCGTCACCTTGTTCAGGTCTGCACTGAGACGCCACCTCCTCAGCAAGGCTTTTCCTGACCATCCTCTAAAATTGCAACCACAATCTCCAACCCCTGGTAGACCCCGTCTCCCTTTCCTGTCTTATTTTCCTCCATCAGCACTTACTGACCATCTGGCATATATAGGTAGATAATTGTTGTTTGTTGTGTGTTCATCTTGTTTGTTGTCTATCTATGCCAGTAGCACGTGAGCTTCATGAGGCAGTGGTTTTTTTTGTTTATTTATTTATTTTTTTGAGATGGAGTCTTGCTCTGTCGCCCATGCTGGAGTGCAATAGCGCAATCTCGGCTCACTGCAACGTCTGCCTCCCAAGTTCAAGTGATTCTTCTGCCTCAGCCTCCTGAGCAGCTGGGATTACAGGCGAGCACCACCACGCCCAGCTAATTTTTTTGTATTTTTAGTAGAGATGGGGTTTCATCATATTGGTCAGGCTGGTCTCGAACTCCTGACCTCTTGATCCGCCTGCCTCGGCCTCCTAAAGTGCTGGGATCACAGGCGTGAGCCACCACGCCCGGCCACAAGGCAGTGGTTTTTATCTGTTTTGTTTCCTGTTCTCTCCTCAGACCCTAATACATATACTGGACATTCAGTGAGTGAAAATCTGTTGAACGAGTAAATGAATGTGCCAATATATTAACCAAAGAAAATACACACACAGTGGCTCATGCCTGTAATCCCAGCACTTTGGGAAGCATAGGTAGGTGGATTACTTGAGGCCAGGAGTTTGAGAACAGCCTGGACAACATGGCAAAACCCCATCTCTACTAAAAATACAAAAATTAGCCGGGCATGGTGGTGCATGCCCATAATCTCAGCTACTTGGGCTGAGGCAGGAGAATCGCTTGAACCTGAGAGGCGGAGTTTGCAATGAGCCAAGATTGTGCCACTGCACTCCAGCCTGGATGACAGAGTGAGACTCTGTCTCAAAAAACAAAAAAGACACACAGAACTTCTAAAGGATGAGTTAAAAATAAAGAAAAATAAGAGTTCTGGGCCAGGTGTGGTGGCTCACACCAGTAATCCCAACACTTTGGGAGGCTGAGGCAGGAGTATCACTTGAGGCCAGGAGTTCAAGTACAACCTGGTCAACATATTGAGACCCCCCCCCCCGACCCCACCTCTCCAAAAAAAATTAAAAATATTAGCCAGGCCTGGTTGTGTACACCAGTAGTCCTAGCTGCTCAGGAAGCTGAGGCAGAAGGATCAGTTGAGCCGAGGAGTTGGAGGTTACAGGGAGCTATGATCATGCCACTGCACTCTAGCCTGGGCGACAGAGACCCTGTCTCTTAAAAAAACAGGAGTTATAATATTTGGTTCCCAAGTTCTAGGAAATGCTCTTGCTCTTCTTAGGGCGTGGACATGCCTCTTGGAAACCAAATGATGGATGATGGAGGGGGGACATCAAAAGGTCTTAAGTAGAGAATCCTGGTGATTGTTTATAGAATGAAGGAGAAGGAGAAAAGTTTGAATCTGCCAGCAGTTAAGCCAGGAGAACTGGGTGAATTTTGTTGCTGACAGTGGGAATGGGAAGGAGGAAATACACATGGGGAGAGATGCTTTAAACTATAAATCCACAGTATTTGGTGACTGTGGAGGTGCAGAGAAGGCATGGACAAAAGATGATGGATGTGAGGGTGGGTCGGTTGGGTGAAAATGGCAGAGCTTCTTCTGAGGAGTAGGAGATTCAGAAGGGGAGCTTTTAGAAAAGAGATGGGAAGAGAACAGCATGAACTGAGGTTTAGAAATGTTGAAATTCTGCTGATGAGAGATCAAAGTGTAACTTTTTCAGACATGAATGGAGATTGGGAGAGCTCATCGCTGGAGAGTCATATTTTTAGAAGTACAGTGTTAATTTCATTACAGAGAATACTACCAAATAGGGTAATTACTTAGTTGTCAAAACTAATTGTCACTGCGGCCTTTCCTGTTCAGTTTCAGATAAATTTGGATTGGACAGCTACACTGTGGCATCAGCACATATCTCTTTAAATACAAATGTTTAATTACATAAACTTTTCCCAGGTGTACCCTGGGCACACCGCAGTTTGCTGGATATTTGAGCAAATACAGATCCAATTTCTTGGTGTGCAATCCATGCCAGTTTGATAATCTGGAAAGGGGACTTAAACCATTCTGTGATGTTTGCATAGTTTGCTAGTTATTTAATGACATTTGCATTTTTTTTTTTTTTTAGAGTTATCATTACCATGTTGGTGACCTGTTCAGTTTGCTGCTATCTCTTGTAAGTAATTTTTTCTTAAGTAATTATTCTTGGTATTTGTAGTGTGTGCGATTTACACATTTGTTTTATTGGAGCTCATCCCTCATGTAATATCTAGAAATAGTGTCCTAAAATTGAAAATATCACACTTTTCATATGCTCAGTATATTTATGTAGAGTTGTACAGATACTCTATCCTTCTGGGAATACAACTTCTGTTTAATTGGCACAAATGTTAAAGCTTATAAGTAGCTGGAAATTATGATTATACTACTTTATATTTTACTATGGTGAAGTATTTACTTATTTATTTATCTTTTGAGACAAGGTCCCGCTCTGTCGCCCAGGCTGCAGTGCAGTGGTGTGATCTCAGCTCACTGCAACCTCGGCCTCCTGGGTTCAAGTGAGTCTCATGCCTCAGCTACCTAAATGGCTGGGGTTACAGGCACACGCCGCCATGCATGGCTAATTTTTGTATTTTTAGTGGAGACGGGTTTGCCATGTTGGCCAGGCTGGTCTCAAACTCCTGACCTCAAGTGATCCGCCTGCCTTAGCCTCCCAAAGTGCTGGGATTACAGGCATGAGCCACTGTGCCCGGTATACTATTGTGAAGTATTTAGATCTACTTATTTTACTGAAATATCTCACTAATGGAGCTAATAAAGCTATTCTTTACTGTGACTTTTGTTTATCTGATGGACAGAAATTGAGCTAGAATTATAACCAAGTAGACTAAGGATAATTTTTTAACAATTCATTGTAAGCTGTATCAAAATATATGTATTGATCACATACCATAAAAATAATCCTAAGGATTTCTTTCAATTTAGGTTTTTGAGACAGGGTCTTGCTCTGTCACCCAGGCTGGAATGGCTCAATCATAGCTCACTGCAGCCTCAAACTCTTAGGCTCAGGCGATCCTCCTGCCTCTGCCTCCCAAGTAGTTGGGACTATAGTCATGCGCCACCATGCTCAGCTAACTTTTTTATTTTTGTAGAGATGGAGTCTTACTGTGTTACCCAGGCTGGTCTTGAACTCCTGGCCTCAGTGATCCTTCCATCTTAAGCCTCCCAAAGTGCTAGGATTACAGGCATGAGTCACTACACCCAGCCAGGATTTCTTTCTAGAGTTTAGAACCAGTGATTCTCTTTTTTTGAAGAGAACTTTCTAGCTTCCTGAGACTTCAGAGACATGGAAAGTGTTGGTGTTCACAGAAGTGCTGTTTAGTGCCCATGTAAGGTAGGAAGCAACAGTTCTGACCCATCCTATAGATGAAAGACCATGACTTTTTTTTCCAGAAACATTTTAATAAAAATTGGCCATTTCCAAGAAACACCCACTGCATGCCCGTTAATAAAAGAGGACCATAACAAAATAGAAAATTTACCATATAGCTGTGATTTAAAATAGCTGTGATTTAAAGAGAAAATGTGGACACAAGCACATCAGCAAAGTCCAGTATTAAAGTCACATTCCGGCCAGGATCGGTGGCTCATGCCTGTAATCCCAGCACTTTGGGAGGCCGAGGCGGGTGGATCACCAGGTCAGGATATTGAGACCAGCCTGGCCAACATGGTGAAACCCATTCTCTATTAAAAATACAAAAAAAAATTAGCTGGGCTTGGTGGCGCACACCTGTAGTCCCAGCTGCTCGGGAGGCTGAGGCAGGAGAATCACTTGAACCCTGGAGGCAGAGGTTGCAGTGAGCCGAGATTGCACCACTGCACTCCAGCCTGGGCGACAGAGCGAGACTCCGCCTCAAAAAAAAAAAAAATACATACATACATACATACATACATAAAGTCACATTCCTTCTTATGGGCTATGATTAGGAATCTGATCAGATATCAGAGTAAAAATACAAATGCTGAACTATTTAGGTCAAAGAACCTCTATAGAAGCATCTGTCTTCAAAGGCATTCCAATTTGAGATCAATTTTAGAATAAGGCATAACACATATGTTAACAGAAGACATACAAGGTGATGAAAGAGGGATTCTACAATTCCCCACATACTCTGAACCTAATAAAACAAATCCAGATTTTTAAAAAATTACTTTTCTTTAAACAATTGCCAAGACTGAAATCAAAGAGAAATAGAAGGCACAACAATTTTGCTCTGGTTGTTATCTGGGTTTGGGGAATTTTTTCTTTTTTTTTTTTTCAAATACAAATTAAACATGAAAAAACTCTATTTCAAATAAACTAACAGTTCAAGAAAAGCCTATCAGTTGCATTCCAGACATTTAAAACCTATATCGCAGTTTAAATTTCAGTGGTAAAAACAGTAGGTTTTAGAATTGTTTTGTGATCCTATATCAAAAGAAAAATTCTATTCCTTTAATTCAGTTTTTAAACATACCAGTGAGAATCAAAATTGTCAAATTTTCCAATGACAAATTCTCCACACCAGAAGGTAGTCATGACTCTCAAAGAAGAAACAATTTGGGTTTTTCCTGCCTTCAAAATGTTATCAAGTCCTGTATTTCTCACAGGTTTTTGAAACACGTAGAAAACAAGAAATATTCCGATGAATGAAATATACCAAATGTCAGTAATATGCAAGACACATTCCTTTGGGGAAATGGCTGTTAAAAAAAAAATCCAGTCTGTATATGCAAAGTAAGCAAGGAAATTCAGTCTTTTTTTTTCTTCTTCTTCTTTAAAAATCTGTTACTCCTAAAATATCATTCCACAAAATTGGAAGTGAAAGACTAAAGGTCAGGGGCAAGGCGTGGTGGCTCACGCCTGTAATCCCAGCACTTTGGGAGGCCGAGGCGGGCGGATCACGAGGTCAGGAGATCGAGACCATCCTGGCTAACACAGTGAAACCCCGTCTCTACTAAAAATACAAAAAAAAATTTAGCCGAGCGTGGTGGTGGGTGCCTGTAGTCCCAGCTACTTGGGAGGTTGAGGCAGGAGAATGGCGTGAACCCCGGAGGCGGAGCTTGCAGTGAGCCGAGATTGCACCACTGCACTCCAGTCTGGGCGACAGAGCGAGACTCCGTCTCAAAAAAAAAAAAAAAAGTTCTAGGCCGGGCATGGTGGCTCACGCCTGTAATCCCACCACTTTGGGAAGCTGAGGCGGGCAGATCACTTGAGCCCGGGAGTTCAAGACCAGCCTGAGCAACATGTTGAAACCCTTTCTCTACAAAAAATTATCCGATTGTGGTGGCACATGCCTGTCGTCCCAGCTACCGGGAAGGTGGAGGTGTGAGGATCACCTGAGCCCGGGGAAGTCAAGGCTACAGTGAGCTGTCATTGCGGCAGTGCATTCCAGCCTGGGGGTCCAAGTGATACCCTGTCTCAAAAAAAAAAAAGTTGTGATAAATGATGTTGTTTGACTGTTTAAACACTAAGGCCCAGCTGATGAAACTTAAAATTTAGTCTTTTTTTTTTTTTTTTTTTTTGGTTAGAGTGTTAAAAGAAGCTTGTTCAGGTGATAACTTAGCCTCCAGAGTGGAACACAGGTTGCATGTGGAGGGAATTCTTATCACTGTGTTTGGCTGTAAAGAGTATATGAAGCCTGGTGTGGTGGCTCACGCCTGTAATCCCAGCACTCTGGGAGGCCAAGGCGGGAAGATCACCTGAGGTTACAAGTTCAAGGCCAACCTAGCCAACATGGTGAAACCCCATCAATACTAAAAAAAATTTTTAAAATTAGCTGCGCGTGATGGTACGCACCTGTAGTCCCAGCTACTTGGGAGGCTGAGGCAGGAGAATTGCTTGAACCCGGGAGGTGGATGTTGCAGTGAGCCAAGATCGCTCCACTGCATCCAGCCTAGGCATCAGAGTGAGACTCCATCTTAAAAAAAAAAAAAAAAAAAAGAGTAAATGAGGGCAAATACATGTATCATCAAGAACTGATTTTAGTACGATGGTTGACCATCAGCCTATCCTACTGAATCGCCTATGGAAATCAGTAAGGGAGCGCCATATCAATCCAGGTGTCAAGGATTGGTCTGTCATTGAAAAGGCCTTTGTTTTTATTGCTTTGAAGATCTCTGCAATGTGAGCAGTAAGGTCAGTGGTGGTACCTTATAAAAGGGAAAATGGGGGCCGGGCGTGTTGGCTTATGCCTGTATTCCCAGCACTTTGGGAGGCTGAGGCAGGCGGATCACAAGGTCAGGAGTTCGAAACTCCTGGCCAACACGGTGAAACCCCATCTCTACTAATAATACAAAATTAGCCCCATGTGGTGGCGGGCACCTATAATCCCAGCTACTAAGGAGGCTGAGGCAGGAGAATCACTTGAAACTGGGAGGCAGAGGTTGCAGTGAGCCGAGATTGTGCCATTGCACTCCAGCCTGGACAACAAGTCTCCATCTCAGGAGGGAAAAAAAAGGGGGTCGGGGGAATGAGTTCACAGAGGAATGACTTGAGATTTAAACCCAAAAAGCACCAAAATATTTTGTGACTTCCTGGTTCTCCATAGTCTTTGAAATGTGTTTAATTTTCATGATATTTAAAACAAAAGAAAACAAAAACGTTTCCAGTCAGTCTCATGTCTTGTATTTCCACTTTTTTTTTTTTCTTTCTGGACACACAGTCTTGCTCTGTCACCCAGGCTGGAGTGCATTGGCACTACCATAGTTCACTGCAGCCTCAAACTCCTGGGCTGAAGCAATCTTCCTGCCTCAGCCTCCTGAGTAGCTGGGACTACAGACATACACCACCACACCTGGCTAATTTTTTAAATTTTTAGTAGATGAGGTCCTGCTATGTTTGTTGCCCAGGCTAGTCTTGAACTCCTGAGCTCAAGCAGTCTTCTCACCTCAGCCTTCCAAAGTGCTAGGATTACAGGCGTGAGCCACCACGCCCAGTCATATTTCCACTTTCAAGTATAAAATGAATAATTGGATTTGAGCCCTTGCCTCTTGCTGTCTAGACATTAGTCCATTTTTTCCTTTGTTCCCAAATTCTGGTGACTTCTCTACTGACAGTGGATCAGCACTGTTAGTGGTGTATTAATAAAGGTGGTACACAGTGTTCCAACATTAAATGCTTCTGGAGGCCATTTTATGGGGAAATCAGCTGGATAGTATTGACTTTATGAAATCATTTTTCTTTTGTTTCTTTGAAATCTGATCATACATCCTATTTAGCATGATATCTGAGTGAAAAATGTGGACGGAATTCAAACCCCAAATATTTTACACACCTTATTCCACAAAAGAGTGAGATTCTATTAAAAAAATTGAAATTCAAAGGAAATTTCACTGTTTGGCACTGGTACATTTTCTTGAAAATGCCCCTTTTCAAGTAAGGCACACCCAAAGAGACTTTGGCTTTCAAAGTCATGTTTTGAAATGCATTCATGGACTTTTAAATTGCCTTCTGTTTGTTGCAGTTTTTTCTGGTGCCAGTTTGTTCTAGTTTAAAGTTTGATTCCGTGAGGCTCAACTTGTTTGAGCTCTGTATAAATTAGGTTCTCTGCCAGTAGAATCCAGTTTCTGTTAATAGTTCAGCAGAGGAAAATCTGAATGTTATATCTGGTTCCCTCTTTAAGGCACAAGATCACTTTTGTCTCTTAAACATACAATCTTGTTAAGTTACTATACTATATTTCTGGTCTTAGGTTAATTTTTAATGTTGAATTATATTGTTGTTTACTCAGAGTCACCAAGCTCACATGAAATTAGAAATGTAATGTATTGTGAAGACACAGTTGTTTCTTGGAAAACATGCTGTGTCTTAGCACCTGACTAACTGTAAATCTTACTGGCATCATGATATAGGAAAATAAATACTATCTAAGAATCACGAGACCTAGGTTCTTTTAGGCAAAAGGATACTTGGCACGATTATGTTGTAGGGTGGTTTTGTGAGTTTTAAGTAAGATGCTGTGTGTGAAAACTTAGAGTAAAGCACAATAAAAATCAAAGTAATATTATCAGTGATTTTTTTTTTTTTTTTTGAGATAGAGTCTCACTCTGTCGACCAGGCTGGAGTGCAGTGGCGAGATCTCAGCTCACTGCAACCTCCACCTCCCAGGTTCAAGTGATTCTCCTACCTCAGCCTCCTGAGTAGGTGGGACTACAGATGTGCGCCACCATGCCTGGCTATTTTTTGTATTGTTAGTAAAGACAGGGTGTCACCTTGTTGGCCAGGCTGGTCTCGAACTCCTGACCTCAAGTGATCCACCCACCTTGGCCTCCCAAAGTGCTGGGATTACAGGTGTGAGCCACCGCCCCTGGCCAATCAGTGATCTTTAAAATAAGTTATTTTAATTCAAAGGACTGTGTTATTTGTAAGCACAGTTTCCTTACAGGGCTGGTATAGTGAATATTTTACTTAGCCTTATTAGAATTCATTCATTCAACATATATTTATTTAGCATTAGTAGGCACTGGATCTGGACACTACTAAAAATACAGAATTAGCCGGGCGTAATGGCACAGTGTAGCAGTGAATAAACAAAGTAGACAACCCCCTGTCCTCTTTAATAAGGAGAAGCAGATAAAACAAATCAAGAGCCAGAGAGGCCCGATCACTCCCCTCATTGCCCTTCATTCACTTCCCAAACAGGTTCCCCCATCCACTCATTTCCACAAATACCTACTCAGTTATGACCTCAGAAGATTCCCCTTTACTCATTCTTTAGCCCCCGTTGCTGTCCATCACACAGGGACCTGCACAGCCCACAGAAACTCCACCTCACATGTCTCGGAATTTGCAAATCCAGAGCTGAGCCTCACCTCCCTCACTGGCCTTTCTGGGTCCTGGCTCTAGAGCTAGTTTGAGCACAGGACATAATCACTTCCCAGGGGCCTGGGTGCACCGCTTTGGTTTCCAACCAAGTAACCACACGTGGTGGCTCACGCCTGTAATCGCAGCACTTTGGCTGATTGGTTTCAGGGCTGCTATTTACTTTAACATGTATTTCCTTTTTAAACTTTCTGGTTTTGAGCTTTTTTTTTTTTTCTTTTCCCCCGAGACGGAGTTTCACTCTTGTTGTCCAGGCTAGAGTGCAATGGCTGGATCTCAGCTCACTGCAACCTCTGCCACCCAGTTTCAAGTGATTCTCTTGCCTCAGCCTCCCGAGTAACTGGGATTACAGGCATGTGCCACCACGCCTGGCTTATTTTGTGTTTTTAGTAGGGATGAGGTTTCTCCATGTTGGTCAGGCTAGTCTCGAACTCCTGCCCTCAGGTGATCCACCTGCCTTGGCCTCCCAAAGGTTTTCAGCTTTTTAAACATACTATTTTCTCTCTATAAAAGTAGAAAGGTTAGGATAATGAACCTTCATTTGCTTACCACCCACCTTCAAAAATGATCAACTCATGGCCAATCGTGTTTTATCCCCACACTTTTCCTCTCCACCCCAGATTATTCTGAAACAAATCCCAGACATATCAGTTCATCTGTAAACATTTCAATATGTGTCTCTAAATTTTAAAAGTACAACCACAATACCATTATGCACAAAAAACTTAATTCCTTTATATCATCAAATATCCTATCATATTTAAATTTCCGTAATTGTCTCATTATTTTACAGCTTGCTGGAATCAAGGTCCACATAAAGACCACACGTAGCAATTGGTGAATGTCTCTCAAATTTCTCTTTATAGGCTTCTTCTCCATATCTTTCTCTTTTTTCTTGGAAATTTTAATAGAAAAACTGGGTTGTTTGCCCTTTAATGTTGCAGTCTGGTCTTTGTTAATTGCATACTCATGGTGGTAACACGTTCTTCTGTATTTTCTATGAATTGGTAGCCATATCTAGAGGCTGATCAGATTTAGCTTCAATTTTTTGACCAGTCTCCTTCATAAGTGGTGTTGAGTACTTCCAAGAGGGGTACATAATGTCTGATTTTTCTTTGTATTATTGGCCATCATTTATGATATTCTGTTTCTGTAATTTCTTATTCACTAATTAGCTAGACTATATCCAAAATAGAAGCCAAGTCTGGTGGCTCATGCCTGTAATCTCAGCACTTTGGGAAGCTGAGGCAGGAGAATTGCTTGAGGCCAGGAGTATGAGACCAGCCTGGGCAACATGGTGAAACCCTGTGTCTGAGGAGGAATCAGCCATAGGGAAATTGGAGGGAGGGCTTTCTGCAAATGTAAAGGCACTGAGGGGTAAAGAGCTTGGGATAGCCGGGGACAGGGGTATCCCACCTGTAGTCCCAGCTACTTGGGAGGCTAAAGCAGAAGGATCGCTTGGGCTCAGGAGTTTTGAGACCAGCCTGGGCAACACAGCAAGGCCCTGTCCCTTTTTTCTTTCTTTTTTTTAAGTAGCTTGGAATGTTCTGGCAGGGTAATGTTGGGCTTAATAGTGAGGTGGGGAGTGGTAGGTTCAGAGTTTATGTAAGGCCCAGGCCAGGTGGGATTTTATGCTGTGCAGGTCCTTGTGTGATTGACAGCAGCAGGGGGCTGAAGGATAAGTGAGGGGGAATCTTCCGAGGTCATAACTGAATAGGTATTTGTGGCAACAAGTGGATGGGGGAAACTGGGAAGTGAATGAAGGGGCTGTGAGGGGAGTGATTGGGCCTCTCTGGCTCTTGATTTGTTTACTATCTGCTTCTCCTCATTAAAGAGGACATGGAGGTTGTCTGATTTGTTAATTCATTGCTACACATCTAGTGCCCAGATCCAGTGTCTGCTGACACTAAATAAGGAGTTTGGGTTTCATGTTAAGTGAATAGGAGATGCTTTAAGATTTTTAATGAAGGAGTGGTGTGAATGGGATGATCACTCTGGCTGCTCTGTGGAGAACAGACTGTTTGGCGGGGAGAATGGAAGCAGGAACACCCGTCAGGAAGTGACTGCATGCATGCCAGTGAGAGATCACCATGGTTTGGTCTGAGGTGAAGAGAGGCACACAGATTTGAGAGCAAATTTGGCAGGTAGAATTTATTGGTCGTACTGATGGATTAGATGTAGGAAGAATCAGAGATGGCTCCCAGTTCTAGGTTGGGCCATTTACTAAGATGATCCTGACTTGGGACAGGATGAATTTGAAGAGAGATTCAACTGGTACATGCTAATTAGGACTGAGATGGCCATAAGATGCCCAAGAGTTGTCAAACAGGAACTTAGCTAAAGCAGAGAGATTTGAGGCCATGAGAACACATAGAATTACCTAAGGCAGTGGTTCTTTGCTGGGGTTGCTGCTGGCATCCAGGGATAGAGGCCAGGGATGCTGCTGAACATCCTGTACTGCACAGGACAGCCTCACTTTCCCCTAGTGAAGAATTATGCAGCCCAAAATTTCAATAGTGCTGAGGTTGAGAAACCCAGCACTAAGGGAAGGGGTAGGAGAGAAAAGTAAAGAAAAGATCCGACCAAACCTGAGGAATGCCAACATTTTGATGTTGTGTAGATGAGGAAGAGTCAGAAAAGGGCAACCTTGAGCCTCCTTTGGTGAATAAGGGTGGTGCCTGGGAAAGCATGGAGGGATCAGGCTGGTGATCAGCAAGCTTGCACTTCATTTGCCTAAGGACATGCAGTTGCACTTCTTTAGAGTCAGCTTTTCACAAGGTTGGGTGAAAATTGTTAGGAGGCAGCACAAGGGGAGCAAAGATGTTACTAACCCCAGTCGCCAAAGCCTGAGGTATCTGGCCTGTAAACATAAGCAGTCTTCTCTGCTTCAGAGAGCCTGGTGAGAAGGGATGGGAAGCTGGGTTTCAGTTAAGCTAGAGGGAAAGTGCTGGAAGAGGAGGTACGTGAACAAGTAGCAGATAATTGAGCAAGAGTTACAGAGAACACAGTGGAAGGATTTGGAAGAAAGGGGAAGATTTGGAAGAAAAGAAAGGGATGCACCATTGTTACATCAAATAGTGAGATGAGTGCGGAGCAGTCTGGGGATGGGGTCATAATAGATGGTCCTGGGAGGTTTCAAATGCCGGTAAAAATTGAGATAAGGAAAGATATGAGACCTGTTGAACTTAGTTTTTATATTCCGTTATTAGGCGAGAACTGGGACCTGAAGGCTTTCCACAATAGCTTGGCAGGGGAGAGGGTTTTGGCAGTTAGGCATGACTGCTTCTGAAGGTTGTAGGCACTAAAATGGTACAGGTCATGCCTTGTTTTTGTTTTTCTGTTTTGTTTTGCTTTGTTTTCCCAATATAGACATCCAGTTGTTGCTGCACCAGCTTTTGAAAATCCTTTCTCCGTGAAATTGCTTTGGCATTTTCATCTAAAATTAGTGACTATATCTTATGAGTCTGGCTCTGGATTGCCTCTTCTGTTCATTGATCTCTTTGTCTGGCCTTATGATAATATACTGTCTTGAGTATTGCAGAGTTATGTTAAAATCAGAAAGTGTGAGTCCTCCATCTTTGTGCTTCAAGATTGTTTTGGTTATTCTAAAATAGCCACATATATTTTAAAATCAACTAGGCAGTTTCTACGAAAAAAAAAAAAACCTGTTGGGATTTTAATTGGGATTGTGTTGAATATATCAATTTGAAGAGAACTGACATCTTAATGATGTTGAGTTTTCTAATCTCACTGGTATCTCCATGTCCAGCCTCATGGGATCTCTTCATTTATTTAGGTTTTCTTTTGTTTCTTTCACAAATGTTTTGTAATTTTTGGTGCAGAGATCTCACATGTCTCTTGGATTTTTGGGGTTTTCGTTTTTTAATAGAGATGGCATTTTGCCATGTTGCCCAGGATGGTCTCGATCTCCTGGGCTCAAACGATCTGCCTGCCTTGGCCTCCCAAAGTGCTAGCATTACAGGCATGAGCCACTGCACCTAGTATGTCTCTTGTTATTTTAATATATCAAGTATTTTAATGTAATTTTTGATGCTCTTTTAATGAAGCAGTTAGGAATTTATCAATTTTATTAATCTTTTCAAATAATCAAAATTTTATCTTGGTTACTTTCCTGTATCTTTTTGTCCTTCTCATTGACATCTGCACGTTATTATTTCTTCCTTCTTACTTTGGATTTAATTTCGTCTTTTCTAGTGTAAGCATTTAATACAATAAAATTCCCCCTAAGCACTGCTTCAGTGATATCCCACAAATTTTGATAAAGTGTATTTTCATTTTACTCCATTTGAAATATTTTCTAATTTCTTTTGTAATTTCTTAGACCAATTGGTTATTCAGAATTGTGGTGTTTAATTTCTAAATATCTGGTGCTGTTCCAGATGTCTTCTTACTGTTAATTGATTTCTCATTTAATTCCATGTGGTCAGAAGATATACTCTCTAAGATTTCAGTCTTTTGAGATTGGGACTTATTTTATGCGTGTGGACTATCTTGACAACCATTTGTGTGCAGTTGAAAAGAATCTATATTCTGAAGTTGTTGGTTGTAGTATTCTATATCAGGTCAAGATGGTTCAAATTTTCTATGTCCTTATTGTGGTTTTTTTTTGTTTGTTTTTTATCTACTACTTTTAATTATGAAAAGAGGGATGCTAAAAATCACCAGCTATGATTGTGGATTTTCCTGTTTCTCCCTTTCTTTCCTCTTGAATTCTGATTGATTTATCCTTAATTCAAGATATAACCCTTTAGGATCCTAGTTTTTGGAGGGGGTGAAGGTTTTATTAAACTCTACTCTGGGCCGGGCACGATGGCTCACGCCTGTAATCCCAGCACTTTGGGAGGCTGAGGCAGGTGGATCATGAGGTCAGGAGATCGAGACCATCCTGGCTAACACGGTGAAACTCCGTCTCTACTAAAAATACAAAAAATTAGCCAGGCGTGGTGGTGGGCGCCTGTAGTCCCAGCGACTCGGGAGGCTGAGGCAGGAGAATGGCGTGAACCCGGGAGGCGGAGGTCGCAGGCAGTGAGCCGAGATGGCGACACTGCACTCCAGCCTGGGTGACAGAGTGAGACTCCATCTCAAACAAACAAACAAACAAACAAACACTCTACTCTGGATGGGCCTTGGGCCTTGTCCACTGTTTGCTGTGCCCTGTGAGATCTGTAAACAGAAGCTCAAGTCCGTGTTGTTTGTTACATACATTTAAGCTATAGAAAGCAACCTATGGTCACCTTCCTCTCTGAGTACCTGCCTTCATTTGGGTTTTGGGGGTTTTTTTTGGCCTGAGAATTGTTTGAATTTCTTATGGATACATTTGAGATGTTTGTTTGTAGGGGAAGGGAAGGGAAATCTAGGCAGCTGGCCCAGCATATTACTTGCTATATGGAAAAGTTTATTTTTCTTAGTCTGACTTTATAATTGTTTCCTTTATAATTTGGCAGATAAGAGGAATTTTAGACTTTGAGCTGGAAGGTCTGGTGTAGAAAATAAGTATGGAGAGAAAAAAGGAAAGGTATTTCAAGTTTAGAATTGGCAAAAATAGGGTATATTCCTTTGGTAGTGAAATAGCCATAGGTTGGCATTAAGTTAATGGAAAACATGTTTATGACTTTTTTTATTTTTATTGAGATGAGGTCTCGCCATGTTGCCCAGGCTGGTCTTGAACTCCTGAGCTCAAGCATTCTGCCCATCTCGGCCTCCCAAAATGCTGGGATTACAAGCATGAGCCACCGCAGCTGGTCATGTTTATGACTTCTAATCTGAAGCTTGGCCTCCTCTTCCAAGCTCTCGTGGCTGTCAGAATTCAGTTCTATGTGCTTATAGAACTGAGATGGCAGTTTCCTTGCTGGCTATTAGTTGGGACCACTGTCAGCTCCTAGAGGCCACCTTCATTCCTGGCCATATGGCCCCTCCATTTTCACAGCCGGGAAAAGAGAATCTCCTTTGTGTCAAATCATCTCATCCTATAGCAGTCTGGAGTCCAATAAGGAGATAGAAACCACAGTCGGTTAAGCAGGGGAAGATAAAGAATTATTTTTTTCTTTTGCGGATTAGGTAGCCACGTAAACCAAAATAGGTTGAGAGAGATTTCAGAATTATTATTATGGCAAAAGAGTTACTAAAAGATACAAAGAAACTATATTTGGTTCCCTAGGACTGAGGGAGAGTAACCAAAGAACAGACTTGGAAGGGATTCAGACCTCACTAGACAAAGTATGGTTGAGCCCACCAGATAGCAAAGGAGTTTGTTGGTTTGGCCAGACCAGGGTTTGCCTGGAGTTTCTGGGCAAGCAATTGGCCTCTTCTGGAGTACAGGCAGGGGGCGAGGTCATCGGGGGCATGGATGTAGTGGGAGTCCCTGTCCCCATACGAGCAGGAGGCCTTCAAGGCATGTATGCCGGGCAGGGGCTTTGCTTAACATGTGGAGAGGGTTCTGAAGTTATTGCCAGGCCAAGGCTACAAGATCAAAGAGGTACCACGTTCTGGCCTCGAGCCATAGTAGGCTTCACCAGAGGTTCTCACACCCACTCCGCGACCTCCGGCCTACGCCTGAAATGTCCCTCCAGCTTCCTCTACTGAGAAAGCTTAACAGCGTGCTCACTTTACAGGAGAAATAAAGTAATTCACTTGTTTATCACAGAGCACACATTGAATTGCACTTCATTTGCCTAATGTTCAGAGCTGAGAGGCAATAAATTCGTGACTGAAACACACACTCCAAATGTCTTTGTAAGGGAGAGTCCTGTTCCTTTTTTTTTCTTTTCTTTTCTTTTTTTTTTTTTTTTGAGACAGAGTCTTGCTCTGTCACCAGGCTGGAGTGCAGTGGCTCAATCTTGGCTCACTGCAACGCTCCGCCTCCTGGGTTCAAGCAAGTCTTCTGCCTCAGCCTCTCTAGTAGCTGGGACTACAGGTGCGTGCCACACTGCCCAGCTAATTTTTGTTGTTTTAATAGAGATGGGGTTTCACTATGTTTGCCAGCATGGTCTTGATCTCTTGACCTCATGATCTGCCCACCTTGGCTTCCCAAAGTGCTGGGATTACAGGCGTGAGCCACCGTGCCCAGCCGAGTCCTTTTCCTTTTAAGAACTCAACTGGGCTGGGCGCGGTGGCTCACACCTGTAATCCCAGCACTTTGGGAGGCCAAGGTGGGCGGATCACGAGGTCAGGAGATCGAGACCATCCTGGCTAATGCGGTGAAACCCCATCTCTACTAAAAATACAAAAAAAATTAGCTGGGCGTGGTGGCGGGCGCCTGTAGTCCCAGCTACTTGGGAGGCTGAGGCAGGAGAATGGCATGAACCCGGGAGGCAGAGCTTGCAGTGAGCAGAGATTGGGCCACTGCACTCCAGCCTGGGTGACAGAGCAAGACTCTGTCTCAAAAAAAAAAAAAAAAAAAAAAAACTCAACTGAGGGCTGGGTGGGTGACTCATGCGTGTAATCCTAGCACTTTGGGAGGCGAAGGCTGGCAGATCACTTGAGGCCAGGAGTTCGAGACCAGCCTGGGCAACATGGTGAAACCTCGTCTCTAATAAAAATAGAAAAATCAGCCAGGCATGGTGGCATGTACCTGTAATCCCAGCTACTCGGGAGGCTGAGGCACAAGGATCGCTTGAACCAGGAAAGCAGAGGTTATGGTGAGCCAAGATTGCACCACTGCGCTCCAGCCTGGGCAACAGAGCGAGCCTGTCTCAAAAAATACAAATTAAAAAAATAAATAAATAAAATAAAAGAACTCGCCTGAAGCCATGCCCAGTGGTGGCACCTCATGCCTGCAATCTCAGCTACTCAGGAGACTGAGATGGGAGGATTGCTAAAGGCCAGGAGTTCAAGACCACCCTGGGCAACATAGCAAGATTCTCATCTCAAAGATAAAAACAAAAATTCCCCTGAACAGGTCACATTCACTCAGGATAGCCACTTCCCTTTTTTTTTTTTTTTTTTTTTTTGAGACAGAGTCTCGTTCTATCATCCAGGTGGCTGGAGTGCAGTGGTGCAATCTTGGCTCACTGCAACCTCTGCCTCCCATGTTCAAGTGATTCTCGTGCCTCAGCCTCCGGAGTAGCTGGGATTACAGGCGTGCACCACCACGCCCGGCTAATTTTTATTTTTAGTAGAGACAGAGTTTTTCCATGTTGGCCAAGCTGGTCTCCCAACTCCTGACCTCTGGTGATCCACCCACCTTGGCCTCCCAAAGTGCTGGGATTACAGGCGTGAGCCACTGCGCCTGGCCTCTTTTTTTTTTTTTTTTTAGATGGAGTCTTGCTCTGTTGCCCAGGCTGGAGTGCAGTGGCACAATCTGAGCTCACTGCAACCTCTGCCTCCCGGGTTCAGGCGATTCTCCTGCCTCAGCCTCCTGAGTAGCTGGGATTACAGGCACGTGCCACCACGCCTGGCCAATTTTTGTATTTTTAGTAGAGACGGGGTTTCACCATGTTGGTCACGCTGGTCTCAAACTCCTGACCTCGTGATCTGCCTGCCTTGGCCTCCCAAAGTGCTGGAATTACAGGCGCGAGCCACCGTGCCTGTCCTGGATAGCCACTTTGTTAAAGCCAGCTGTATCAGATAATATAATCTAACCATGGAGTGACTATTCTGTCAGATTCACTGAGTTTTATACAGAGTGTGTATACTGAGTGGTGGGAACCTCGGGAGAATTGAAATCTGCCTGCCATAGAGTGGGTGGTCGCGGGAGAGGAGGTGGAGATGAGAATGACTCAGTGCTACATGAGAAACTCCTTTGTGAAGTAAATAGGTTGTATTTCATTCTGTGGCTTGAATACATTTTTAGCTGTCTTACAGAGAAAGAGAAGAAATAACCAGTGTTTATTGAACATCTATTTGTCAGCCACTGCATAGAGCACTTTACTTATATTATCTCTTTAAATTGTAATACTATAAGGCAAGGATTATTATCACCATTTTACAACAGGAGACAGTGGGCTTGGGGTTGTAAGGACATTTGCCTGGATTCAGTTCACCGATATTTAGTGTTGCTGGAATTAAAATCCGACTCTGTCTAATACCGAATCCCATGTTTTCTAGGAGCATCTAATAATGTTGCTCCTCTTGAAAGTATTTTTATCATTCAGTTGAGATGAGAGGTCGTTTTAGTGGCGCTAGGGCAAATCACTTTCCTGCATTTCTGCTGTCTCTTAAGGAGCTCACCGACAGAGGTCACTGCTGTCATGGCCCTGGCTGGAGGGACAGTGGATCAGAAGAGAGGTCCTGGCCAGACTTCCCCATTCCAGTAGGGAAGCTGAGACTGCTCCATCTGCGTGTCACCGGGAAGTAACCTGTGCCTTTGTTCCCTGTTCTTATATCTGAATGTGGAACAGAAGAACAAAGCAGGGCTTGAGAGAGCTGAGTATAGTGGTGAGGGCATAGTTTATGCTGGGAGAGTTCTAGTAACCAAGAGCTGAGCTCCTAAGAAGTGGCCAGGGAGGGTTTATAGTATGAAGGCACCCATGCATATCTCTACAAAAACATATTCTACTACTCTCCTTGGCTTATTTCTCACAGCTCATGAGTCCCTTTGGGTTGGCCCCTCAGCCATCTCCTTTTCGCATCCTCAGAGGTTGACATGGAACATGGCACTGCTAAATGATTGTGGAATAAATGAATCCCTAGGCTGCCTGATTTATCTTTTTTTTTTTTTTTTTTTTTTTTGAAACAGGGTCTTGCTCTGTTGCCCAGGCTAGAGTGCAGTGGCATGATCATAGCTCACGGCAGCCTTGACCTCCGGCCAGTGATCCTCCCACCTCAGCTTCCTGAGTAGCTGGGACTATAGGCATGTGCCATCAAGCCTGGCTAATTGAAAAAAAATTTTTTTTTATAGAGACGGGGTCTCGCCATGTTGCTCAGGCTGGTCTTGAACTCATAGGCTCAAGCAATCCACCTGCCTCAGCCTCCCAAAGTGTTGGAATTACAGACATGAGCCACTGCACCTGGCCTGTTTCATCCTTAATAGCCTATAGAAACAGCCTAGTATAATGGGACTCAGGAGTCCTGGATTCCCCGCTTCCAGCTTCCCCCTTCACTAATTTGCTGTGGGGTATTAGTAAGTTCACTAGGACTTAATTTCCTCATCTTTAAAATGCAGAACTTAGACTTGATCTCAGATCCATTCCGGCTCTGCAGTTCTCTGAAGACATTATTGCACCATAGCTGCCTCAATTGTTTGAATAATCTCAGATTGGTTATTAAGGCTGGCCCTCAGGTTATGAAGACATGCGGTACAGTTCGGGCAAACATGAAAGGTACATTTAGTTCCTTTTCTTGTACACATGAAGTAATAGATTCATTGGAATATGATCTCTTCCTCCACCCACTTCCATCAATTCAGAGTGGATTTTTTTTCCCTTCCAGTTCTCTGCGTGTTTGTCAGCTTTAAAGGGAAATTTTAAGTCAGGAGGTAGTCAGAGGGGCAGGCACAAAGCTCAGCGGGTTAGGGGGGTAAATTCCTCTGAAATTTCAAATAAACCAGACTAGACTGTTTCCTAGGTAAATTTTTTTTTTTTTTTTTGAGTCTTGCTGTGTCACCCAGGCTGGAGTGCAGTGGCCCGATCTCAGCTCACTGCAACCTCTGCCTCCCAGGTTCAAGTGATTCTCCTGCCTCAGCCTCCCGAGTAGCTGCTACTACATCCATGTGCTACTGTGCCTGGCTGATTTTTATATTTTTAGTAGAGATAGTGTTTCCCCATATTGGCCAGGCTGGTCTTGGACTCCTGACCTCAGGTGATCCGCCCGCCTTGGCCTCTGGAGTTTTCTTGAACTGTGGTTTCTTGTTTTTTTTTTCTTAAGTGAGATGTGTGCGTGTGTGTGTACATGCATATGTGTATGCATGTGTACTTTGATAACCATATACAGAAGAGTGAAATTGAACCCTTTCTGTCACCATATACAAAAGTCAACTCAGGATGGGTTAAAGATTTAAACGAGGCCGGGCATGGTGGCTCACGCCTTTAATCCCAGCACTTTGGGAGGCCAAGGCGGGCAGATCACCTGAGGTCGGGATTTTGAGACCAGCCTGACCAATACGCAGAAACCCCATCTCTACTAAAAATACAAAAAATTAGCTGGGCATGGTGGCGCATGCCTGTAATCCCAGCTACTCAAGAGACTGAGGCAGGAGAATCGCTTGAACCTGGGAGATGAAGGTTGCCATGAGCTGAGATCGCGTGCCATTCCACTCCAGGCTGGGCAATGAGTGAAACTCCATCTCAAAAAAAAAAAAAAGAAAAGATTTAAACATAAGACCTGAAATTATAAAACAGCTAGAAGCAAACATAGGGACAACTCTTCAGAGCATTGGTCTAGGCAAAAGTTTTATGACTAAGACCTCAAAAGCACAGGCAACAGGCTGGGTGTAGTGGCTCACACCTGTAATCCCAGCACTTTGGGAGGTTGAGGTGGGAGGATCAGTTGAGCCCAGGAATTCGAGACCAGCTTAGGCAGCATAATGAGACCCTGTCTCTACAAAAAATTTAAAAAATTAGCCAAGCCTGGTGGCACGTGCTTGTGGTCCAAGCTACTCAGGCGGCTGAGGTAGGAGGATTGCTTAAGTCCAGGAGCCTGGGAGATCAAGGCTGCAATGAGCTGTGATTGCGCCACTCCAGTCCAGCCTGGGCAACAGAGCAAGACACTTGTGTTAAAAAAAAGAAAAAAAGGCACAGTCAACAAAAACTAAAATAGACAAATGGGACTATATTAAACTAAAAAGCTCTGCACAGCAAAAGAAACAATAGAATAAAGAGACAACTTGGCCGGGCGCGGTGGCTCACGCCTGTAATCCCAGCACTTTGGGAGGCCGAGGCGGGTGAATCACGAGGTCAGGAGATCGAGACCATCCTGGCTAACATGGTGAAACCCCGTCTCTACTAAAAATACAAAAAATTAACCAGGCGTAGTGGTGGGCGCCTGTAGTCCCAGCTACTCCGGAGGCTGAGGCAGGAGAATGGCGTGAACCCGGCAGGCGGAGCTTGCAGTGAGCTGAGATTGCGCCACTGCACTCCAGCCTGGGCGACAGAGCCAGACTCCATCTCAAAAAAAAAAAAAAAAAAAAGAGACAACTTGTTGAATGGGAGAAAATATTTGCAAACTACCCAACTGACAGGGGACTAAGATCCAGAATATATAAGGACCTCAAACAACTTAACAGTTAAACAAATAATCCTATTGAGAAATGGACAAAGGACATGACTAGATATTTCTCAAAAGAAGACATTACAAATGGCCAGCAGTGCTCAATATTATTAATCACTAGGGAAATGCAATTCAAAACTACAATGAGATATCATCTCACTCCAGTTAGAATGGCTATTACTAAAAAGCGAAAATATGGCCATGCATGGTGGCTCATGCCTATAATCCCAGCACTTTGGGAAGCCAAGGCAGGTGGATCATCTGAGATTAGGAGTTTGAGACCAGCCTGGCCAACCATGTTCAACATGGTGGAACCCCATCTCCACTAAGAATTAAAAAATTAGCTGGGTGTGGTGGTAGGTTGTAATCCCAGCTACTCCTGAGGCTGAGGCAGGAGAATCACTTCAACCCGGGAGGTAGAGGTTGCAGTGAGCCAAGATCGTGCCACTGCACTCCAGCCTGGGCCGTAAAGGGAGACTCCATCTTAAAAAAAAAAAAAAAAAAAAGCCAAAAAATAACAGATGCCAGCAAGGATGCAGAGAAAAGGAAACTTTTATACACTGTTAGTGAGAATGTAAATTAGTATAGAAAATGGTATGGAGTATAGAAACCAGTATAGAAAATGGTATGGAGATTTTTCAAAAAACTAAAAATAGAACTGCCATATGATCCAGCATTCCCGCTACTGGGTATTTATCCAGTGGTAGAGAAATCAGTATATATAAAAGGTATACCTGCACTCTCGCATGTTGATCGCAGTGCTGTTCACAGTAGCAGAGACAGAGAATCAATCTAAGTGTCTGTCAACAGATGAACGCATGCAGAAAATGTGTTATATGTACACTACGGAATAGTATTCAGCCATAAAAAAAGAATGAAATCATGTCATTTGCAGCATCATGGGAGGAACTAGAGGCCATTATCTTAAGTGAAATAAGCCAAGTGCAGAAAGACAAATATCACATGTTCTCACTTATATGTGGGAGCTAAAAAATTTGATGTCAAAGACATGAAGAGTAGAATGATAGATATGAGAGACTGGGAAGGAAGGAAAGTTGTGGGAATAAAGAGTAGCACAATGGGTACAAACATGTGGGGTACCCGTAAAATGGGCACAAACATTAAACAGAGGAAATAAGTTTCTTCTATGTTTGATTGCAAAATAGGGTGACTATACTCAGCAACAGTACTTTGTGTATTTCATACTAACGGGAAGCGAGGACTTGAAATGATACCAACACAGAGAAATGGTAAATACGAAGAAAAAACAGTTTCTAAATACTGACCTGACCAAGAAAGGGGTCTTCATTCTTTCTTCTGGATATTCTTTAGTGAAGGCACCAAAGGCTTGTGTTGAACTTAATCAGTGCTCAGTGGATGGATTCTCATTTTCTGAATTCTCAATTTAGATTTAGCTAAATTAATGCCTTCTGAAATGTTCTCAGTTAAAATATTCCAGAAGGTCACTTTTTGAAGTGGGAACAGTAATCTGATCTGATTCCTGGTCTAGGATCTACTACTACCTAATTAGCATTGTGACCATAGGCCAATCACTTAGACTCTCTCTGCCTGTTTCCTAGTACAAGAATTAAATGAAAGGTTATATGTGAAATTGTGATATTGTGAAATACAAATTTAGTCTTTGTTCCCATTTCCTGGTATACAACTCCTAAAATCCTTAGAATCTCCAAAGTGACATGTGTCTTTGTATGCTAATGAGTTGACTGATGATTGGCAGCCCCTTGGTAGCTCCAGGATGGGATCTAATCACGAACCAAGGAAGGATTAGAGGGTTGGGACTTTCAGCCCCACAGCCCAACCATAGGGGAAGGGGGAGGGGCTGAACCTTAAACTGATCACCAATGGCCCGTGATGTAATCAATCATGCCTACACAATGAAGCTTCCATAAAAACCCAAAAGGATTGGGTTCTGAGAGGTTCAGGAAAGCTGGAAGCTATTCCTGGAGGCTGGTGTTCCCAGGAAGAGCATGAGAACTTTGTGCCCCTTTCCATAGCTCACCCTGTCCATCCCTTCATCAGTATCTTGTGTAGTATCTTTTGTTAGTTTGTTTGAGACAGTCTCACTCTGTCATCCAGGCTAAAGTGCAGTGGTGCGACCTTGGCTCACTGCAACCTCTGCCTCCCAGGTTCAAGTGATTCTCCTGCCTCACCCTCCCAAGTAGCTGGGACTACAGATGTGTGCCACCATGCCCAGCTGATTTTTGTATTTTTAGTAGAGACGGGTTTCACCATGTTGGCCAGGCTGATCTCGAACTCCTGGGCTCAAGTGATCCACCCGCCTTGGCCTCCCAGTGTCGAGATTACAGGCGTGAGCCACCATGCCCAGATTGTAGTATCTTTTATAGTAAACCAGAAAACGTGTTTCCCTGAGCTCCGCGAGCTGCTCTAGTAGATTAATTGAACCTAAGAAAGGTTAGAGCCTCCCCGATTTATAGCCAGTTGGTCAGAAGCACAGGTAGAACAACCTGGGGCTTGCGATTGGCATCAGAAGTGAGGGGCGGTCTTGTGGAACCAAGCCCTCACCCTGTGAGATCTGATGCTGATGCTACCTCCAGGCAGATAATGTCAGGATTGAATTGGAGGACACCCAGCTGGAGTCCGCTGCAGAATTGATTGTGTGCTTGTTGGTGGGGAGAAATCCCCACACATTTGGCTGTAGAAGTCTCTTCTGTGTTGATTATTGTGGTGTGAAAGCAGAGGAAAAGGAGTCAATGTTTTTTCCACTCTCAGAAATAGCATCAGTATATTTTAAAAGTTCCCTGAGTGATTATAATTTGCAGCTGGGGAGGAGAACCACTCCGCTACAACATCCTACAAAGTGCTGGGAAGTGGTGTTTTCATTCTGTGCTATATTCTTGGTAACAAAAGGAGATAGGGGCTAGTTTAAATTCTAATGGATTTTTTTAGTATTTCTAGGCATTGGCCAGTTGTCTCAGTCTCTTACGAAAGTGTTTTTTCAGGCAGCTTGTATTGCCTGCCGGGATTGGGGAAGTCCTTGGTTAGTTTGGAATTTTCCATGACTCTTAGCTCTGCACCATTAGCGTCAACTGCAGTCACAGAGCTTTTCAGTGTGTCCGCCTGTGCTGTTCTCTTCCTTTTTTTATAATGTCAGATGGATGATGTTGAACCTCAACTACAAGTCTTAGTATTGTGTTTGTGTTTAATACCCTACTTCTAAGGATGGATCAGAAAATCTCATCTGAATGAACTTTTTGTTTATTAAGTGAGTCAGCTTGAACTATCTGTTTTGGCCTGCTTTCCTCAGGTGTCATGTTTCCTGTCACAAAATCACCTTTTGTTTCTGTGGGCACAAGCTTCTGATATGGTGCTGGCTAATTCTCCAGCAATCTCTCCATTGGTGATCAGAATCAGCCTTTTGATCCTCTGATTGGAAAAGCTCTAAAAATGACAGTAAATGAAAGAAAAAAGATCCACCCGGATAATGGCCTAGTTGGGGCTTGGCTAGTTCCCCGCTTATAGGGAAATTTAAAGTCCTGAAAGCGTGAAAGGAGACTGCTGTAGTGATATATCCACTTACCCTTAGAAAGTGATTCCCTGCTGGGCGTGGTGGCTCACCCCTGTAATCCCAGCACTTTGGGAGGCCGAGGTGGGCGGATCACGTGAGATCAGGAGTGCGAGACCAGCCTTGCCAACATGGTGAAACCCCATCTTTACTAAAAATACAAAAATTAGCCGAGTGTGGTGGCAGGCGCCTGTAATCCCAACTACTCGGGAGGCTGAGGCGGGAGAATCGCTTGAACCCGGGAGGCAGAGGTTGCAGTGAGCCGAGATCGTGCCATCGCACTCCAGCCTGGGTGACGAGAGTGAGACTTCGTCTAAAAAAAAAAAAAAAAAAGCGATTCCTGGCCGGCTGCAGTGGCTCACGCCTGTAATCCCAGCACTTTGGGAGGCCAAGGTGGGCGGATCACAAGGTCAGGAGTTCGACACCAGCCTGGCCAACATAGTGAAACCTCTTCTCTACTAAAAATACAAAAATTAGCTGGGGATGGTGGCGCGTGCCTGTAATTCCAGCTACTCAGGAGGCTGAAGCAGGAGAATTGCTTGAACCCAGGAAGTGGAGGTTGTGGTGAGCTGAGATCGTGCCACTGCACTCCAGCCTGGACAACAGAACGAGACTCCTTCTCAAAAAAAAAAAAAAAAAAAAGAAAAGAAAAGAAAGGGATTCCCTAGATCCCAATGTACCATGCAGAAAGGATAGCAGTATGTTACCAAATTTCACTCTCCCAGATTGGTAGTTGGAGGTTGGTTGGGCTTGTTTACCTTAACCCTGCCCTCCTCCCCACACCACTGCCCACCAATGAAAGAAATTCAAATTCATACACAGTTGACCTTTGAATAACGTGGAAGTTAGAGGTTCCGATCCCCTGCACAGTTGAAAATCCATTTATAACTTTTGAATCCCCCCAGATTTAATTACTAATAGCCTACTGTTGATCAGGAGCTTTACCAATAACATAAACAGTCAATTAACACATAATTTGTATACGTATTATATCCCGTGTTCCTATAATAAAGGAAGGTAGAGAAAAGAAAATGTTAAGAAAATCATAAGGAAGAGAAAATATGTTTACTATTATATTAAGTGGAAGTGGATGAGCATAAAGGTCTTCATCCTTGTTGTCTTCACACTGAGTAGGCTGAGGAGGAGGAAGAAGAGGGCTTGGTCCTGCTGTCTCAGGTGTGGTAGAGGCAGAAGAGGTGGAGGAGGTGGAAAGGGAGGTGGAGGCAGGACAGGCAGGCATATGAGCAGGCCCAGGCATCCAAGTCGACCTGCATGGTTCAAACCCATGTTCAATGGTCAGCTGGATTTTGAGTAGGAACTAAAGGCAGTGTGTATTCTGCTTCATTCCCCTGTCTGTCTTCCTCCTTCCCTGACCACCCTGTCGAAATAATGCCCCGTCAAGCCACTCTCTATTCCTTCTCCTTGCTTGACTTCCTTCATAACAGTTATCACCTGACATTCTATTATGTAAGCTCTGTGAGGATAGTGACATTTCATTTTTCGCCATTGTATTTCTGAGGCCTAGAACTTAGTAGGTGCTCATTAAATATTTCTTTAGTAAGTGAAGAATGGTTTGAATACTCAGACATTTGCATATTTTTTTGTTGTTTGCTTTTGTCTGAGCTAAGTGATTCTCAAAACTTTATTTGGCATATGAATTACCGTATCATATATAAGACCCTTTATACAGAACTTTGTGAGCTATATAAGAAAATTTTAAAGATAAATCTATGCTATTTTTCTTTTCTTTTTTTAGAGACAGGGTCTCACTCTGTTGCCCAGGCTGGAGTGCAGTGATGTAACTATAGCACTGCAGCCTTGAACTCCCAGGCTCAAGGGATGCTCCCACCTCAGCCTCCTGGGTAGCTGTGGCTACAAGTGCAAGTCAGCAAACACAGTGAATTTTTAAAATTTTTTTATAGAGACGGGTTCTCACTGTGTTGCCCAGACTGGTCATCAACTCCTGGCTTCGAGTGATCCTTATCCTCCCAAAGTGCGGGATTATAGGCATGAGCCACCGCACCCAACCTGTTTTTCACTTTTAACCCTGAAGTCGGCTGGGCGAGGTGGCTCACGTCTGTAATCCCAGCACTTTGGGAGGCCGAGGCGGGCACATCACGAGGTCAGGAGATGGAGACCATCCTGGCTAACACGGTGAAAACCCATCTCTACTAAAAATACAAAAAATGAGCTGGGCGTGGTGGCGGGCGCCTGTAGTCCCAGCTACTCGGGAGGCTGAGGCAGGAGAATGGGTGAACTCGGGAGGCGGAGCTTGCAGCAAGCCGAGATTGCACCACTGCAGTCTGGACTGGGCGAAAGAGCGAGACTCCATCTCAAAAAAAAAAAAACCCTGAAGTAAGATGTGACACCATTTTACTTCCTTTATAGTTTAGTCTGTAATACAGAGGAATACCTCATTATTTAGATTCTGAAGTAAACTGGGGAGAAGGTAAATGCCCATTCTGTTAAGTTCCACAGTAGGATGTGTTACATATTTTGGTGGTGATGGGGATTAGAAAAGGGGACCTTACATGTTATAGTCTAATAGGAAGATGATAAGCTACAATCAAACCTTGCCTGTACCAGTAAAAATGGGTGTGTCATGTAGGTTGTGGGTCTTAACATTTGGAGAATGGATAAAATAAGACACATTTTCCCTGAGGTTGGAAGTTGTGATGATGATAAATTGAGATTAAGTGAAAACGCTTTGAAGCGAAGATATCATGAATTCAGGAAATCTTGGATACTTGGAAAGATAATCAGGTAATGAGAGAAAAGTCAGAGACTTACTGTGACAAAGCCTCACTGCTTTGTGATATGTCTCAAGATGAAGGCAGGCTACGTCCTGGGAAACATTTTGTTATCAGACATGCTGCTGTTAACACAATGTATATGGAAAGTTTGGTGTGAATGCAGTAGATTTAAGTTTTGCTAGTGTACTTTTTCCATGCTAATTGAAAATGGTCATGTTCCAACATGATTTCACCGCTTCGTTGTTTCTCTCCCATCCTTCTTTTAGTTGGCTGATTGCAATTCTGGCCCAACTCAACCCTCTCTTTGGACCGCAATTGAAAAATGAAACCATCTGGTATCTGAAGTATCATTGGCCTTGAGGAAGAAGACATGCTCTACAGTGCTCAGTCTTTGAGGTGACTATGCTTGTGACCTTTCTTATCAGTATGGTCAGGCAGTCAGAGTTTGCCTTGACTTTTTCTCACATTTTATGGCCATTTTAACACGTGGCAAGGGCAAGCTGCTGAATGCAAACACGATCTGAAGAGCAGAAATAAAATTGGAACTTAAGCCTTAGCTTACCTAAATCTCATTAAGATTCTTTTTAGATTCTGCTATCACCCTGCCTTTTTAAATAAATACAGTTTAATTTACAAAATTAAGCTTGCATGCACTCTTTCAGACGCAGATCAAAAAAGTAACTGTTTATACTTGGCATTGTGAGATCCAGCAACTTTAAAAAGTGGCTGGCAGATTTAAAATTGAGCAGGTTTCTTTCCAGCAGTAGTCAGCCATCCGGACAGAACCGTTCCTGTGATGGTGTTACACTGCTGGGAGAGGAATGTCTTGTCTTCATCCGGTTGCCTGCGCCACTGTTCTGGTGGCGTCTGGCACTGGTGCAAGACAGAGCTGTGCTTCCCCGAGAGTGTGCTAAGCATTCACTTTGGCTGCTTAGTTCTAGTCTGGGAGCAGACAGAGAAAACAAAATTAAGGTTTTTGAATGCTTTGGATGGAGAAAGGTGCCTGCGTCCGTTTGTTTTGTGTTGCTATAAAGGAATACATGAGACTGGGTAATTTATATTTGGCTCGCAGTTCTGCAGGCTGTATAAACATGACACCCGTATCTGTTTGGCTTCTGGTGAGGCCTCAGGAGGTTTTTACTTATGGCAGAAAGCAAAAGGGGGGCAGCCGTGTCATATGGCCAGAGAGGGAGCAAGAGAGAGAGAAGGAGGTGCCAGGCTCCTTTAAACAAGCAGCTCTTGTGTGCACTAACAACTACTTCACTCGTTACTATGGGGAGGTATATTAGCCCATTTTCACGCTGCTGATAAAGACATACCCAAGACTGGGTAATTTATAAAGAAAGAGAGGTTTAATGGACTCACAGTTCCTCGTGGCTGGGGAGGCCTCACAATAATGGCGGAGGATGAAAGGCAGTTCTTACATGGTAGCAGCAAGAGAGAATCAGAACCAAGCAAAAGGGGTCTCCCCTTATAAAACCATCAGATCTCGTGAGACTTATTCACTACCATGAGAACAGTATGGGGGAACTGCCCCCATGATTCAGTTATCTCCCACCAGGTCCCTCCCACAACACGTGGAAATTATGGAAGCTACAATTCAAGATGAGATTTGGGTGGGGACACAGCCAAACCATATCAGGAGGGTACCAAGCCATTCATGAGGAATCCACCCCCATGACCCAAACACCTCCCACCAGGCCCCACCTCCATCATTGGGGATCACATTTCAACATGAGATTTGGAGGGGACATATAATCCAAGCCATATCAGTGCCTTTTGAAAATCAGTCTTTGGTCGTGCGCGGTGGCTCACGCCTGTAATCCCAGCACTTTGGGAGGCTGAGGCAGGTGGATCACGAGGTCACGAGATCGAGACCACGGTGAAACCCATCTCTACTAAAAATACAAAAAATTAGCTGGGCACAGTGGTGGGCGCATGTAGTCCCAGCTACTCGGGAGGCTGAGGCAGGAGAATGGCTTGAACCCAGGAGGCAGAGCTTGCAGTGAGGCGAGATCGCGCCACTGCACTCCAGCCTGGGCGACAGAGCAAGACTCCGTCTCAGAAAAAGGAAAATCAGTCTTAAGGTTGCAGCTTCTATTTGTCCTGAGGGTCAGAGAGGTTAGTAGTGGTATAGTGGAAAGATTTATTCACTGGCCGAGAGTCAGGAAACCTCTTATTTAATCTGTTCGTTGTTTTCATTATTTTGTTAAATGGAAGTTAGCTTTAAATGCCTTGACTAGATTTAGGTTCAAGTTTTTTGGCTCTTTAGGTGTTACTGTAAACTGTGTATTGCCTCCCATCTGGAGAAACAGGATGTCTGGCTCTGGCTCTCCTATGTTTAGTAAGGCTGATGTGATCACTGGGTTCAGGTAATGACAGCCTGGTTCCTTCATTTGTAAAGTCCTTTTTATCAAGTGATTTTATCCATTGATGATCATAGCCTGAATTAATCATTTTAGTTGAAATGGCAAATGGTGATTTGCTGCTGCTGCTGTTTTTTGTTTTTGTTTTTGTTTTTAATTGAGACAGAATCTCATTCTTGTCACCTAGGCTGGAGTACAGTTGCACAATCACGGCTAACTGCAGTCTTGACCTCCTGGGATTAAGCAATCCTCCTGCCCCAGCCTCCCAAGTAGCTGGAATTACAGTCATGAGCCACCATACCCTAACTTTTTTGTTTTTGAAAGAGAGTCTCTGTCACCCAGCTGGAATGCAGTGGCACCATCATGGCTTACTGCAGCCTCACACTCCTGGCTCAAGTGATCCTCCTGCCTCAGCCTCCTGAGTAGCTGGGACTACAGGCACACACCACCGTGCCTGGCTAATTTTTAAATTTTGAATAGAGACAAGGTCTTACTATGTGGTCCATGTTTTGGCTAATTTTTAAAATTTTATTTATTTTTTATAGAGAGAGAGGGTCTCTTTCTATGGCC
Organism: Homo sapiens; assembly: GCF_000001405.40. Taxonomy (NCBI): domain Eukaryota; kingdom Metazoa; phylum Chordata; class Mammalia; order Primates; family Hominidae; genus Homo; species Homo sapiens. Next base: position 173,022,908 of record NC_000005.10, read on the forward strand.
CAGGCTGGAGTGCAGTGGTGTGATCATAGCTCACTGCTGCCTTGAATTCCTGGGCTCCCGAGATCGACCTGTCTTAGCCTCCCTAACAGCTGCAGGCACGCAGCACCACGTGTGACTTTTGTTTTGTTTTGTGGAAATGAGGTCTCACCATCTTGCCTAAGTTGGTCTCAAACTCCTGGGCTCAAGTGATCCTCCCACTTTGGCCTTCCAGAGTGTTGTGATTATGGCCATCAGCCACCGTGCCTGGCCGCAAATGATGATTTTTCCAGTTCTATTTTTATTTATTTATTTATTTATTCATTTTGAGACAGAGTCTTGCTCTATCACCCAGTCTAGAGTGCAGTGGCACGATCTCAACTCACTGCAACCTCTGCCTCCTGAATTCAAGTGATTCTTCTGCCTCAGGCTCCCAAGTAGCTGGGACTACAGGTGTGTGCTACCACACCCAGCCAATTTTTGGTTACTTTTAGTAGAGATGGGTTTTCACCATGTTGGCCAGGCTGGTCTCAAACTCCTGACCTCAGGTGATCCACCCGCCTAGGCCTCCCAAAATACTGGGATTATAGGCGTAAGCCACCATTCCCGTCTGATTTTTCAATTGTATTATTACCTCTGCATTTGATGAGCTGAAATGCTTCTATAAAGATAACTTTCCTGCCAGGCACAGTGGCTCATGCCTGTAATCCCACTACTTTGGGATGCTGAGGCAGGCAGATCACTTGAGCCCAGGAGTTCGAGACCAGCTTGGGCAATATTGTGAAACCTTGTCTCTACAAAAAATACAAAAATTAGCCAGGCAAGGTGGTGCACACCTGTAGTTCCAGCTATTCAGGAGGTTGAGGTGGGAGGAGAACTTGAGCCTGGGAGGTGGAAGTTGTAGTGAGCCAAGATCGCACCACTGCACTCCAGCCTGGGTGACAAAGCAAGACTCTGTCTCAAAAAACAAACAAACAAAAAACTTTTCCTCATCAACAGGATGATCTAATAGACTTGAAATATAGATCATGGGGCCGGGCACGGTGGCTCACCCCTCTAATCCCAGCACTTTGGGAGGCAAGGCGAGTGGGTCATGAGGTCAGGAGATCGAGACCATCATGGCTAACACGGTGAAACCCCTTCTCTGCTAACAATACAAAAAAAATTAGCCAGGCATGGTGGTGGGCGCCTGTAGTCCCAGCGACTTGGGAAGCTGAGGTAGGAGAATGGCATGAACCCAGGAGGTGGAGCTTGCAGTGAGCGGAGATTGCGCCACTGCATTCCAGCCTGGGCGACAGAGCAAGACTCCGTCTCAAAAAAAAAAAAAAAAAAAGAAAGAAATACAGATCATACAAAAATACGGGAAAAGCAGAATACAGGTTTAATTCTTTTAATTTTCATAGTAAGATGTTGGTGGCCAAGTTCCAGGGTATTCAATGAGATTTTTTTTAAATTTTAAATAATTATATTTTTTACCCTTTATATGGTTGTGTTTTGTTGTTGTTGTTTTTTGTTGTTGTTGTTTTTTGTCTGTGAGAACCTGTTTAGGATGGCTTCTATGTACTTTTGGTGTTAGTTTTTGGTAGTTTCCTTACTTTCTGGCAACATCAAAATGTCCAGGCCCCTCTTCTATATTTTCTGTCCGAGACTTAGATTTAGCTGTTCTTTGAATTGGTTTCTGAATTCCCCACTAAAAGGATGTCTGGTTTACTAACAGTTCTCAGGCCCATTTGACTCTGGTTCTGTTCAGTGGAAATGGCATTTAAGAATCACGATCGGAGTGCTAGGTGCGTTTGTTGCTGCCTGGGGTAATTAAGCATAATTGCTTCTAAGCCTTTTCAATGGAAAGAACCAGGAAGTAATGTATTTTTCAGATGAAAAATAATCTTAAGTTTACATTAGTATTTTCTCTTCAAATATAACATTACAGAGTTTTTATTTTATTTTATTTTTTTCTTTTTTCTTTTTTTTTTTTTTTGAGACAGAATCTCGCTCTGACGCCAGGCTGGAGTGCGGTGGCGTGATCTGGGCTCACTGCAACCTCTGCCTCCTGGGTTCAAGCGATTCTCCTGCCTCAGCCTCCCAAGTAGCTGGGATTACAGGTGTGCGCCACCACGCCTGGCTAATTTTTGTGTTTTTAGTAGAGACGGGGTTTCACCATGTTGGTCAGGCTGGTCTCGAACTCTTGACCTCGTGATCCACCCACCTCAGCCTCCCAAAGTGCTAGGATTACAGGTGTGAGCCACTGTGCCTGGCATTCTTTTTTTTTTTTTTTTTTTTTAAAGACAGAGTCCTGCTCTGTTGCCAAGGCTGGAGTGCAGTGGCAGTATCTTGGCTCACTGAAACCTCCACCTCCCAGGTTCAGGTAATTCTGCCTAAACCTCCTGAGTAGCTGGGACTATAGGCACACACCACCACACCCAGCTAATTTTTGTGTTTTTAGTAGAGATAGGGTTTCGCCATGTTGGCCAGGCTGGTCTCGAACTCCTGACCTCAAGTGATCTGCCTGTCTCGGCCTACCAAAGTGCTCGGATTACAGGTATGAGCCACCATGCCTGGCCTGAAAATTACTGTTCCTTAATAACAGTAACTTTTATTATTCTACAATGTATATAAAATACTTTTTTTTTTTTTTTTTTTTTTTTTTTGGAGACATGGTCTCTGTCACCCAGGCTGGAGTGCATCACCACAACCTCTGCCTCCTGGGCTCAAGTGATCCTCCTACCTCAGCCTTCTGATTATCTGGGACTGTAGACACGTGACACCACGCCTGGCTAATTTTTTGTATTTTTGGTAGAGACTCAGGGTTTCACCATGTTGCCCAGGCTGGTCTCAAACTCCTGAGCTCAAGCGATCCAACTGCCTTGGCCTCCTAAAGTGCTGGGATTACAGGTGTGGGCCTCCATGCCCGGCAAAATACTTTCAAGATAACACCAGTATAACTAATAGATATGAGCTCATCAAGTGCTGTTTTCTGAGGTCACTTAGAATAACAGCTGGTACAGTGGTATGTGCCTATAATCCCAGCTGTTTGGTGCGGTGAGGCAGAAGGATCTCTTGAGCCCAGAGTTTGAGACATGCCTCGGCAATATATCAAGACCTCATCTCAAATAATAATATTTTTTTTTTTTTCGAGACAGGGTCTCACTGTTGGTCAGGCTAGAGTGCAGTGGTGTGATGTTAGCTCACTGCAACCTCCGCTTCCTGGCTCAAGCAATTCTCCCACCTCAGCATCCTGAGTAGCTAGGACTGCAGGCATGTGCCACCATGCCTTGCAAATTTTTAAATTTTGTATGGAGACAGTGTTTCGCTTTGTTGCCCAGGATGGTCTCAAACTCCTGGGCTCAAGTGATCCACCCACTTTGGCCTCCCAAAGTGATGGGATTACAGGTGTGAGCCACTATGTCCGGCCTGTAATTATTGTTATTATTTCCCCTGGCAGTTTCGTCACCAGTTTGATACACAATTAGACTAAGTTGTTTGTGTTCAATTTATTGTATTTTTTTCTGTTTTATTTGCTGCTGTTTTTTGAATATATAAAACATCTCCAAAGTCAAATTATGAACAAGATATATTCAGAGAAATCTATCCTTTCACTGTTTCATATTTTGTAAAGATTAAGCAAATACATATATTCATTCATATGTATATACACACATACACACTGCTGTTACAGAACAGATATCAGCTACATATACTATTCTGTACCTTGTTTTATTCACTGAACAATATATGCTAGAGATTGCTGCATACTGGTGTATAGAGATGTTTCTCATCTCTTTATAGCCATTGATAATCCTTTTGGGTTATTTCTAGTCTTTTGCTATTACTGATAAAGCCACAGTGCCATCCTATGCATATGCCATTTTCTGTTTTTGCTGATGATCTTTAATGTAGCCTCCTTGAAAATGCAATCTCTGGTTTAAAGATATATATGATTTTTCTAGATACTGTTGCATTGTCTTCCATAGAGATTATACTGTTTTGCATTCCCATCAACAGTATATGAGTGGCCGAGCGTGTTGGCTCATGCCTGTAATCCCAGCACTTTGGGAGGCTGAGGCGGGCGGATCACGAGGTCAGGAGATCGAGACCATCCTGGCTAACGCAGTGAAACCCCATCTCTACTAAAAAAATACAAAAAAATTAGCTGGGCGTGGTGGCAGACGCCTGTAGTCCCAGCTACTCGGGAGGCTGGGGCAGGATAATGGCATGAACCTGGGAGGCGGAGCTTGCAGTTAGCAGAGATTGTGCCACTGCGCTCCAGCCTGGGTGACACAGCGAGACTCCGTCTCAAAAAAAAAAAAAAAAAAAAAAAAAATAGCCGGGCACGGTGGCTCACGCCTGTAATCCCAGCACTTTGGGAGGCCGAGGCGGGTGGATCACGAGATCAGGAGATCGAGACCATCCTGGCTAACACGGTGAAACCCTGTCTCTACTAAAAAAAAAAAAAAAAAAAATACAAAAAATGAGCCTGACATGGTGGCGGGTGCCTGTAGTCCCAGTTACTCCGGAGGCTGAGGCAGGAGAATGGCGTGAACCCAGGAGGCAGAGCTTGCAGTGAGCCGAGATCGTGCCACTGCACTCCAGCCTGAGTGACAGAAAGAGACTCCGTCTCAAAAAAAAAAAATAGTGTATGAGTTTCTGTTTTGCCACAACCTGAATTTTGCCAATTTAATTTCCCCTTAAATATATATATTTTATATATATGTTTATACGTACGTGTGGGTTTTTGTTTTTGTTTTTGTTTTAATAGATGGGGGTCTCACTCTGTTACCCAAGCTGGTCTTGATCTCCTGGCCTCAAGCGATCCTCCCACCTTGGCTTCTCGAAGTGCTGGGATTACAGGCATGAGCCAATGTGCCTGGCAATAATACCAATTTTTTTTAACCTGCCTTTTTCATCAAGTTCTGTTTTCTACTCTTTATTTCAACTGTAGTGAGTGTTAGGTAAGGCTGTTGATTGGGGTTCAAAGCTGAGAACTTCAGGCCTCAGTTGGTTCTAGTTCCAGCATTGCTTTTCACTTAACTTCTCTGAGTTTCATTTCCTTCCATGATAATGAGAGAATTGGGCCCTTTGACACTAAATAACACTGGGTGGGTGGATCTGAAGACATTTTATCTGCTTATTCTTTTCACTCTTATGTCTCTGTCAACCGGATTGACAGATTCCTCATGTTTTCACTCTGGTCCACAGCACACACTCGGGCTCCTTGAAACCCTTATACTAAAGTTGGTTCTTTTAAAAGCAAAATGCCAGGAAGTAGGAGGGCAAGCCGGGCGATCCCTAATTATGAACATCGTGTCATGCCTATTCTGCATTTAACAGAATTATAGTGGTATCGTAACCTAAGACTTTGGAGTTAACACATCAAGAGATCTAATCTCTGCCTAGCGTTAGAACAGACAGACTTAAGACAGGCTGACTTCACTTTTTGGATGGTAAAGTCAAAGGATTGAGTTTTGTTTAACCTTTTGAATTTTGAACTTTTACCTAATGGTGAGATGATAAAGGAGTTTAGAAGGTAGATTTGGGTCTGACCTCACCTGATAAGGAAAAATGTTTGGTTTAGTACATGATTCCTTTTAAGAGGCCAGATTTGGAAAGTAGGTGTAAGCCAGACATGGTATTCAACAGAGAAAAATGAGGACCAGTTATGAAAGCTTTAGAATAATTTTATATAGATGAAATGGAATCAATCCAAAGAACACACCGTTAAATACATAGCCGATCTTTTGCTGCTTTAATCAAGGTAACTGTCATGATTTCTTTCCTGAATTGAAGAACCGAACCACAGCCTGATGAGAGGCTGAGTTACAGCACGTTATGTTTATTGGCTGCAAATAAACGTGTCCAGTACTCCTAAGAGCAGTGCTCACTCCATCCTTGGCTTTGCCAGCCTCGTCTGCTTCCCTTAGATTCCTGAGTGTGACTTCCTAAGATGTATGTGGGACTCTAATGTCAAGGTTGCTGTTTTTGTTGATGTTCACTTTCCTACAGCCTTGTGGGGTGTGCTGCTACCATGGAATCTCCTTGGAGGGGTGGCTTCGGCTTCAGATCCAGCATCCTGGAAGTTACTTGGTTTAGCAAGGCATTGTTGCCTGGTAGATGATCTGATATGGTTGACCACAGTCTGAAGGCATAGAAATGCTGTTTTATTATAAAGTCCGGGCCAGGAAAGAAATAGAGGATATTGATAATTAGGCCTCTGCCCTGTGGGAGCTGTTTTTCTATGCATTCCTAAAATACTTGAGTGCTTGTGAGGTGTATAGTACTGAAGTAGGGGAAGACTGGGCTCCAAAGGGGTTTGTGATCTGTTGGGGTGTTGAATTAAGCCATACTTGGGAGAAGTTCAATAGTGCAAGGTGTCGTGTGGTTAAAAAGTAAATCTTTTACTCCGAGTACTCTGGCTGGGTATTCTGCTGCCATTTCAGGTTCAGCCATGTCTCCATTTCAGTTCCCAATATCATAGTTTTCCTTGTCAGGGTCAGAACCTGTCGCGTCACTTTTTTCTCCTCTTCCTCAAATCCATTTGCTCTCATTATGTCTCTTGTGTCCGCCTTTCCTTTCCATTCCTCCTTCAGGCACCCTGATTTCTGCCCCAACTTACTACAGCTCTGAATTATGGCAGGTGCTCCTCATCTGGTCTCCCTGGCTCTACCGTCATCTATCTACAGAATACCACCCTGTTTATCTTCCTGGTGTAGCACTTCCTGAAATAGATCAGCTTGCCTCAGAAACTGTCAGTAGTTCTCTGGGGCCTGCAGCAGGATTTTTTGTTTTGTTTTGTTTTGCTTTTCTGTTTTGTTTTGTTTAACCTAAGGTCTCTGATTGTAGAGAGTACATGCCCCTTGAAATGCGATATAAAATGTTATAAGCACACAACTTTTGCCGGGTCACCAGCGGTCCCATGAGCCACAACAGATAAGAACGGCTAACCTGCAGGTCATGTCCAGCTCTGACTTGACTGTCAAGGCCTTCCCTCCCCAGTCTGCCTTCCTTCTCACTACTTTCCCCTCCAGGCCCTAGTGGTGTGGGCCCTTGTTCTTGACCTCATTAGCTTTACTTGGTTTTTCCTGACTCTCACTACCCTATTACATTCATTAATTTAGAAAACAACTTAGTAAATACACTCTCCCGTGAAAATTCCTTCTGCTTTCTTGCCTCAGTTCACCCATTCTCTCTTAATTCTTTCTGATGCTTTCTCTTTCAGTGCCCAGCTGGCAAATCCTAGCACTTCCTTCCTTGGCTACTTTGTTTCAAAGTGATTTCTTTTCTTTCTGAACATATTTAGCTCTCCAGTTTTTGCCATTCATTTGGTACATTGCCTTGAATTGTTAAATACATGCTTAACTCCTTGTATTTAATCTCCTACAATATATAGCCTTACATATCATAGTAAAGAAGGAATTATTTTGCAAATTTATCTAAAATTTTTAAACAGATAAAAATTAAGCCTAATATATCGTTTAAGAAGAATATTCACTTACTTTTCCCCGAACAGATTTCTTGGTTCTAGACTTAATATTTTTATGTTATCTTCATTGTCAGTTTTTTGTTTTTTTTTTTTTTTTTGAAACAGAGTCTCACTCTGTTGCCCAGGCTGGAGTACAGTGGCATGATCTTGGCTTACTGCAAACTCCGCCTCCTGGGTTCAAGTGATTCTCGTGCCTCAGCCTCCCGAGTAGCTGGGATTACAGGAATGTGCCACCATACCCGGCTAATTTTTGTATTTTTAGTAGAGACGGGGTTTCACCATGTTTGCCAGGCTGGTCTTGAACTCCTGATCTCAGGTGATCCGCCCCGCCTCCCAGAGTGCTGAGATTACAGGTGTGAGCCACTGCACCTGGCCCATTGGCAGGTTTTTGTTTGTTTGTTTGTTTGAGATGGAATCTCGCTCTGTCACCCAGACTGGAGTGCAGTGGCGCAATCTTGGCTCATTGCAACATTGACCTCCCAGGTTCAAGTGATTCTCCTGCCTCAGCCTCCCGTATAGCTGGGACTACAGGCATGCACCACCATGCTTGGCTAATTTTTGTATTTATTTATTTATTTATTTATTTATTTATTTATTTATTTGAGACGGAGTCTTGCTCTGTCGCCCAGACTGGAGTGCAGTGGTGCGATCTCCGCTCACCGCAATCTCTGCCTCCCGGGTTCATGCCATTCTCCTGCCTCAGGCTCCCAAGTAGCTGGGACTACAGGTGCCCGCCACCATACCTGGCTAATTTTTTGTATTTTTATTTGAGACGGGGTTTCACTGTGTTAGCCAGGATGGTCTCGATCTCCTGACCTCATGATCTGCCCGCCTCGGCTTCCCAAAGTGCTGGGATTACAGGCGTGAGCCACCGTGCCCGGCCTAATTTTTGTATTTTTTTTTTAGTAGAGATGGGGTACATCATGTTGTCCAGGCTGTTCTCGAACTCCTGACCTCAAGTGATCCACCCACCATGGCCTCCCAAAGTACTGGGATTACAGGCATGAGCCACCGCATCCGACCCTTTGTCAGTTTTATCTGATGGTAACCTTATGACTCTTTTTTTTTTTTTTTTTGAGACGTGCAAAATGAGAACATGGACCCTTTGATTAAGTTCTTCAGCCCCACCCCCAGTCAGCTATTTCTTATCAAAGATGATAAGAATACAGGCTTCCTGGCCAGGCGAGGTGGCTCACGCCTGTAATCCCAGCACTTTGGGAGGCCAAGGCGCGCGGATCACGAGGTCAGGAGATTGAGACCACCCTGGCTAACACAATGAAACTCCGTCTCTACTAAAAAATACAAAAAATTAGCCAGGTATAGTGGCGGGCGCCTGTAGTCCCAGCTACTCGGGAGGCTGAGGCAGGAGAATAGCGTGAACCTGGGAGGCAGGGCTTGCAGTGAGTGGAGATCGCGCCACTGCACTCCATCCAGCCTGGGCGAGAGAGCGAGACTCTGCCTCAAAAAAAAAAAAAAAAGCTTCCTTAATTTACTCCAAAATCAGCCGGGTGCAGTGGCTCACACCTGTAATCCCAGCGCTTTGGGAGGCTGAGGTGGGCAGATTGCTCAAGCCCAGAATTTTGAGACCAGCCTGGGTAACATGGTGAAACCCCATCTCAACAACAACAACAAAAAATACAAAAATCAGCCAGGTATGGTGGCACACGCCTGTAGTCCTAGCTACTTGGGAGGCTGAGATGGAAGGAACTTGAGCCCAGGAGGTGGTGGTTGCAGTGAGCGGTGATGGTGCCACTGCATTTACTCCAGCCTGGATGACAGAGCAAGACCCTGTCTCAAGAATAAATAAATAAATAAAAATAAAAATTTATTCCAAAATCAAACCGCATGCCTTTGCCATGTAACATAATGCACATTTACTTTTATTTTATTTTATTTATTTATTTATTTATTTATTTATTTATTTATTTATTTATTTATTTATTTTGAGATGGGGTCTTGCTCTGTCACCCAGGCTGGAGTCCAATGGTGTGATCTCAGCTCACTGCAACCTCCGCCTCCTGGGTTCAAGCCATTCTCCTTGCCTTAGCCTCCCAGGTAGCTGGGACTACAGGCATGCACCACTACAGCTGGCTAATTTTTTTGTATTTTTAGTAGAGATGGGGTTTTACCATGCTGGCCAGGCTGATCTCGAACTCCTGACCTCAAGTGATCCACCTGCCTCGGCCTCCCAAAGTGCTGGGATTACAGACGTGAGCCACTGTGCCCGGCCTACATTTATTTTAAACTGGTATCATTGATCTTGAGTGAAAACTATCCCCCATTTGTATATGGTTTTTCAAAAGTGAAGGCTTATTTTTCCCTTTTTTGATTGTTTCTTTGTCACAAAATGCCTGTACTATGAAGAAGTCTAATCAGTGTGCTCTTCATGGAAAATTAACAGACAAACCATATGTATTCACTACTTCAGTATTCTCAGATAAAATTTATTTTATTGGCTGGGTGTGATGGCTCATGCCTGTAATCCCAGAACTTTGGGAAGCCAAGGCAAGAGGAAACCTGAGCCCAGGAGTTTGAGACCAGCCTGGGCAATATAGCAAGACCCCATTTCTATGAAAAATTTAAAAATTAGCTGGGCATGATGGCGTGGGCCTATAGTCCCAGCTACTTGGGAGGCTGAGGCAGGAAGATTGCTTGAGTCCAGAAGGTCGAGGCTGCAGTGAGCTGTGTTTGTGGCCACTACACTCCAGGGCAGGTGAGAGAGCGAGACTGTCTGAAAAAAATATTATTTATTGATTAGAGACAGGGTCAGGCTCTGTCACCTAGGCTGGGGTGCAGAATGGCATGATCATAGCTCACTGTAACCTCAAACTCCTGAGCTCTAGTGATCCTCCCACCTCAGCTTCTGGAGTAGCTGGGACTACTGGTGTGTGTCATCGTGCTGTAGAGAGTCTCGCTATGTTGCCCAGGCTGGCCTCAGGTGATCTTCCCGCCTTGGCGTCCCAAAGTGCTGGGATTACAGGTGTGAGCCACCACGCCTGGCCTAAATTTATAATCTGCCTGGTACTGATACTTGTACAAAGAGGCTGTTCTGCTGGCCTAAGGAAGAGAACAGAAAATTATCCCTAGATTAAGTGAAAGATATTATGAGGCTTTCACACTACTACAAGAAACAAGTAGCTCTGGTAATTACCACTCCTTGGCCTGATGTTGTTTTCCTAGTACATTGTAAATATAGTCTGTTTAGGGCATGATGGCTCATGCCTGTAATCCCAGCACTTTGGGAGGCGAGGATGGGCACAACGCTTGAGCCCAGGAGTTAGAGCCCAACCTGGGCAGCATGGTGAAACCCTGTCTCTACAAAAAAATATAAAAATTAGCCGAATGTGTTGGCGTGCACCTGTAGTTCCAGCTACTTGGGAGGCTGAGATGGGAGGATCATTTGGGCTCAGGAGATTGAGACTGCAGTGAGCCGAGATCACGCCACTGCACTCCAGCCTGGATGGCAGAGCAAGACCCTGTGTCCGAAAAAAACAAAAATAAAACAAAACAAAAAAAAAGATGGTGTTGAATTTAAGCTGCTAGAAAAAGAAAAGTGTCATTTGTCACCTACACTCGAGATAGCCAGAACGGGGAGCAAGCTACAGGGCAGCCTCCAGTACAAGACCAATGCAAGGAGCCCGCTCCCCAGGAGCCTGGCCCCAGAGCAGAGTTCGCCATGCCTGCGGAACCT